>NC_000024.10:23630755-24239247 GCF_000001405.40 Homo sapiens | reverse complement strand
GTGATCAGGGCCATTTAGAGGCTGCCTACCATTCTTGAAGAAAATTGTTGACTTCTATGAGCTGTGGCAGCAGACAGTGCTATGCAAGGAGAATGGCTGTCTCAGAAGTCCAGCTCCTCACATGGGTTTTAATGTGTTGCCTTTTCCTCCGATACATTTTGTTTAAATCCGTGGTCATCTTGCCCTTTAGTGATGTGGTTTAATTGCATATTTGGGTTAGGCTGTGTGTAAACATTTAACATAGGTGTCTCTGGGTTAAACAGGAATCCTATTCATCTTCTTCACCAATATGGTTTGTAGACTCTGATGAGCTAAATCTGACATCAGTTTTGGAATGTCTGGAAGATGATAAGAACAACAATTTGGTGAGGAAAGAAGCCAAGCTCTTTTCTCTTTTCCTCATAAACATTGTATTTAGAAATTAAATGTTAAGAGATAATATAATAAAAAAACATGATTAATAACTATAAACTTAGAGGAATTAAAGTCTGGGTATTTTAAGTCCTCCAAATCTTATTTACTACCTGGTTTCTCTTTGTTATTTCCCACATGTATAACCTTAGTTTAGATTAGCAATTCGGGATCTCTTTTGCCCTGAATTCTAACAATTAAGCCAAGCAAGCATTTTGGGTGGAGACCACTAGCCAAGGTGGGAAGTAGAAAAAAGACCAAGGTGGAAGTGAAGGGAAAGATGGGGAGAATGACACCAAAACTAGTGGGAGGGGATTGCCTTTTCTTTCAAGGGTCTGTAAGTCTGCAGTAAAAGTCAAAGGTATTCAAATAGGAAGTTTTGTTTTTGTTTTTAGTTTATAAAGAAATATAACTTTCCATGTTGGAAAAATTTTAAAAACTTTTTTTATTATAAAACTCACAAGCAACCATTGTTGAGAAAATTAGTAAAGTACAGAAAAGCAAAAAGAAAAAAAATTAGTCTCCCATAATTTCTCTACCTAATATAACCACTATTGACAGTTGACATGATGGCCATTTTCTACCAGTATATATTTTTTCTTTGCTAGTAAAATACATAACCTTATACATATGTTTAAATAGTTGAGGTTGTATTCTCTATAGTTTTATATTCTTCTCTGTCTTTTTTTTTTTTTTTTTTTTTGAGACAGAGTCTTGGTCTGTCACCCAGACTGGAGTGCAGTGGCATAATCTCGGCTCACTGCGGGCTCCCCTTCCCAGGTTCACACCATTCTACTGCCTCAGCCTCCCCAGTAGCTGGGAATACAGGTGCCCACCACCATGCCTGGCTAATTTTTTGTATTTTTTAGTAGAGATGGGGTTTCACCGTGTTAGCCACGATGGTCTCAATCTCCTGACCTCGTGATCCTCCCGCCTCAGCCTCACAAAGTGTTGGGATTACAGGCGTGAGCCACTGTGCCCAGCCCTTTTATATTCTTTTAAAAAGTATCTACTGTATTTTCCCATGGTGTCATAGTCTATATAGAAAAATAACAATCATTATTTTCAGTTTACATGATTGTTTACCTAAAAATATCCAAAGGAACCAACTGAAAAAAACAATTTTTAAGATTATGGGTTAAAAGCTCTTTTATATAAAAATCAATAGCCTTCCTAAATGTTATTTATAATCACATAGAAGACATAGTGATGAAGTATTTTTTCAGGTATTTCAGCAAAAATTAAATACCTAGGAATAAACTTAGATGTGCAGGACTTTTATCAAGGACATGACAAAATTTTGCTGAGTGGAATGAAAGATTTGCATTCTATGTTCCTGGATGAGCAGATTTCATGTTATAAATATGTTAGTTATCACCATGTCTTCATATTAATTTGTAAATGTAATTTCTGCTGGGCACCGTGGCTCACACCTGTAGTCCCAAAAGTTTGGAAAGCTGAGGCAGGTAGATGACAATTAGCTGGGTGTCTGTGGCACACACTTGTAGTTCCAAATACTTATGAGGCTGAGGTGGGAGGATCACTTGAGCCTGGGAGGCAGAGGTTGCAGTGAGCCAAGATCATGCCTCTGAACTCCAGCCTAGGTGACAGAGTGAGACCCTGTCTCAAAAAAAAAAAAAAAAGCAGAAAAAAATGTGTATGTGTGTATATAAGTGTGTATGTACATTTCATATTTTATATATATATTTATATATACATTGTATATATACATTTCATATTATATATACTTATATATAAATTGTATATATACATTTTACATTATATATAGTGTGTATATACATATACACAAATTTCAGTACAAATTCCAGCAGATTTATTTTTGACACTTGACAAAAACGACTCTAAAGTTAGTTTAGAAGAATAAATAATAAAAATTCATAAAGTATAGACTCTTTCAACCAGATATTAAATAAAATATTGTGGACTAGCCCTGGACCAGACAGATAAAGGCAATGGAAGTTTAGAGCCAGAGTCATGCAAATGAGAATTTAGTGTAAGGAAAAGGTGGTATTTTAACTTAATACTGAAAAGAGAGATTATTCTGTAAATGGTTTTAGGAGAACTATTTGAGGAAGTTTGAGTCTTAACTCCAATTTTTGTCAAAATAAGTTACAGTTTGTTTAAACACATCTATTCGTAAAAATTAGAACAAAAGGATATTGGTTTGAAGATATTTTAAGAGTTAAGGCTGAGGCTGGGCACAGTGGTTCATGCCTGTAATCCCAGCACTTTGCGAGGCCAAGGTGGGAGGATTGCTTGAGCCCAGGAGTTTGAGATCAGCCTGGGCAACATAGCAAGACTCTTTCTCTCTCTCTCTCTCTCAATATAGATATACATGTAAATATACATATACAAATAGAAAAAAAAGAGTTAAGTTTTATATGGAGAGCCATGAAGATAAGAGGTAAAAATTAAAGGCTTGATGGACACATGTTTACATCTCCAGCAAGGGGGTTGATGGAAAGAATGATAGACATAGCTCCATTACTGCTACCTCCTTTTAGGAAGTTGCATCTGAACATCTAAAGATATCAGTTTTATAATAGCAGAAATGAGTTATTTTTCAGTGTCTAAAACATCACATGACATACATACATACATGCATATATACATAAGTATGTTCATAAAGTTAAATGAAGTAGGATATAAAATTGGGCCTAGTGTTTAAAAAAGTAAATATATTTACATGAAGGAGAAAACAACTCACCTCCCACTCTTACAGCCTCTGCCAGTTTATCATAGCCTAGTTTCTTGAGAGAATAAGCTGCATGTCTTCACCTTTTTTCACTGAGCTCATTATAATCTGGATTCTGCCTTCATCGTCGCGCTAAAATTTATCTCCTAGTTGCCAAATCCAGTGACTCCCCTCTTAGTCCCCAAATGGACCCCTCTGCAGTATTTTGATACTGTTGATTGTTCCTTTGTTGAAACATTCCTCCATTCTTAATGTCCACTAATAAAGAGTTGGTTAAATAAAAATTGTAGTGTACAGTTTTATAATAGAATATTCTGTTGTTCTGTTGTGGACCAAAAAATGCAGCCAGTCTTTCCATAAGAGCATGTGCAAACTTCTAAGGTATATTAGGTAAAAAAAGTAAGGCATAAAATATTGTGTATAATCTGACTCCTTTAGCATACAGTGTAAAAACATCTATGTCTGTACTTGTTTATACTTACTTTTTTCTCCCCTGGTGGATACAGGAAACTGTGAATAGTACAACACAATTTAAAAAAGTAACTGTGTGTCTTCTGCACCAGGACCTATGATAATTGGGTGTAAAAGACAAAAAAGGCATGTCCCTGTCCTCTGGGAAGGGACATGATAATCGAATGAGACTTCTATCGGATTCTCTTCTCCTGTTTTGATCTTATCACCCTGCCTTGGTCTCCTCCGATCTCTTCTTCCTTGTCCTACTTCTTTCTTCTCTTCTCATTCTGTGCTTTCTCTGAGTAATCTTTGACTCCCATTACTTAAGTCATGACCTGTGTTGCAGGGACTCCTAAATTTGTATTCATCTCCGGAGTTTCAAACCCATATATCTGTCTGTATATCATATATGTTAGGGAATCTCACCTGGAGTGACATGGGTGTTCAAAATGATGATATTTAAATTTTCATGTATCCACCTCCTAGCACTCTATCTAGTCACATATGCCTAAACCTGGGAACTGTCTTAGCGTTCTTTTATATACAACTGTTCTCTGACACCCCCAAACTAGTAAATTTCTAAGACCTGCCCTTCTGAATGTCTCTTAATATTTTCCCTGTGATCTCAGTTTCTTCCTCCCATCCCTCAAATGCTTTGTGTCTGTGTGTGGTGGGGGAAGAGAGTAAAATTTGTGGAAAATGTACTACCTTGTCTTTCTTTCTTTCTTTCTTTTCTTTCTTTTGAGATGAAGTCTCCCTCTTGTCCCCCAGGCTGGAGTGCAGTGGCACAATCTTGGCTCACTGCAACCTCCACCTCCTGGGTTCAAGTGATTCTCCTACCTCAGCCTCCTGAGTAGCTGGGATTACAGGCACCGGCCACCATGCCCAACTAATTTTTGTATTTTTAGTAGAGATGGGGTTTCATCATGTTGGCCAGGCTGGTCTCAAACTCCTGACCTCAGGTGATCCACCCACCTCGGCCTCCCAAATAGCTGGGATTACAGGTGTGAGCACCATGCCTGGCCACTACCCTGTCTTGTTGCTTGGTATGACTCCACTACCCTGCTCCCTCTCTCCCCGTGCAGCAGCATAATTTAAGAATCAGACAGACTGAGGAGGATATATGTTATTATTTAGGTGCACCAGCCCAGTCAGATTAACATCTAAAGGACTGAGCCCTGAACAAAGAGTCAGGTTACCTTTTAAGCATTTTGTGGGGTGGGGAGAGATCTGTGCAGGGAGAAGCATATTACAGAAGCAAGAAACAAAGACAGTTATTCAGTTGAGACATGCATTACATTATTTCTTACTTTTCAAGGAAAAACATGTTTTATGACTTGAGTTTATCTGTCCAGTGACCTTGCAGCTGCACAGCTAGAGAAACAGGGTCTCCACAATGCCTGGGAGAGGAGGAGAGATGAGGTTCACTAGCCTCAGAAAAACAGACAGTTAATTCTTAAAGTACTCCACCTCTTTTTCTTTCTTAGGGGGAATTGGGTTTTTTTAACATACAACTGCATTTTTGCTTACACGTTCTTTAATTTCTTTTCATTCCTCTTTCATCCCAGCCCTCCTGTAGCCCCTTCAGTGCCAGAGGTCAGAGTGTTCAGGTCCATGTCCAGATCACCCTGCCTCATCTCCATTATGTACTTGGCACAAAACAGAACACACTGAGTGTGTAACAAATCCACACTGGGGCTTGGCTTCCTTTTAAGCATGAGGATTTTTGGTGGATCCTAATTTATGGTTCAACCTTCCTATTTCCACTTGCTTCATTGTTCACTTTGGAAAGGCTTATTCTTTGCTTCCTTAACCCATTCTATCCTTTGTCTTCTTTCTCTGTCCTTTGTAAGCCTGCTTCTTTCTCTTCATCTCTTTTCTTGGTCAGAGACACCCAGAAAATTGTTCCTGACCAAGTGAAGTGAGTTGCCTTATTAGATCCCATTTGAGTCACCTTATACATTGAAAAACATTTTAAACAATGAAAACCACACTTGTGCACATAGTTTACCTTGCTTACTTCCTTAAAGTAAATATGCTTACAACACAATTTGGACTTAAACATGGAAATTTACAGTTATTATTTGCAGTTTCCTAGTGAATTATTATTTTTTTAGACAGACACTTAAGAGCCTACTAAATATTAAGTCTTTTACAGGTTTCATTTAATCTTTACTATTCTGGGAAAGTTTTCATTTCTTTGTTTTGCAGATGAGTAGACTCAAACTCAGGGAATTAGATATAATATCCAAGGTCATCTAGATTTCCAGGCTCTGTCTGCTGGATCACATTTGCTTTTGTACTTTTAACTGACTATGACAGGAACATATAATTTTATAATCCATCTGTAAGAACAGTGCCTGTGCATGGTTTTCTTTTTCTTTTTTTTTTTTTTTTTTTTTTGGTGGCCTCATTAATGTTCTATTGTTTGAAGTTTTAAGTTTCTAAGAAAACAAGATAGCAATGAGAAATTGGACAATGTCTGGAACTTCCTTCCTCTGCCTTTATTGTTGACATTCTGCTAGGTATCAGTTATGTGATTATACCCCAAGCCATAGTAACTTTCTTAAGCTAGAAGCTCCTGAAAATATTTAGTTTTTTTTTTAATCTGTAAGCTGCACTTGAGCAGTGACAAAATTTTTATTTCCTACTGGATTGATTACAGCAGTCATAACATTATTGATGTCTTCTAAGGGCTCTTTAACATAATGCTTATTTACTGAAATGTGTTTTGTAGCTTCATCAGCAATTGAAGTGGTTGATATGTGGACTCTGCAGATTATATAACCTTCCTAAGCACCTGGATGTTGCCATGCCAGATCAACCACTACCCATGGGTCAGGTAGAGTAAAAATTCTCTAGTGTTCAAGAGCTAAAATAAATAGTCTCAAACAAAAGTCAAACTAGGATGATTTTTTTAAATTATTCAATTTATTTAGAAGTTAGCTTTTCTGTTCCTATTGAATTGTTTTGTTTGTCCTGTTTTAGATACTAAAAATAACCTTTTCATTCTTTGGAGCTGCTGGTATTTAGTATGACAGGCAAACAATTGCCCTTTTCCCTAACACCAGCTTTTTATTATGAATATTCCTGGTGTCCATAAATGTTCTTGCTTCTTTCATTGTTTGTCTTTGCTCATTGAATTACCTTCACCTAGAAATGTCATCTCCTTAAGTCTGTCTATGCTTCTTAAGGACTCACCCAAATGTTATCTCCTGCAATCAACAGAAATCTCCACTAGCTCACCACTACCCCTAACTTCTTCCTGGATTTACCTATTTAGGCATCAGCTATTGACTTTTTAGTATAATACATGAGAATTTAGCTCTTATACTACCCACTTTGCCTTCCTCAGATATTATCTTTAGTGATATAAGTAATCACTAATTATCATTAGGACTTCATGAAGCCAAGTTTTCTAGAATATTTAGGATAGGATATTTCTTTCCTTGGTGCTACTTTTTGTTTTGCAGTGTCTTCCTCATAATAGTAATTTTTAATTAAAAAATTTCTGTTGTAGCCCTTTCTGTGAGATCTCCTTCTCTTCCAAAGCCTTTGGCTCCTCTGTGCCCATTTTGGCAGGTTGTTCTTCAGCTTGGCTGTGCATATGTCATCTTGAGGTTTTTCTCATCTGCTCGCCTAGAGTACATCCATTGTTTCTTGGATCCCATGTCATCTTTCTTGGTTTTTCTCTTTGTCATTTTACCTGACTGTGTCCTCAAGTAAAACCCTGAGAAAGCATAGAGTGGTATATTTTCTGATCTCTAGCTTCTGAGAAAATATAATCCAGTGTTTGGGTTTTGGAGCCAGTCTGAGATAGATTTGAATCTTAGTTCTACTACTTATTAGCTCTATGCCCTTGGGCTGATTCCATAATTGCTCTATGCATCAATTTTCCATTTGCAAAATGGGGGAACCGGTAATAGTATTAGTACCTATGTTTCTAAGGATCTGTGAGGATTAAATGAGTTGGTACATGTAAATCATTTAGAACAGTGCCTGGTGCTTAACCCATCCCCATCACTATTCACTTTTGTCATAGTCTACCCTCACACTTGATTGATAGTTTGGTTGATTATGTATTTCTAGGTTGAGGATAATTTTACCTTAGAATTTCAAAGTCTGTGCTGTTGTGTTCTAACCAGTCATGGTGGTGAAGCCTCATGTCATCCTGAGTTTCACTCATTTATGCATGACTTTCTCTCTGGAAGCTTTTAGGAGTTTGTCTTTTCCTTGGTGGCTGAAATAGCACAACATTGTACTTAGTGTGTGTCTTTTTTCATTCACTGTGCTGGGTATACCGAATGGATAGGCCTATGGATCGGCTCTTTCAAAGTTGTAATCTTGAATCTTGTCATATTTTTGTTAACTTTCTCTTTTCCACTTTATTTGTTCATTCTGAAGTGTCTGTTAATTGGATTTTAGTCCTCTTGTCTTGAGACTTGCATCTCACATTATTTCTAATTTTTTAAAAAATGTTAAGTTCTGGAACATTTTCCTTATATTTTGACTTTTAGGAAATTTTATTTGGACAGTCAACGTTAAGTTTTGTTTTGGTTATTTATTGTTGCTTAACCAATTTTCCCAAAACTTAATGGAATAAAACTACACATTTGTCTACCTGTCACTACTGTATGGGTTAACTGAGGACAGCCAGACAGTTTTTCTGCTGGTCTCGTTTGGCATCTCTCACTGTGCGGTTAGATGGTGTCAGGGACTGGTCATCTGGATGCTCAGCTGCAGTGGAATGTCTGAGATGGCTTCTTCACCCACAGGTCACCTGCTTTGGTGTTTCTTCATGTGGCCTTCCTCTCTGGCCTCATCATATGGCTTCTCTTTCCCCGAGAGTTAGTCAGTACTTATTTTGGCTACTAGAAGCACAGATGTGGAGCTGCCAGGTGTTCTTAAGGCTTAGACCTGGAACAGGTCCAGCATCATTTCTACCAAATTCTGCAGGTTAAAGTGAATCTTGGGGCCAACCTAGATTCACTGTGGGATGGGACTGTCCAAGGACATGATGCCGGGAGGTGTGGCTCACTGGGGACCAACTCCCAAGATGAACCCTGAGTTCTAAGAACTTTTTCTTCTCTGATTATTCCTTATTCATATCCTATTTTTGTTTTATTCATGTAATATATTCACAAGTGTCTTTATGAAGTGATTTGGGTACTCTTTTGTCTTCTCCCTAGCATCTCTTTGTTCTTTAATAAATTTTTTTCTTAGTTTATTTTGGTCTTATTTTTCTTTTTAAAACCTTTCCTTAAATATCTACTCTATGTTGCTTATCATTTGTAGTCTTTTTTTTTTTTTTTTTTGAGACAGAGTTTTGCACTTGTTACCCAGGATGGAGTGCAATGGTGTGATCTCGGCTCACCACAACCTCTTGGGTTCAAGTGATCCTCCTCCCTCATTCTCCTGAGTAGCTGGGATTACAGGCCTGTGCCACCATGCCCGGCTAATTTTTGTATTTTTAGTAGAGACAGGGTTTCTCCATGTTAGTCAGGCTGGTTTTGAATTCCTGACCTCAGGTGATCCACCCACCTTGGCTTCCTAAACTGCTGGGATTAAAGGCATGAGCAACCGTGCCCAGCCTGTATGTTTTCTTTAATTCCCTTTTTTGTTCATTCATATTTGAGAGAGGTACTAAAAGACTGGGAGTCTGGACGTGGTGGCTCACACCTACAATCTCAGTGCTTTGGGAGACTGACGTGGGAGGATCACTTGAGCCCAGGAGCTTAAGACTAGTTTGGGCAACATAGTGAGATCCCACCTTCACAAAAAAATAAATTAAAAAAATAACCAGGTGTGGTGACACCAACCCATAGTCCCAGCTACTTGGGAGGCTGAGGTAAGAGGATCACTTGGGCCCAGGATGTTGAGGCTGAAGTGGGCTGTGATCATCCTGCTGCTTCCTGCATTCTAGCCTGGGTGAAAGAGCAAGACCCTGTCTCAAAAACATAAATAAATAAATATATAAAAAAATAAATAAAAATAAAAAATTGGGAGTTCTTCATGGCCAGGACTTGCCAACTGATAGCTTTTAGGGGGAATGTATGCTGATTCCTAATTGTCATCCTCTACCCCCCATCTTATCTCCCAGTGCAATCATAAATGATGGCTGGAACTACTCCATTTCTCTGGAGGTGAAATCTACATTCTCTTGTCTGAGGTAGATATGTTTGCTTGGGTTCTGCTTAAGGAGATAGGGGAGAGCAGTGTGTTTCAGGGCCTGGAAAATGTGTTCTCTATATAGGCTTTTGGTTGATCTCTGTTTTCAGTCTTGCCTATCAGTCCCACTCTCGGGGGTACCTGGTGTCGGAGTCTAGAACCTTTCCAGGTTGCTGTGGGACAAATTAGCTTCCTTGTTATCGGTGTCCCCCTGACCTCCACTTTGCTTTGCTTTGCTCCATTAATTAACCATTTTCCGTTTACTGTCATTTTCTAATGGAGGTGAATTCTCTTCTGTGGGTAACCCCATTTCTTTTTTTTGTAATTGTGTGTTTATATATCGTTTATTCTTCACTGTATTTCTAGTGGAGCCTCAGGACAAAGAGCAGATGGTGGAAATATGTGTTCAGTGTTCAGTTTTTTTCTGTAAGACATCTGCAACTTGTGTTTTTCACTGAATATCACGTGGACTTAATGCATATAGAGCTACCTTGTTTTTCATGATTGTGCCTACAATTCTATGGAGAAATATAATTTGTGAATTACCTGATGAAATTTTCCTAATTTTGAATCATCCTTGCATTCCTATAATAAATACTGTTAGAATGGCTATGGTAATATTTTATTTTTGCATTTTTATTTCTGTATTAAATAAGATTATAGTTTTGTTTGCTTCCTTTCAGGCTCTTATTTCAGTATCAAGGGTGTGCAGGGCTAACTTGGGAAGCTTTACATCTTTTCTCTAAAACCTAGGATGTAGATCTAGTTTACACAGTAGTTTTCAACTGCAGGAATATTTTGCCTCCCATGGGACATTTGGAAATATCTGGAGACATTTTTGTGGTCACAACTGGTCACGGTCGGGAGGTCTTACTGGCATTCCATGGGTAGAGGGGATGTTACTAAATGTCCCACAACACACCAGGAGAACCCTCACAAAGAATTGTCTGGCCCAAGATATCAATATTGCTGAGGCTGACAAACCCTGGTTTAAATAAATGTCCAATTTGGAGGATGAGTCTTTGTCTTTTTCCTTTTTCTGTGTGTATGGGTCTCCAGATTTTCCATTTCTTCAGTTAGTTTTCATAACTGTAGATTCTTAAAAGAAATGAACACTTCTCCCATACTTCTAAGGTGTTGTAAAGATGTGTAAAGTTTTCACTTTTTGCATCATATTCACATGTGGCTATATGCCCTTTTCTCTTCAAAGGTTTCTTTATCTCGATCAATTATCAGAGGTGTGACAGTTTTATTATCTTAGTCTTTTGAAATAATCCTCCTTGAGTTTTATTTTTTAAATTTAGTGAGTTTTTTTGTCACATTTTCCTTATGTCTTAATTATTTCCCCTTTTTGTTTATTTTGCTTTTTCTAGTTTAGTGGATCAATGTAATTTAAATTGCCTTTTAAACAAACCTGTAATGGTATACATTTTCTTTGGGTGCTGCTTGACTTTAGTGCACAAGTCTTTTTTATTTATTTTTTATTATACTTTAAGTTTAGGGTACATATGCACAACGTGCAGGTTTGTTACATATGTATATGTGTGTAATTTTGATGTGCTGCACCCATTAACTCTTCATTTAAAATTAGGTATATCTCCTAATGCTATCCCTCTCCACTCCCACCACCCCACAACAGGCCCCAGTGTATGATGTTCCCCTTCCTGTGTCCATGTGTTCTCATTGTTCAATTCCCACCTATGAGTGAGAACACGTGGTGTTTGGTTTTTTGTCCTTGTGATAGTTTGCTGAGAATGATGCTTTCTAACTTCATCCATGTCCCTACAAAGGACATTAACTCATCATTTTTTATGGCTGCATAGTATTCCATGGTGTATATGTGCCACATTTTCTTAATCCACTCTATCATTTTTGGACATTTGGGTTGGCTCCAAGTCTTTGCTATCATGAAGAGCGCCGCAATAAACATACATGTGCATGTGTCTTTATAGCGGCATGTTTTATAATCCTTTAGGTATATACCCAGTAATGGGATTGCTGGGTCAAATGGTATTTCTAGTTCTAGATCCCTGAGGAATCACCACACTGACTTCCACAATGGTTGAACTAGTTTACAGCCCCATCAACAATGTAAAAGCATTCCTATTTCTCCAAATCCTCTTCAGCACCTGTTGTTTCCTGACTTTTTAAGGATTGCCATTCTAACTGGTGTGAGATGGTATCTCATTGTGGTTTTCATTTGCATTTCTCTGATGGCCGGTGATGATGAGCATTTTTTCATGTGTCTTTTGGCTGCATAAATGTCTTGTTTTGAGAAGTGTCTGTTCAAATCCTTTGCCCACTTGTTGATGGGGTTGTTTGTTTGTTTCTTATAAATTTGTTTGAGTTCTTTGTAGATTCTGGATATGAGCCCTTTGTCAGATGAGTAGATTGCAAAAATTTTCACCCATTCTGTAGGTTGCCTGTTCACTCTGAGGGTATTTTGTTTTGCTGTGCAGAAGCTCTTTAGTTTAATTAGATCCCATTTGTCAATTTTGGCTTTTGTTACCATTGCTTTTGTTGTTTTAGACATGAAGCCCTTGCCCATGCCTATGCCCTGAATGGTATTGCCTAGGTTTTCTTCTAGGGTTTTTATGGTTTTAGGTCTAACATTTAAGTCTTTAATCCAACTTGAATTAATTTTTGTCTAAGGTATAAGGAAGGGATCCAGTTTCAGCTTACTACATATGGCTAGCCAGTTTTCCCAGCACCATTTCTTATATAGGGAATCTTTTCCCCATTTCTTGTTTTTGTCAAGTTTGTCAAAGATCAGATAGTTGTAGATGAGTGGCATTACTTCTGAGGGCTCCATTCTGTTCCATTGGTCTATATCTCTGTTTTGGTACCAGTACCATGCTGTTTTGGTTACTGTAGCCTTGTAGTATAGTTTGAAGTCACATAGCGTGATGCCTCCAGCTTTGTTCTTTTGGCTTAGGATTGACTTGGTGATGTGGGCTCTTTTTTGGTTCTATATGAACTTTAAAGTAGTTTTTTCCAATTCTGTGAAGAAAGTCATTGGTAGCTTGATGGGGATGGCATTGAATCTATAAATTACCTTGGGCAGTATGGCCATTTTCACGATATTGATTCTTCCTACCCATGAGCATGGAATATTCTTCCATTTGTTTGTATCCTCTTTTATTTCATTGAGCAGTGGTTTGTAGTTCTCCTTGAAGAGGTCCTTCACATCCCTTGTAAGTTGGATTCCTATGTATTTTATTCTCTTTGAAGCAATTGTGAATGGGAGTTCACTCATGATTTGGCTCTCTGTCTTTTATTGGTGTATAAGAATGCTTGTGTTTTTTGCACATTGGTTTTGTATCCTGAGACTTTGCTGAAGTTGCCTATCAGCTTAAGGAGATTTTGAGCTGAGATGATGGGATTTTCTAAATATACAATCATGTCATCTGCAAACAGGGACAATTTGACTTCCTCTTTTCCTAATTGAATACCCTTTATTTCCTTCTCCTGCCTGATTGCCCTGGCCAGAACTTCCAACACTATGTTGAATAAGAGTGGTGAGAGAGGGCATCCCTGTCTTGTGCCAGTTTTCACAGGGAATGCTTCCAGTTTTTGCCCATTCAGTATGATATTGGCTGTGGGTTTGTCATAGATAGCTCTTATTATTTTGAAATACGTCCCATCAATACCTAATTTATTGAGAGTTTTTAGCATGAAGGGTTGTTGAATTTTGTGAAAGACCTTTTCTGCATCTATTGAGATAATCATGTTGTTTTTGTCATTGGTTCTGTTTATATGCTGGATTACGTTTATTGATTTGCATATGTTGAACCAGCCTTGCATCCCAGGGATTAAGCCCACTTGATCATGGTGGATAAGCTTTTTGATGTGCTGGTGGACTCAGTTTGCCAGTACTTTATTGAGGATTTTTGCATCAATGTTCATCAAGGATATTGGTCTAAAATTCTCTTTTTTGGTTTTGTCTGTGCCCGGCTTTGGTATCAGGATGATGCTGGCCTCATAAAATGAGTTAGGGAGGATTCCCTCTTTTTCTATTGATTGGAATAGTTTCAGAAGAGATGGTACCAGCTCCTCCTTGTACCTCAGGTAGAACTCGGCTTTGAATCCATCTGGTCCTGGACTTTTTTTGGTTGGTAAGCTATTAATTATTGCCTCAATTTCAGAGCCTGTTATTGGTCTATTCAGAGATTCAACTTCATCCTGGTTTAGTCTTGGGAGGGTGTATGTGTCCAGGAATTTATACATTTCTTTTAGGTTTTCTAGTTTATTTGCATAGAGGTGTTTATAGTATTCTCTGATGGTAGTTTGTATTTCTGTGGGATCTGTGGTGATATCCCCTTTATCATTTTTTATTGTGTCTATTTGATTCTTCTCTCTTTTCTTCTTTATTAGTCTTGCTAGTGGTCTATGAATTTTGTTGATCTTTTCAAAAACCAGCTCCTGGATTCATTGATTTTTTGAAGGGTTTTTTGTGTCTCTATTTCCTTCAGTTCTCCTCTGATCTTACTTATTTCTTGACTTCTGCTAGCTTTTGAATGTGTTTGCTCTTGCTTCTCTAGTTCTTTTAATTGTGATGTTAGGGTGTCAATTTTGGATCTTTCCTGCTTTCTCTTGTGGGCATTTAGTGCTATAAATTTCCGTCTGCACACTGCTTTGAATGTGTCCCAGAGATTCTGGTATGTTGTGTCTTTGTTCTTGTTGGTTTCAAAGAACATCTTTATTTCTGCTTCCATTTCGTTATGTACCCAGTAGTCATTCAGGAGCAGGTTGTTCAGTTTCCATGTAGTTGAGTGGTTTTGAGTGAGTTTCTTAATCCTGAGTTCTAGTTTGATTGCACTGTGGTCTGAGAGACAGTTTGTTATAATTTCTGTTCTTTTACATTTGCTGAGGAGTGCTTTACTTCCAACTATGTGGTCAACTTTGGAGTATGTGTGGTGCTGAAAAGAATGTATATTCTGTTGATTTGGGGTGGAGAGTTCTGTAGATGTCTATTAGGTCCGCTTGGTGCAGAGCTGAGTTCAGTTCCTGGATATCCTTGTTAACTTTCTGTCTCATTGATCTGTCTAATGTTGACAGTGGGGTGTTAAAGTCTCCCATTATTATTACATGGGTGTCTAAGTCTCTTTGTAGGTCTCTAAGGACTTGCTTTATGAATCTGGGTGTTCCTGTATTGGGTGCATATATATTTAGGATAGTTAGCTCTTTTTGTTGAATTGATGCCTTTACCATTATGTAGTGGCCTTCTTTGACTCTTTTGATCTTTGTTCATTTACAGTCTGTTTTATCAGAGACTAGGATTGCAACCCCTGCCTTTTTTTGTTTTCCATTTGCTTGGTAGATCTTCCTCCATCCCTTTATTTTGAGCCTATGTGTGTCTCTGCATGTTAGATGGGTTTCCTGAATGCAGCACACTGATGAGTCTTGACTCTTTATCCAGTTTGCCAGTCTGTGTCTTTTAATTGGGGCATTCAGCCCATTTACATTTAAGATTAATATTGTCATGTGTGAATTTGATCCTGTCATTATGATGTTAGCTGGTTATTTTGCCCATTAGTTGATGCAGTTTCTTCCTAGCCTCGAAGGTCTTTACAATTTGACATGTTTTTGCAGTGGCTGGTACCGGTTGTTCCTTTCTATGTTTAGCGCTTCCTTCAGGAGCTCTTTTAGGGCAGGCCTGGTGGTGACAGAATCTCTCAGCCTTTGCTTGTCTGTAAAGTATTTTATTTCTCCTTCATGTATGAAGCTTAATTTGGCTGGATATGAAATTCTGGGTTGAAAATTCTTTTCTTTAAGAATGTTGAATATTGGCCCCCACTCTCTTCTGGCTTGTAGAGTTTCTGCCAAGAGATCCGCTGTTAGTCTGATGGGCTTCCCTTTGTGGGTAACCCGACCTTTCTCTCTGGCTGCCCTTAACATTTTTTCCTTCATTTTAACTTTGGTGAATCTGACAATTATGTGTCTTGGAGTTGCTCTTCTCGAGGAGTATCTTTGTGGCATCCTTTGTATTTCCTGCATTTGAATGTTAGCCTGACTTGCTAGATTGGGGAAGTTCTCCTGCATAATATCCTACAGAGTGTTTTCCAACTTGCTTCCATTCTCCCCGTCACTTTCAGGTACACCAATCAGATGTAGATTTGGTCTTTTCACATAGTCCCATATTTCTTGGAGGCTTTGTTCATTTCTTTTTATTCTTTTTTCTCTAAACTTCTCTTCTCACTTCATTTCATTCATTTGATCTTCAGTCACTGATACCCTTTCTTCCAGTTGATTGAATTGGCTACTGAGGCTTGTGCATTCATCACATAGTTCTTGTGCCATGGTTTTCAGCTCCATCAGGTCCTTTAAGGACTTCTCTACATTGGTTATTCTAGTTATCCGTTCGTCTAATTTTTTTTCAAAGTTTTTAACTTCTTTGCCATTGGTTCAAACTTCCTCCTTTAGCTCGGAGTAGTTTGATCTTCTGAAGCCTTCCTCTCTCACCTCGTCAAAGTCACTCTCCACCCAGCTTTGTTCCATTGCTGGTGAGGAGCTGCTTTCTTTTGGAGGAGAAGAGGTGCTCTGATTTTTGGAGTTTCCGGTTTTTCTGCTGTTTTTTCCCCATCTTTGTGGTTTTATCTACCTTTGGTCTTTGATGATGGTGACGTACAGATGGGTTTTTGGTGTGGATGTCCTTTCTGTTTGTTAGTTTTCCTTCTAACAGTCAGGACCCTCAGCTGCAGGTCTGTTGGAGTTTACTGGAGGTCCACTTCAGACCCTGTTTGCCTGGGTGTCAGCAGCGTTGGCTGCAGAAAAGCAGATATTGGTGAACTGCAAATGCTGCTGCCTGATTGTTCCTCTGGAAGTTTTGTCTCAGAGGAGTACCTGGCAGTATGAGGTGTCAGTCTGCCCCTACTGGGGGGGTGCCTCCTAGTTAGGCTAATCTGAGAACAATAAAACAATTTGAAACAAAAATGTCTCCAGATCTCTTAAAAGGAAGCTAGGGCAGCTTTCTGTAGTGCACTTCCCAAAAATGGGCTGATTTACCTCAAGAGGTAGGGATTCTAGCCTACAAGGGATACATACAGGAGAAAAAAATCAGAAAAAGAAAAGAGATTTAAATAATAAAATGAAAATAACAGTAATCCCTCATTATAAAGGAAATCATTCTTTTTGTAATAATTTGGATGACAAACATTAAGAAAAATCTTTAATTTGCCACTCAAAACATTCTGGTTTGTTGCTTTTTATATGTTTTTCTGCACATAAACCTTTTAAAAAGTAGAATTGCAGTATGTAGTCTTTTGTCACTTACTATATTTTGGGCATATTTCTGTGGCAGTAAATATATCCTGGAATCATCATTTTTAATAGCTGGATGTATATTAAGTTAATCACTGCCACCCCAGAGGTGAATTTTCTTATACATACTTTTTTTTAATTATACTTTAAGTTTTAGGGTACATGTGCACTTTATGCAGGTTAGTTACATATGTATACATGTGCCATGCTGGTGCACTGCACTCACTAACTCATCATCTAGCATTAGGTATATCTCCCGATGCTATCCCTCCCCCCTCCCCCCAGCCCACAACAGTCCCCAGAGTGTGATATTCCCCTTCCTGTGTCCATGTGACCTCATTGTTCAATTCCCATCTATGAGTGAGAATATGCGGTGTTTGGTTTTTTGTTCTTGCAATAGTTTACTGAGAATGATGATTTCCAATTTCATCCATGTCCCTACAAAGGACATGAACTCATCAATTTTTATGGCTGCATGGTATTCCATGGTGTATATGTGCCACATTTTCTTAATCCACTCTATCATTTTTGGACATTTGGGTTGGTTCCAAGTCTTTGCTATTGTGAATAGTGCCGCAATAAACATACGTGTGCATGTGTCTTTATAGCAGCATGATTTATAGGCCTTTGAGTATATACCCAGTAATGGGATGGCTGGATCAAATGGTATTTCTAGTCCTAGATCCCTGAGGAATCGCCACACTGACTTCCACAATGGTTGAAGTAGTTTACAGTCCCACCAACAGTGTAAAAGTGTTCCTATTTCTCCACATCCTCTCCAGCACCTGTTGTTTCCTGACTTTTTAATGATTGCCATTCTAACTGGTGTGAGATGGTATCTCATTGTGGTTTTGATTTGCATTTCTCTGATGGCCAGTGATGATGAGCATTTTTTCATGTGTTTTTTGGCTGCATAAATGTCTTCTTTTGAGAAGTGTCTGTTGATGTCCTTTGCCCAATTTTGATGGGGTTGTTTGTTTTCTTCTTGTAAATTTGTTTGAGTTCTTATACATACATTTTAATGGGCTCGAGCAAATATTATTGGACTGAATTCATAGAAGTAGAATTTCTGGAGGAAAATAATTTTTAGGGTTTTTAATAGAAATTTTCAAATCATTCTCCAGGAAAAGTGACTCCGGTTATACTCCCACCAACAAGGACAGAGCTCCAGGTTCCCCTTTCCATTTATCATCTTTCCTGCCTTTATACAGAAAATCTCATTGTTTTCATGACATTTCTTTGATTTCTTGTGCTTTTGAATCTTTGTATATGCCATTGGCCATTTTTATTCTTATGAGAAGTGCCAGTTTCTCCATTGCCCATTTCAGTTGAAAATCATTTGTTTTTTTTTCTCAGTAATTTTAAAGATTTATTTATAGGCTAAGGATACAAGCCTTTTATCTGTCATTGAGGTGACAAAACTTTCACCCGGTAAGTAATTTGTCATTTCATTTTTTCTTCCTTCTTTTATTTTTCCTTTCCTCTCCCTTTCTTTCTTTTTCTTTTTCTTTTCCTTGTTTCTTTCTTCTTCTTCCTTCCTTACTTTCCTTTTCTTTCTTGCTTTCCATTCTTCATTTTTTTCTTTTCTCTCCATCCCTCTCTCTTTCTCTTTCTTCTCTCTTTCCTCTTTCTTTCTTTTTCTTTCTTTCCCTCTCTTTCTTCCTTTCCTTTCTTTCTCTTTCTTTGTTCCCTCCCTCCTTCCTTCCTTTTTTTCTCTTTCTTTCACTAGCCAAGCTCCAATGTCACATTTCACTTAATTTTTATCCTGCCAAATTTGAAGCCTCTTAACTCAGTGATTTTAGTGTAAAACAGGAGCAGGAGAAAATGTAATTATCTAAGTCTCGCTCTGTCACCCAGGCTGGAGTGCAGTGCCATAATCATAGCTACTGCAGCCTCCAAATCTTGACCTCAAGCAATTTCCCACCTCAGCCTTCCAGGTAGCTAGGACTACAGCTGTGTGCCACCACACCTAGCTAATGTTTAAAAATTTTTGTGGAGATGTGAATTCGCTATGCTGCCCAGGCTAGTCTTGAACTCCTGACTTCAAGTAATCCTCCCACCTCAGCTTGCCAAAGTGCTGGGATTGCAGGCGTGAGCTCCTGCTCCTGGCCAAGAGTTTAGTTTTGTTTGCTAGTGGTGTTCTTGGTATCTTTTCATATTTGAGGCTTTGGGCTAGTGCTGAAGTATTACACTCACCATCCGCTGTCCAGGACTTTTGTTTTATATTGAACCGATGGAACTGTTTAGTTCTGCATCTTTGCAGGTATACAGAATGTGCCTACCAGGAATCTGCTTTATATCCATTGAAAGCAAGAAATAATACAGTAAAACTTTGCCTGGCTAGAGGCTTTGAAAGAATGGCATATTCTGGTTTTATTCTATTAACTTGGAAGTATGAAGGTTAAAAAAAATTCAAAACTTAAATTTCCTGTTGAATACAATTTGAAAATATGGCCAATGATTGCACTTTTCTTCTCTAGTAAGGTTGGACATTCTGATCTACTTGGTGTTTTATTATAGAACTGCTAGTGTGCCTGAGTGTTACATTGTGAAGATACTTTTTTAAAACTTGCGATGCAAGAGGATGAAAATGGTTTTGTAGGAGATCAGGCTGGATGAGAACGGACACTTGTAAACATACGTTTTAGACTAAATCTCTGATTGCCACTTGTTTTCTTATGGAACTCATAAAAGTAAAACACATTGGATGGAGGGTGGGAGCAGGAAGGAGATTCTCGTCTTTTAATTGCATGTCATTGTTTCATAACAAGGCAGAACATATGGCAACCCTGGCTTTGGACCTACAGAAGTAAACACATTTTACTAACTGCTGTATGCCAGAGGTTCTTGAACACCTGGAGGGATTGCTGAACCCTACTCCAGAGTTTCTGATTCACCAGGTCCAGGGTGGGGCCTGAGAATTTGCACTTATAAAAAGGTCTCAGGTGCTGCTGGTGCTGCTAGTCCATAGACTACATTTTGAGAACCACTCTTGTCTATTAAGTGTAAATTGTAGAACTCTAGAAAAAAGCTTAGTTTGGTCTGGGATAAGAAGCACACAGGTTATGGAGAAAATCATGAAAGATTCAACCCTTGATCCCAGCCTAGTGTGGATTTCAGGTAACAAGCAATACACAGTGACATAACACAATTCTTGGTTTTCATGATTGCAAGTCATAGCCAGATATCAAGTGAGAAATTCAGTTTCATTTGCAAGGCTTAGAGAGGCCAGGTGATTCTAGAAAAATGGGCCTTGTATTTGTTTTAAACCAGTAAAGAGCTTTAAGTGCTTATTAAATTGAAAGCTTTGTGCTCTTACTTATTTTGTATTTTATTTTATTTTATTTCTTTTGAGATGGAGTCTTGCTCTGTCACCCAGGCTGGAGTGCAGTGGCATGAGCTTGGCTCACTGCAACCTCCATTTCCTGGGTTCAAGTGATTCTCCTGCCTCAGCCTCCCAAATAGCTGGGATTACAGGCACCCACCACCACACCTGGCTAGCTTTTGTATTTTTAGTAGAGATAGGGTTTCTTCATGTTGGCCAGGCTGGTCTCGAACTCCTGATCTCAGGCAATCCACACACCTCGGCCTCCCAAAGTGATGGCATTACAGGCGTGAGCCACCCCACCTGGCCCAAAAGCTTTGTGTTTTTAAAGATATTAGACATGTTTCTTGTTCTAAAAAAAATCTTAACAATAATGTAGGAGGATAAGACAAACAATTTTCCAAAAAAGAGAAATCATTGTGATTATTTTATCCTCCTGGAATGTTGGATACTATAGTCTGCTTCATTAATCAAGCATGCTATGGATTTTCCATTTTTATATGATCTACATCTCAAAAGGTAAAATGTACCAGGTCATGGCCCCCAACCCAGCCACAGATCCCCTCTGATGACAAGACCGGTGCCAGAGTCCATACTAATCCTGTGGCATACCAGACTGGGCCCCCCAACCCCAGCACCTCTGGGCTCCCCCCACCAAAGTCTTCTCAGTCAGCCCCACCCCTTCAGCAAGCCACTCAGTCCTTGCCCTTGCCAATCACCACAGGGTGAATTTGGGAGGGTGACTCCTGGGGCTCCTTGCTCCATACTTGGCCATCACCTTCTGCTGCCCCAAGCCCAACCTCCCTGGGCTCTTTGGGCTTGTGTCTCCCAGGACCTGGGTCCCCCAGCCCCAGGCCCTGCCCTCACCAGTCATCCCTGGGTGACTTTGGGCTGGTGACTCCTGGGGCTCCCTACTGCAGACTCTGCCCTCCCCTCCTGCTGCCGCAAGCTCAACCTCCCTGGGCTTCTTGGGCTGGTGTCTCCGAGGACCTGGGTCAAAACCCTGTATTTCCCTCCCCCATCATGGAGTGGCGACTCCGGCATCGCACTGATGTCCCCTCCCCTGGGAGGAGTGGAATGCAGTGATGTCACAGTGCCCCTAGGAACTGTCATTACTGCTGCAAGACCGGCCTTTGATCTTACAACCCAGTCCCCTAAGTTTTCTCACCCCATTTCTGGTTCCTCTGGTTGCAGCCTAAATTTCCAGCTGGAAGAGGAGTGGAGACTATGGGACGTATGAGCAAGAAGTTTCAGGCTGCCTTACTCCCTTAACAATGTCTAATTGACAGTGGGAAAAGCTTACACTTCCCCTGTGAACTCAAAATGTTGACAGTATCTCTGGGTGGCAATGGGAGAATGGGTTTGGTTTGGTTTTCTCCCAGGCTTCTACTTTCCAGAGAGACTTTGACAATTTTTTCTGAGTTCTCCACAGTTCTGGGACCAGACTGCCCTTCAGTCAGTGGTCTCTGAGGTGAGATTTGCCCATCTTCTGTGGAATAGATCTTGGGAAACTGAACTTGACAGCTTGAATCTTCTCATATCATCTCAACCTGGGGTACTTTGAGTGCTACAGGATAAATGTGGGACATCTTTCTGAAGCATCATTTTCCCTTGATTCTCTTGAGAAAAAATATTAATGTTCTTTTTTTTAAAATTTTTATTATTATACTTTAAGTTTTAGGGTACATGTGCACAATGTGCAGGTTAGTTACATATGTATACATGTGCCATGCTGGTGTGCTGCACTCATTAACTCGTCATTTAGCATTAGGCATATCTCCTAGTGCTATCCCTCCACCCTCCCCCCACCTCACAACAGTCCCCAGTGTGTGATGTTCCCCTTCCTGTGTCCATGTGTTCTCGTTCAATTCCCACCTATGAGTGAGAATATACAGTGTTTGGTTTTTTGTTCTTGCAATAGTTTACTGAGAATGATGATTTCCAATTTCATCCATGTCCCTACAAAGGACATGAACTCATCATTTTTTATGGCTGCATAGTATTCCGTGGTGTATATGTGCCACATTTTCTCAATCCAGTCTATCATTGTTGGACGTTTGGGTTGGTTCCCAGTCTTTGCTATTGTGAATAGTGCCACAATAAACATACGTGTGCATGTGTCTTTATAGCAGCATGATTTATAATCCTTTGCATATATACCCAGTAATGGGATGGCTGGGTCAAATGGTATTTCTAGTCCTAGATCCCTGAGGAATTGCCACACTGACTTCCACAATGGTTGAACTAGTTTACAGTCCCACCAACAGTGTAAAAGTGTTCCTATTTCTCCACAACCTCTCCAGCACCTGTTGTTTCCTGACTTTTTAATGATTGCCATTCTAACTGGTGTGAGATGGTATCTCATTGTGGTTTTGATTTGCATTTCTCTGATGGCCAGTGACGGTAAGCATTTTTTCATGCGTTTTTTGGCTGCATAAATGTCTTCTTTTGAGAAGTGTCTATTCATGTCCTTCACCCATTTTTTGATGGGGTTGTTTTTTTCTTGTAAATTTGTTTGAGTTCATTGTAGATTCTGGATATTAGCCCTTTGTCAGATGAGTAGGTTGCAAAAATTTTCTCCCATTTTGTAGGTTGCCTGTTCACTCTGATGGTAGTTTCTTTTGCTGTGCTGAAGCTCTTTCGTTTAATTAGATCCCATTTGTCAATTTTGGCTTTTGTTGCCATTGCTTTTGCCTCATTTCAGAGAGAAGTCTGGTATACGCTTGGAAACCTATGTGTCTATCATCCCTAAGAACATTAATGTTTATTGAGAGTTTAATAAACATTAATGTTCTTAGGGATGATAGACACATAGGTTTCCAAGCGTATAGCAGACTTCTCTCTAAAATGAGGCTTGGGTTGTCCTCTTTCTGATAAATTCCCAGATTTAACAGAAAAGCTGCCTTCTGCCATGAGGACACATTGATATGAAAGTGTGAGAGGTACTCGTGCACTTCTTTACACTAACAGACATGTGAGGATGTATGACTCTAAACTACACGGCCTACAGTTCCTGCCTGCTTAATGTTTACTTTTCTACCACTGTCCCTGGTTTTGGTCCCTGGAAGCTGCTGATTCATGGCAAAACCCCAGAGCTTGGAGTCAGAAGACTGAGTTTAAGTTCCAGTATTGCCTTTTTCTTTCCTTCTTTTTTTTTTTCTATCCATGATATCAATCACTCTCAGTCACTAAATGATTGTGACAACATCTTGTACAGTTGTTGGTGGCATTAAACCAGATGGTGTATAAGAGTATTTTGTCAAAACTGTAAAGCAGGATGTGGCTATAGGGGCTGATTGTTCTCATGAGTGTTGCTGCTCTTCTTTCCCACAGTTAAAAGAATATTGGCAGAGGAAGAGCCCTGGCATTCCAGCAGGAGCTAACAGGAAAAAGAAAATCAATGGCAGTAGCCCTGACACAGCCACTTCTGGTGGTTACCACTCACCTGGGGATGTGAGTCTTGGCTGGCCAGGGTCCTGGGGACAGGGGGCCTAAGGGGCAGTAGGGGGTAATTTTTAAGATTGTAGATGGACTATTGGGTACTGGTTAAGAATTCTGGGTTTGAATCCTGCCTCTCCGTCTGCTAATGATTGATTAGGGATTGATTAGCATATGATTTAGGGCAAGTTGCTTGAGGTCTTTGGGTCTCTGTTTTCACATCTGCATAATAGAGGTGGTATTTTTGACTTCCATTTGTGAAGTTTAAATCAGATTTGTTATTGCTTATATGTGAATCCTTAGTACATGGCCTGCTGTAAACACCCAGGACACCCAGGAAATGGTTGTTGTTTGATTTTCCTCATCCCCAGTCTCAAGGGGAAGCCAGTTAATGAGAAGAGACACTTGCCATCAGGCTGTCCCTTTAGGAGTCACTGAAAGGGCCCCAGGGTGGGATGGTGGGGAGATAAGAACCATGAGAGAAGTTGGCACAAAGGAGTTATGGGACAAAGGGTCCAAGATAGGCAGAAAAGAAGCTTTTGCCAGTTGATGGGGAAGAAAGGAAATCAGAGGGCTTAGACAGTGAGGGGGGACAGAACATCTCCATGTGCACTCTCATCTCTTGCAGTCAGCAACAGGTATCTACGGGGAAGGCCATGCATCATCTGCTACCCTGGAGGATCTGGAGGTAAGAGGCCCTGGGCTGAGGTGCAGTGACCCTGCAGGCCAGCCCTCCAACCTCCTCCCACAGCAGGGGCTTGTTGCCCCTCTGCCAGCTGAGACAACCCACACCCTCCACCAGCCCTAATGATTGTTCTCTCTACCCCTCCCCACAATCTTCCTCCAACTCCTCCTCTCTGCATGCACCTCACAGCCAGTACCGAGAACTAGCAGTGGCCCTGCACTCAAGCTCCGCAATAATCAGTCAACTCAGTGAAAACATCAATTCACTGGTAAGAGTCCAGTGGGGTCCCCTGATTCCAGCTGGTCAATCCTGGACTCCAGTTTTCCCTTGGTGCCCTGAAGAAAGGGGCCAGGAGCCCCTGATGCCAAGGGCAAATGGGGAGCTGGGGCACCCAGGCCTCACCTGGAGGGACCCCAGAGCACAGAACATGCAGCATGGCTCTTCTGCACTGCCCTCTTTGCTGACTCTCTCTTCTCCAGACACCCTTGCTCTAGTTGTTGCCACACATGCCCTGGGGTTGTCATCTCTCAGGGAAGCACTAGCCTGACTGGTTGTCAGAGGCCCGTATTTCTGCCCTGCCTCAGCCCCTAATTTGCTTTTTGAGTCTGGACAAGCCATCTCTCCTCCTTAGGCTCATGTTTCTGGAGGAGGTAGAGAGTATCAAAGGTCACTGTTAGCTCTGAGATTTAAAGGCCCCTAGAATGGAAACCTCAGGGCCAAGGGCTCCTGTCTGTCCTTTGCTGTCTTATATCTCTGCTATGAAGAATTGTACGTGCTCAGTAAATGTTTGTTGAATGAATGCACCTTTCTCAATCACAAGGTGGCAGAAGGGGGGTGGGACTTTCTCAAACTCTGTCTCTAGAGGTTCAGCAGCCCCTCTCCAGGGCCCTTTCCCCTCTGTGCTTTGGGCAGGTCCACGCATTGAAAGAGGGGAAGCAGCATGAGATACATTGGGTACAGAAGCTTGGGAGGAACTTGTTCAAACTCAAAAACCAGATGGTTAAGATGGGACTGGCATGACCTAGGAGCAGGACTGGCATCAGAGGGCTGTGAGGGTGACTTAGAATGCCCCAGGGAGGAGGGTGGATGGAAGGGCTTTGAGGCAGAGGGAAAGAGGTCTGTGCCAGGAGATGGCAAGTCTTGTCATCTCCATGAACCTCAGTGTCCCTATCAGTAAAGAGGGAGGAGTGCCCATTGTCAGCCACCCACAGTGCTCTCTATCTGAAAGTGACTTTGAAGATTGGCTACCATCCGGGTGTGAGGAGTCATTAGCAGTGAGGCCAAGTTTGGGAAGCCTGAGAGGAGGAGCTGTCCAACAAAGGGAGGTTTTTTTTTTTTTTTTTTTTTTGAGAGTCCAGAGGCCCTTATTGTCTGCTTCCTTTCTCAGCTGAACCCCTGGCCCCAGAGCCCCCAGCAGGGCCCTCTGAGGTGGAGCAGCTACAAGATGAGACCAACCACCTAAGGAAGGAGCTGGAGAGTGTGGGAAGACAGCTCCAGGCTGAGGTGGAAAACAATCAGATGTTGAGTCTCCTGAACAGGAGACAGGAGGAGAGGCTGCAGGAACAGGAGAGGCTGCTGGACAAGGGGTAGGAGCTGCTGGAACAGGAGAGGCTTCAGGAGCAGGATGAGAGGCTGTGGCAGCAGGAGACTCTGTGGGAGCTGGAGAGGATGCTGGAGCTGGAGTGGGAAGCCCTCTACAAGCAGCAGGCCGAGCCCCACAGCAGCTTTGAGGAGCTGGTGTGTTGCCCCACCTGGGGAGGCTGCCCTCTTCCCTAGCCCTCAAGGTGGGGAGGCTGCCCTCTTCCCTAGCCCTCAAGGCCTTTGTTTCCCCACCTGTAAAATGGGGCATTGTGGCCTTCATATGAAATGGTACTTCTAAAGGCACCTGTGAGCCAGAGCCCTGCTCTGATGGCTGTGGGAGAGGGTATGATTTTTCTAACCTGCCTCCACCCTTCCTGGTGCCATGGGAGGCAGACACCAAGTTCTGGGGTCTCCAGTTTTAGTGGGTGGCCACTGATTGCTTCTCTCTGTCCAGAATAATGAGAACAAGAGTGCACTGCAGTTGGAGCGGCAAGTAAAGGAGCTGAAGCTTGGTGAGCTGAAAGAGACGGTAACCTCTGACCCATCTAATAATGGTTGGGAGGCAGTCACCAGCCTCTGGGAAGGGGAGGTGCCAAGACAGAGGCAGCTGCAGCCTGAGGACAGGTGACCCCAGCACCCTCCAGGGTAGTCCTATGACTGTTTCTTGCTTCCTGCCCTCTGACGTTTAGAGGTGGGTAGCCCTGGGCTCCTCCCAGGTCTGGACATCATCATCCCAGCTAGAGGCATGGAGCCCCCCAATCACAGAGGAAGAGACAGTGGTATAAGAGGCTCCTTGGTGAGGTGTGGTGGCTCACACCTGTAATCCCAGCACTTTGGGAGGCTGAGGTGGGACAATTACTTGAGGTCAGGAATTTGAGATCAGCATGGCCAACATGGCAAAACCTCATCTCTACTAAAATTAAAAAAATAATAATAATAATTAGTGGACCTGGTGGTGCATGCCTGTAATCCCAGCTACTCAGGAGACTGAGACACGAGAATCACTTGAGCCCGGGAGGTGAAGATTGCAGTGAGCTGAGATTTCAGCACTGCATTCTAGCCTGAGACACAGAGTGACACTGTCTCAAAACAAAACAAAACAGAAAAACCAGACTCCTTAGATTGAAAGTGGATTGCGGCCTCGGTTCCACTGGTCATAATTCAACTACTTTGCATCTCTAAGTCTCTGTTTAACTTCAAAAGGAAGTTAGCCTTTTCCTTGTGGAGGTGCTGAGGATTAAATGAGATGATACGTGGAAACATTAGGTATGTGGCACACTTAGCAGATGGTGGTTGGCTCCCCCTGCTTTTCCACCAGTCTGTCGCCTACAGTTTAAATGCTGGGAAAAAAGACATGAGATTTGAGGCTGTGGAAGGAGGCATGGGGTTCTAGGCAAAGGAGGCAGTCTCGTAGGCCTGGAGCAAGGGGCCAGGGGACTGAGCAGGCCACAGAGCCCCACAGTGTCCTTGCTACCCTATTAATGGGCCAGGAATCTGGAAGCCAGCCACCACATGCCCTCATGCCCAGCGTCTTCCTGCACGTGGAGCTGAAGAGCCAAGAGGCTCAGAGTCCACAGCAGCAGCAAGACCAGTACCTGTGTCACCTGCAGCAGTTCGTGGTCGCTTAGTAGCAGGTGGCTGCTTATCAGCAGCTGGCCTCTGAGAAGGAGGTGCTGCACAGGCAGTTACTGCTGCAGACCTGGCTCATGGACCAGCTGCAGCAGGAGGAAGCTCAGGGCAAAGCGGTGGCTAAGATGGCCCACCAAAAGTTGCAGGAGACCCAGGGGAGGGAGTTGTTGAGGACAGGGCTCCAAGAGGGACAACCTGGCAACCTCTGTACCTTCTCACCCTCTTTCCTGGCCCCTTAGGAGAACCTGGAAGCTACCAGCCAGCAGAAACAGCAGCTAAAGCCCAGTTGAGCCTCATGGCTCTCCCTGGGGAAGGTATGGGAGACCACTCAGAGGAAGAGGAGAGAGCCCCAGGAGGAAAGGGGGACTGTTAGCAGCGTAGGATTGAGGAGTTGGAAGAGACCTTTAAGACAGCTGGTCATTATGCCAACTGGGTGTCCGTACTAAGTTCGGTATCAGTATGGTGACCTCCTGGGAGCGGGGCCATCGGGTTGCCTAAGGATGGGAGAACTGGCCCAGGTCAGAAAGGGAGCAGGTCAGAATTCCTGCACCAGTCGGTAGTGGGACTGTGCCTGGGCAATATAGCAAGATTTTGGTTCTTAAAAATAAAGAACAGCGCATTCCCCTCTGGGGAGGGGCTGGCTCAAGGTTACACAGTGAGTGTAGGGGCAGAGGTGGGCCCACTGTACCTCCCTTGTTGGGTTGTCTGAGGACCCCTCTGGCCACCTCCCACAGGATATGGAGGAGGACATCTGGACAATGAGGAGGAGGCACCTCGGCCCATGCTGAACATTCCAGGGGACCTGGAGAGCCGGGAGGCCATGGTGAGCCTGACTTTCCCTGCCCCTACTTTGCCACCTTCCTCTGTAGTCCCTCTGAAACCCCCTTATGTTCTTGGTTTCCCTGCCTTCTGACTTCTGTGGACTTTCTCTCCTTCCGGGAGCCAGTGGTCAGACACCATTTCACCTGTGACCAACAGGTGCACTCTGTGAGGCCCAAAAGGAAGGGGCTGTGCTCCATCTCCCTGCCCTGGTTGTTATGTGTATACCCCTACAAGAGTACTCACCTCTTGCCTTCAGGTGGCATTTTTCAACTCCGCTGGAGCCAGTGCCCAGGAGGAGCAAAGCGTGTGCTGCCAGCCCCTGGCTCACCCAGTGGCCTCATCCCAGAAAAAGCCAGAGGCAGCGGCCCCAGCCCCAGAGACTGGGGGTGAATCTGTGTGTGGGGACACCCACTGGGCCCTGCAGGAGGCCATGGAGAAGCTGCAGGTGAGTAGTCCTGGCATGGGCCAACAAGGGTGGGGTCGGGACAAGGCAGGTGACTCCTGACATGTGACCCCATTATTTTGGCTCCACAGCAACTTTATGGAAGGAGAAGATGGACCTGAAGGAGCTGGTGGAGAAACTAGAGCTTCAGTTCATCCACCTCTCAGGACAGACAGACACCATGAGTAAACGAGAGGCCAGGGCATGGCAGGGGGAGCTGCAGGGCCATCTGAGGGGCCCCAGCATCTGAGCCGTGTCCTCCTGCAGGAAAGTACATCAGCCAGGGGGCAGTGCCAAAGACGCAGCACTGGGAGAGGAGGACATCGTCAGGCTGGCCCAGGACCAGGAGGAGATGAAGGTAGGGTGTGCAACATCTCTGTGGGGGTGGGAGTGAATGTCGGTGCTGGCACCGGCATGACAGCTAACACCCCTTCCTCCAGGTGAACCTGCTGGAGCTGCAGGGGCAGGTGTTGCAGCTTGTGGGCGACCACAATGAGCAGCATGGCAAATTCTGACCATTGCCCAGAACACTGCTGATAAGCCCACTCTAGGAGCCCCAATCGCCCAGGAGCTTGGGTGTGCTGACAAGCAGGGTGGTGAGTAGAGCCCTCAGGCGGGGTGGGCAGGCAGGAACAGGGGAGGCTCGCACTGTGCTCAGATTCCCACTCCCCTCCCTCTCTCTGAAGATCTTTGTGAGGTGAGCCTCACTGATAGCGTGGAGGCTGCACCAGGAGAGGACAGGGAGGGTGCTGTCACAGCACCCAGGCAGTCCACCCACAGTTCAGACCAATGCTCAACCCCCTCAGGGTTCCGTCTTCTCTGGTCACCATCTTCCAACCCACTGGCCCAGGGCCACCTCTTGCTTGGGGAGCCCCACCCAACAGCCACCAAGCCTGACAGAAGGAACACTGCTTGAACCAAAATGGTGAAGCTATAAGGGATGGCTGGCTGGAGTGAGTACCAGAGGCCCCTCTGGGCCGTCTGAAAGCCCAGGGTCTTCTGAGGGACCCAGGGGAAGGCAGGAAGCGCAGGTAGCTTGATGCCATTGGCCATAGACTTCTAAGTCTAACAGGGGAGCCTCAACTGGTTGGTGGAGGGCTGCAGGTTGCATAGGTGAGGCTGGGCCCTTCCTGCTGGGAAAAGCAGAAGAGGAAGACTCCATGGCAGGAAAGGGAAGTGAGCTCTCTAGGCGGAGCTCAGCTGGGCCAGCATGCACTGTGGTCCCCTTGGCTGAATAGCACAGGCGAACCCTAGAAGCAACAGGCCAAGGTGCATGAGCCTGCTGGCCAGCAGTAGTGCTTCAGCAGGGGCCAGGGTCCCTGCCTTCAGTCGCATGCTAGCAGCTATCATGGTACCTGGTAGGGAGGGAAGGGGGCTGTGTGTCCTTCCATGGCCTATGAAGTGTGTTGTGGGATGACCATGTGTATAGGACTCTCAGGCTTTTATCCTAGATCACCACTGAATTGCTGACAAATAGAGGATGTGGGACCCTGACTACCACCCCTAATCTGCAGTGGATTTGGCTCTCAGCACTCCCAGGCTGGGAGCTGGATCCCTGCCCTGGCAGCATGACTCAGACCACACGACAGGTACGGCATGCCCAGTATGATGTTCCCAGGTCTCTGGCCGCCTGAGTCCAGCCCCTCACACAACCCCCTCGAAGCTCCCAGCCCCTACACCATAAACCATGAGCTCTGTGCCCTCTCTGATGGTTCCATGTCTGCCAGGTTGGGCATGGAGCCCCCAGGCTCAGCCATGGAGACCTTGAGCAGTGGCACTGAGTCCCATGGCTCACAAGGAGGGAAGTGAGACAGCCAGCAGCACAAGGACAGAAAAAGGAAAGAGCAAGTCTGCAGCTCCAGAAGGAAGGGGCAGGCCTGGGGGTGGGGGACACACACGCACACGCCGGAGTGTGCACACACATGCTGTGAGGCCCCACGGCCCGCATGCACACGCTAACACACATGCCCACAAACAACACGCATACGTCGCCCTCCCCACCACCTCCCGGTGCCCAGCACCCTCACCGGCCGGCACGTGCTGCATGGATCTGGGGCGTGCAGCCACTCGGCACACTGAAGTACATGCGTGGGCAGAGTCACAACACAGATGCTCACCCGCACACAGAGGCATGTGCACCAGCTCCCTGCACACTCGTGCCTGGCGTGCTCAGAGGACCACCCATGCTGCTCAGGGAGACAGGGCTTGCTCACTAATGTCCGGCTGTCATTTCTCCACCTAAGAGCCTTCCATGGCTCCCTACTGCCTACAGCATTGAATCCCAAAAAGTCATACTCTTTGGACTTTGAAGGTTCTCCACCCGGTGCCCCACCCTCCCCACAGAGCTCTTCCTCATTCTGTCTCTGTTCCCTGCTTTGGCCAGTGGCTATCCTCAATGTGACCCACACTACACTTCTGCCCACACTGCAGCTCTTTACCCAGTTACCCTCCAGTTCCTCACAACGTATGCCTATCTCAGTCATGCCCCGGACTGCATTGAAGCCAGGCTGCCTTGAAGAAACTCTCCCAGACTGCCCTTTTCCCCAAGGCAGGGTCATGATTTGCCAAAGGTTTCGTGTGTGTTAGCAAGACTGGAGTCGGAGCAGGCATCAAACTTTGCATCCCATATGTCACACCTCACCATAGACCTGGGTGCCAAATAGCCTGAAGAGTCTGAACTCATGTTGGCAGTTAGCAAAGTGCTCCTACGGCCACATCTGCAGTTAACATAGTATCCCTATGGCCACTGTCTCCCTTGATCCCCACAGCCATCCTAGGAGAAAGGCAGAACGTCATTTGCTAGAAGGGATGCTGAGGCTCTGGGAGGGAAAGGGACTTGCCTAAAGCCCCAGGGTGAAGCAGCATCTCTGGACTCTCATAGACAGCCTAGAGCTGCTAGCATTCCCTTAGGATCTGTGCCCTTGGGCCTGGATTAATTTTTTCCTCTGCAAAGAGCCATCTGTAGGGCTAGAGGCTGGCAAAGCCTGACTTATTACTGGATGCCAGTTCCTTTGCCTGACTTTCAGCGATTTCTACCTTACGCTCGGGTTTTATGTTGCTTGTCTCAACACTATCACTTCTCATTCCTCCACAAGTTGAATTGCTCACTCCAGCCACTTGAAGCATGCTGTTCTTAACACAGTTAGCTCTAGGCACATGGTTGGTGCTAAAAAGGAAAAAAAAAGAAGATCGTTATGTCAATTTCATTGATTAACAAAAGCGATGGCTCCACTGCAAAGCAAAGTTGATACTCCTGGGTTCAAGAGCCTTTTAGACAAATGGATCTGAGCTAAAACATGATCATGCACTCATATGCATCTGTCTCGGTCTGATGAGATAATCTGGATACTTGGTTGTTATCCTTCAGCATTTTCCTGCCTCATTAATGCATGTGTAGCCAGCACAATAATCATCATAGCTAATAATGGCTACAGCTGAGGGCTTTCCTGAACCAGGCAGTGGTTTTAAAAACTTTAACCCCTAAAGCTGAGGACTTTCCTAAGCTAGATAGTGGCTTTGAAAACTTTAAAGTTTTCACATAGACTGTCATTGAATAATTTCTGTTTTTCAGATCAAGAAACTGAGACTTACTATCACATTTGGGATTAAGCTAAACAAAAAAAAAAGAAAAGAAAAGAAACAGAGGCTGAACGCTGTTAAGTATTTCACAGCCAGCAGGAAATCAGAACTTGAACCCAGGCAGTCTAGCCCTGGGATCCTTTGCCCTTACCCATTATCCAGTGTTGGCTACACAAAACTAATGGGTACATATTTTCAACTATAGTGTAAGTGGGTGACATATTTTTCACTATATTTTATGTAGGTGACTTTCAGTTTGGGGGTATTCTACTTACACAATCTATTGAGCTGGATATTAACTGAGAGCAAACAGAAACTAATGAACTCTGAAAAACATAAAACATGAGCAACATGACATCACTGCAAGAGACAAAACAGCACATAGCCTTCTTGTGACTGTATTTTGCTGACAGTCCATGAGCAGATAGCCTGAACTCAGCAGTGCTGTTCCCTTGGGAAACACACACACACACACACACACACACACACACACACACACACACACGAGTTGGTGGTTTTCTGCCTCCACCCCCACCCCAACACACACACGGGTTGGTGGTTGTGCTGCCCGGAGCCTCCAGTCCGCGAGTGTGAAGAACGGACCAGATGGGTCCAACAGTGCTGGGTCAAGGCGAGGAGGGGGCAGCCGGAAGCGGGCGCATGCTCTGGACTCCTGCAGCCGCCGAAACGGGTGCGCAGGGGGCGCGCGGTTTGAGGGGTGAGGGGTGACGGGTGTGAGGGGCGAGAGGGACGGGAGCAGGCTGGGGGCAGCCCTTTCCCAGGCGGTAGCGGGGGCTGTGGTGCTGTTGCCCTTTTAAGCTGCGGCTTGACAGGAGCAGCGCCTCCTGTCGGTGGAGTCTGTTAGAAGGGGAGCAGCCGCCCAGGCCTCCACACAGCTCCCCGCAGAGGCCTTGGTGCCCCTTGCCATTTTCCAGCCCTACTGTGACTAGAGTTGAGGCAGCAGGGAGAGGCGGAGCTGGGAGAGCACCGCCGAGAGGTCCCGCGGGTGGTTGCGGCCGTCACAGCGGCTCCCGACGGGCTCACCTTCGCGCCCCACCTGCCAGAGGTGAGAATAAAATGTCCGTGTGAGGGTTCAAGGCCAAGCTGAAGTTGTTGGACTCTATCTTCCACAAGAACCAGGAGCCGCTGCCGCAGCTCATGCTCCACTGCAACATCACGTTGAGGCGCCCAGTGGCGGCCTCACGGGGCAGGGCGAGGGCGGAGAGGAGGCGCCCAGAGTCCCGGGACAAAGGGGAGCCTGCCCGGGAGAGGCCCCGGTTCCCCAGGCGGGGCGAGCGCGCCCCTTTCTCCCGCGACTGGCCCGCCCCGCTGCGTGAGGCTTGCGTGGGAGGAGGGGGAGGGCGCGTCTCTCTGGCTCCTTGCCACGGGGCTGGCTTGGGGGCTGCTGGCACCTCTCGCCCCAGTCGCTGCGCCCTGAGGTGGGAGCCCGCGTCGCCCGCAGCCCTTTTGGGGCCCATGATCGCCCTCAGTCAGCTAGCCTGCTCCCCTGGACCGCGACGGGGCGTGGCAGGGTGGCTCCCGCTGTTGTTTGAGCCCAGTGAGGGAAGGGGAAAGGCCTTTAAGATTTTCGTTTTTTTGGCCGGGTGCAGTGCTCATTCCTGTAATCCCAGCACTATGGGAGACTGAGGTAGCTGGATCTCCTGAGGTCAGGAGTTCTAGACCAGCCTGGCCAACATGGTAAAACCCTGTCTCTACTAAAAATACAAAAATTAGCCGGGCATGGTGGCAGGAGCTTCTTGAGATGGAGCCTCACTCTGTCGCCCAGGCTGGAGTGCAGTGGGGCGATCTCGGCATACTGCAGCCTCCATCTCTTGACAGTCCGTGGGTTCAAGCGATTCTCCTGCCTCAGCTTCCCGAGTAGCTGGGATTACGGGCGCCCGCCACCACGCCTGGCTAACTTTTGTGTTGTTTAGTAGAGACGGGGTTTCATCATGTTGGCCAGGCTGGTCTCGAACTCCTGACCTCAAATGACCCATCTCTGCCGCCCAGAGTTCTGGGATTACAGGCCTGAGCCACCGCGCCCGGATCCAAGGCCCTTAAGCTTAAATGCCTCGTTCTTCAGTCAGGTTTTCCTTGTTCCCGCATGTTCAGCCAATCGTGTTTAAGGAGAAACTAACAATGAAAACGGACTCGTTGATGGAGGAAAAGTTGGAATGCAGCCTCTGGTGCTGTTTGAGCGATCCCTCTATCCCGGGTCGCTGCTGTGTTCTGGAAAGGCGCATTGTACCCTGGATGCAGCAGGTAAGAGTCCTGTCCAGGTGCTCTGCCCGCTTTTCCTTTCAGGCTTCTGTATCAGCTGTTTTTCCCCTGTAGAATGTGCCCCTGACAGCCACCCGCTAACCCTACCCAATTTGTCTTTACGTGTCTGACCATCAAGGCTCTTCTGGGTCATATTTAATTCATGCTGATATTTCCCCTTCCTCCCCTCTTTAGTCCTCACTATTTTTGCTTTGGTTATGTTATGCTGTATTCTGTAAGGCTTTAAAAAAATTTTTATGGTGGCAGGGGAGAATGTTTTATAATTATGCTTTGTGCTTTTTATCTTCCACTCAATAAATGCTTAGTAAATATTTGTTTTATTGGATGTATGAGCCTATTCTACCTATATTGTGCTTGAAAAAAAATCTTAACTGCCTTGTAAGTTAACTGCTAAGAATTTGTCAAAAGTGCAGACATAACATCAAGAACTTGTCATGGATAGTACAAAAAGGTCTCTAAGGGCTTGATGGAAGCCTGTAAATTGACTTCCTATGAAAGAGAGTGTAAGAAGTGAAAATGTAAAGCATGACTGGAGAGCCAGAGTGATGAAGCCAGGGTCCCTTTCTCCAGATCCTTTGTAACAGTGTTATGTGATCTCTTCTAGAAGATCATTCTGAAAGATAATGCCAACTCAGAACCTAGGAAACCATCCAGTGGGTTTCTGCAGCTTAGGTGTTTCCAATCCTCATCAGCACGGTAGTTTTCTCTGCCTCAGTTTGCTTACAATGATGTTCTCAGTAGCTACAATTGCTTTCTGTCTTTGAATACTTAAGCATTTTTTTTTTAGATGACAGGGATATATGTGCATTTTTATTTTACCGAGTGTTAGAATTTTTACTCTGCTTTTGTGGGCTCTGGGTTAGCTACTTGGTTGTTGTAAAATGATTAGCAGGGAAAGCTCTGTGTGTGTGTGTGTGTGTGTGTGTGTGTTTTAAGTTTCTTTTGTTGTCAGAGGACTTCGAATTTTATTTTATATGGTAATTCTTTCAATTTACTTTATTCTCCACCCCACATTTATTGAACAGCAAAGTATGAAAGTAATGTGTCCCATAAGCAGCCTTCAGAAGAATTACAACTGCTTTATATCTGAAATTCTTTTTTTTATTTTTTATTTTGAGATGGAGTCTCACTCTATTACCCAAGCTGGAGTACAGTGGTGCAATCTTGGCTTACTGGAACCTCTGCTTCCCAGGTTCAAGCAATTCTCCTGCCTCAGCCTCCTGAGTAGCTGGGATTACAGGCACCTGCCACCGCACCTGGCTAATTTTTGTAGCTTTAGTAGAGACAGGTTTCACCATGTTGGCCAGGCTGGTCTTGAATTCCTGACCTCGTGATCTGCCTGCCTCAGCCTCCCAAAGTGCTGAGATTACAGGTGTGAGCTACTGCACCTGGCTGAACTTTCAAGAAGAAGTTTGTGCATCAGTTTTCAAAAAATTATGATATCAAAAGATAGCTGTGCCCTACATTTGGAAAGATACAAAAACTGAACATACTGGCAGGCAGTTTTGCTTGCTGGTGCTTGAGATAGAGGCACACATTGGTCTCGGTGGAATTATGGAGAAAAATAGATAAAGTTATTTCTAAATAAGACCAAAAAATCCTTTTCTTAAGCAGTGACAGGTAAAGAGGTTGTCTTGACTAACCTTCAATTGTGTTGCCCTTGCTTGAGACCGTTTTATGGTGGGGATGGTAGTGGTGATAAACTTGCTGGAAATTTGTCTGCTTATAGTAACCTTTGTGGTAGCTGTCACAGACAACTTCATCCTCACAGGCCTTGAAATTAGTATAAAACCAGCAGAATGGAGGAGAAACAAAGGACCTGAATAATTAGATGCTTAGATAATTGTTCTGTGTTTTCATAACTGGTGAAAAAGAGCAGTATTAGAAGCACTTACACATTCTATATAAGGAACACTGCCTGAATTTATATTGTGATTTTTGAGCACCATTAACTGTTTAAAAACAGGCATATTGTAGGTAATATTTTAAAGACAAACAGAAAATTTATCTTTTCAAGATGGATCTAAAACTTATCAAAATTACAAAATTTAAAACGTGATTGAAAAATATTAATGCATAGGTTTAAATATTGGTCATTTTAAATGTCTTTCAAAATAGATTGTCTCTTAAATATTAAACTGAACAAACTTTGAACATGTTGTAGAGTTTGTGCCGAAGGTTAAATTTCCTGGGGTGATGGATATTTTGTAATATGAACAACAAAACCTTCTTATTTTAAGAAATTTAGAAAACTTTTAGGCAAAACTAGAAAATACTACCTATGTAATTCTACCACTCAGCAGGTGCCACTGTCAGAAATTTGTATCTTTCCAGTCATCTGCTCTTTTCTCCTGTGCTTGTATATGTTTCCTCTCCCTTAAAAATCAGATATTTGTTTGTAATCTGCTTTTTCACTCAACAGTATTGTAGATCCATGTTATAATTTACTCCTCTACATTGCCTTCAGTTATTGTGTGCTTTCTGTTGGATGACTGTACCATGTAGTCAGTCATGTTTTCTGGTACTGAATGCATACGGGTATGTGTGTGTGTGCGTGCACTTGTGTGTGCGTATTTTTTTGTAACTTAACTAATGCTTTAGACATGAGTAGGTAGACCTAAATCCTTGAAACCTTCCACGTGGTGACTTTCAGTTCTCATTGCTGAATTTGTTTCCAGAGATGGAAGAAATTATATTGTATGGGAACTTTTTTTTCTTTTTTTTTTTTTTTTTTGAGATGAAGTCTTGTTCTTGTCGCCCAGGCTGGAGTGCAATGGCGTGATCTCACTGCAACCTCCACCTCCTAGGTTCAAGCAATTCTCCTGCCTCAGCCTCCCGAGTAGCTGAGATTACAGGTGCATGCCACCATGCCTGGCTAATTTTTGTATTTTTAGTAGAGACGGAGTTTCACCATGTTGGCCAGGCTGGTCTTGAACTCCTGACCTCAGGTGATTTGCCCACTTCAGCCTCCCAAAGTGTTGGGAATACAGGTGTGAGCCATTGTGCCCAGCCTTTTTTTCATCTCAGTACCAGCTTTTATTTATCAGATTGGTAAAAATGTTAGAAAGTGTGCAATGAAATGGGCATTCTTACAGTCATGGCAAAAAATATAATTATCTTTGACTTTCTAGAAAGTAGTTTGGATTTCGAGAAACTTGTTTGAATTCTCCCTGTTTAGGCAGGATGAATTCTCACTACCCCAAGGTGGCCAACCTTGTCCCTGTGATTCCATCTCTCCCAGAAAGAGAGGTCTAGTCTCAGGGAAAACCCAGATTTGTTTGGCTTAGCCCACCTGACAGCTAATCACTGGAAATGGGGTGGGCTGGTAGAATCCTTTGGTCAGGCTTTGTGTTGAAAGAGAGGTGGAAAGATGGGAGGGAGGTAGCAAAACTTGCCTCAGTGGAACTATGTAAGTTAATATAGAATGGCAAAGGGATGTTTCTTCCAAGGAAGAGATTCTAGGGAAGGAAGAAAGTGGAGGGGAAGGCAGCAGTTCTCCAAGTTTTTGGGTCAGTATTCCTTTACACTCTTAAAAATACATTGAGGGCCCAAGGAGCTTTGGTTTATGTAGGGTATATCTATTTGTATTTATCACTAGAAATTAAATCAGAAATATTTAAAATATTCTTTAAAAGCTCACCACATATTGTTATAAATGCTTTTATGAAAAGAAAATTTCTAAACCCAAAGTAGTACAGTCTTACATCTTTTGCAAATTTTTTTGATGTTTGATATGTCATTTGCATGATGTTTGACATGTCATTAGCAAATTGATATGTCAGTTTGCTTCTGCATTCAATTTATTGTGTGATATTTTCTTGAAAAAAATGTGAACAAAGGCCAATCTCATACAGATAACCATTTTAGATCATTGTGGATATATATATATTTTTTGAGATGAGGTCTTGTCCTGTTGCCCAGGCTGGAAGGTAGTCGTGTGATCACAGCTCACTGCAGCCTCAGTCTCCGGGGACTCAGGTGATCCTCCCACCTCAGCCTCCAGAGTAGCTGGGACTACAGGTGTGTACCACCACACTTGGCTAACTTTTTGTATTTTTTGTAGAGACAGGGTTTTGCCATGTTGCCTAGGCTTCTTTTTTGATACTCCATCAAATCTTCGTTTTTCTTGAACTTTGGATCTTCCACCCTTGCATGATATTACAACATCGTGCATTGGTTACTTATAAAATAGTGGTTCAATAAGATCTTCTACATATTGATACATTTGATTGTACAGTATCGAAATACATTCATCAATACCACCATCAATCTCATCAGAATACTTTCGGAAAGCAATGGTGGACATAGGTTTTCTAAAATTCTGATTTTTTCTTCAAAAGCTTGAATTTTATTAGTAATTTTGTTATTGAATTTTATTATAGCCTGTCTGTTGTTTTCCTTGAAATGACAGCATCTCATTTTTTGAGAAAATATCTTCCAGAAATGCAAGTTAAAACAACATTTTTTGTCAGTCAGCCTTTCAAGTAAAAATGGTATTCCATTAAAGTGGTTAATTAACTTCATGACTTAGTCACTCAAGTGTTTTTTTTCTCAGGCAGCCTGTAGGAATGCTCATGTATACTTCCCATTTCATCACTTGAAATATTAAAAAGATATACTCAAGGATTTAGATTTAGTAGAATATTCACTGCTTCATCATAGACATTCTTTTTTTTTTAAATTTTTGAGATAGGGCCTTGTTCTGTCACCGAGGCTGGAGTGCAGTAGCATGATCACAGCTCACTGCAGCCTCAACTTTCTGGGTTCCGTCAATCCTCCTGCCTCAGCCTTCCAAGACGCTGGGACTACAGGCATGCAGCCACTGTGTTCAGCTAATTTTTGTATTTTTTGTAGAGATGAGGTTTCACCAGGTTGCCCATGCAGGTCTTGAACTCCCAGGCTCAAGTGATCCCCCTGCCTGGGCCTTCCAAAGTGCTGGAATTATAGACATGAGCCAAAATTCCCAACCTTATCATAGACATTCTTAAATGAAACTGACCTTTTGTTGCCCTTCCTTTTTATTTTTATTTCTGGAGACGGAGTTTTGCTCTGTTGCCCAGTCTGGAGTTACATAGGTGCAATTTCAGCTCAAGGCAACCTCTGCCTCCCAGGTTCAAGTGATTCTCCTGCCTCAGCCTCCTAAGTATTTGGGAATACAGGCATGCACCACCACACCGAGCTAATTTTTGTATTTTTAGTAGACATGCGGTTTCACCATGTTGGCCAAGCTGGTCTCAAACTCCTGACCTTAGGTGATCCGTCTACCTCAGCCTCCCAAAGCACTGGGATTACAGACGTAGGCCACCATGCCCCACCCGCCCTTCCTTTTTAAACCTTTCCTGTGCATAGTGAAGAATACCATGACTACTAGTAGTTTGGTGTTACTGCCTTTGTTTGTGCTAAAGTACCAACATTTTTACCCACCATTGTATTTGCACACTTACAGCAAATGTCACCATGTTAGTATTCCTGTCAAAATAGTTTGGACTTGGGGGTCTGAGGGCCGCACTTTGGGAACCATTGAAAAAGGTACTTAGACGTACTAGATATCATATCTTTTCATCTACAAGGTTTTTAAAAACTTGATTTCAGTTAATTTTTTTTTGTAATTTTTAAAATATGGTTTTGAGGGGTTTCAGTCCAGAGCAACAACACATATTTTATTTTGCTTATGCTGAAGTTTACTAGACAAATACTAACCTAACAGAATGAAGTCCTAAATCTAATTGCAATTTCCTTAGCCAAAAGAAAAAAAAAAAAACAAAATTAAAAGCGTAAAAATAGTCCATATGGTGTATTCTCAGTGTATGCTGAAGAATTTATAGAAGAAAATGCAATACTCAGTAAGTGGTGTTCTTTAAGAATAGGATTGGCTGGGTGTGGTGGCTCATGCCTGTAATCCCAACACTTTGGGAGGCTGAGGTGGGCGGATCATCTGAGATTAGGGGTTCGAGACCAGCCTGACCAACATGGAGAAACCCCATCTCTACTAAAAATACAAAATTAGTGGGGCATGATGGCACATGCCTGTAATCCCAGCTACTCTGGAAGGCTGAGTCAGGAGAATTGCTTGAACCCGGGAGGTGGAGGTTGTGATGAGCTGAGATCGTGCCACTGCACTCCAGCCTGGGCAACAAGAGCGAAACTCGGTCTCAAAAAAAAAAAAAAAAAAAAAAAAAAAAGAAAAAAAAGAATAGAAGTAATTCTGAAGAGTTTCTTTTAGCCTGTAAAGAGATTTGGAACACAGTAAGAGGGGAATGAGAAGAATGAGAATAGTAAAATAAACCATTATTGAAGAGATATACTGTTAATGATGTCCTCCACCAATACAACTTGTTTTTCTTTTTTTTTTTTTTGTTTTTTGAGATGGAGTCTTGCTCTATCGCCAGCCTGGAGTGCAGTGGACATCTCAGCCCACTGAAACCTCTGCCTCCCAGGTTCAAGTGATTCCTCTGCCTCAGCCTCCTGAGTAGCTGGGACTACAGGCACCCGCCAGTGCGCCCAGCTAATTTTTTTTGTATTTTTTTAGTAGAGATGGGGTTTCTCCGTGTTAGCCAGGACGGTCTCAATCTCCTGACCTCGTGATCCGCCCACCTCGGCCTCCCAAAGTGCTGAGATTAGAGGCGCGAGCCACCGTGCCCGGCCCATCTTGTTTTTCTTAAAAAGGAACCTTCAGTAAATATTTGGTTTCTGTGGCTTCAGCTTTAATTCAGATTACAGTTTTCAAAGCAGTGTTGCCTAAAGTTGTTTGTGCAAAATTGTTTTCTGTGACTTGAACCTAGTTATTCTGAAGCTAATATATAATAATAATGGTTTTTCCCCAATTTATAATAGAGAACAGTACAGAGTAACAGCGGGAATGTCTGTTAGTGGGTGAAAGCACATAATGCATAGTTCATTAGCTTTTTAAAAAAATCACATGTAATTGTGTTACAAAAATATATGTATAGTAATGGCATTTAGTTGGTATTACTTGGTTTGTGTGATAGAATAAAATATTAGAATTTTATGGTGTTTGAGTTAGTTATCTATTGCTCTGTAACAAATTTAGCAGCTTAAAATAACAAACATTATCTCAGTTTCTGTGGGTCAGGATTCTGTCTAGTTTACCTTGGGTTCACTGGCTTGGTCTCTCACCAGGCAGTGAAGATGCTGGTGGTGGCTGTGATCATCCCAAGGCAGGATAGGGAGAGAATCTGTCTCCAAGCTCAGGTTGGCAGGATTCATCTCAGAGGCTGCTGGACTGGGCCTCTGTTTCTAGATGGCTATTGGTCAGAGGCCTTTCACAATACCTTGTCATGTGGGCCTCTCCATAGGGCACCTCATCACATGGCAACTGGCTTCCATCAGAGGGAGCAATGGAAAGAGCAGGAGAAGGGTGACCAAGGCAGGCATCGTAGTCTCTTTGTAGCCTCACCTCAGAAGTGATGTTACTTTTGCTGTATTCTCTTTGTTAGAAGCGAGTCACTAGGTCCAGGGGTGGAATTTTACAAGGGTGTGAATGGCAGGAGGTGATGGTGATCAGGGCCATTTAGAGGCTGCCTACCATTCTTAAAGAAAATTGTTGACTTCTATGAGCTGTGGCAGCAGACAGTGCTATGCAAGGAGAATGGCTGTCTCAGAAGTCCAGCTCCTCACATGGGTTTTAATGTGTTGCCTTTTCCCCCATACATTTTGTTTCAATCCATGGTCATCTTGCCATTTAGTGGTGTGGTTTAATCGCATATTTGGGTTAGTCTGTATGTAAACATTTAACATAGGTGTCTCTGGTTTAAACAGGAATCCTATTCATCTTCTTCACCGATAAGGTCTGTGGACTCTGATGAGCCAAATCTGACATCAGTTCTGGAACGTCTAGAAGATACTAAGGACAACAGCAGTTCGGTGAGGAAAGAAACCAAGCTATTTTCTCTTTTTCTCATAAACATTATATTTAGAAATTAAATGTTAAGTGATAATATTATATAAAAACATGATTAAAAACTATAAACTTAGAGGAATTAAAGTCTGGGTATTTTAAGTCCTCCAAATCTTATTTACTACCTGGTTTCTCTTTATTATTTCCCACTTGTATAATCTTAGTTTAGATTAGCAATTAGGGATCTCTTTTTCCCTGAATTCTAACCATTAAGCCAAGCAAGCATTTTGGGTGGAGACCACTAGCCAAGGTGGGAAGTAGAAAAAAGACCAAGGTGGAAGTGAAGGGAGAGATGGGGAGAATGACACCAGAACTAGTGGGAGGGAATTGCCTTTTCTTTCAAGGGTCTGTAAGTCTGCAGTAAAAGTCAAAGGTATTCAAATAGGAAGTTTTGTTTTTGTGTTTAGTATATAAAGAGGCATAACTTTCCATTTTGCAAAAACTTTAGAAACCTTTTTTCTTGATTATAAAACTTATAAGCAACCGTTATTGAGAAGATTAGTAAAATATAAAAAAAATAATCTCACATAATTTCTCTACCTAATATAACCACTGTTGACATGATAGCTAGTTTCTATCAGTATGTATTGCTTCTTTGTTATCAAAGTACTTATACCCTTACAGATATGTTTAAATAGTTGAGGTCATATTCTATAAATATCTGTAAATAGCTGGGTGCTGTGGCTCACACCTGTAATCCCAGCACTTTGGGAGGCTGAGGCAGGCAGATCACAAGGTCAGGCGTTTGAGACCAGCCTGGCCAATATGGTGAAACCTCATCTCTACTAAAAATACAAAAATTAGACCGATGTGGTGGCAGGTGACTGTAGTCCCAGCTACTCGGCAGGCTGAGGCAGGAGAATTGCTTGAACCCAGGAGGCAGAGGTTTCAGTGAGTCGAGATTGTGCCACTGCACTCCAGCCTGGGCAACAGAGCAAGACTCCATCTAAATAAATAATTTATATATACACACACATACACACACCCTCATATATATATACACATATATGTGTGTGTATATAGACACACACACACACACACATACACCTACACATGGCCGATTGCCTCGCCTCTAGCACTGGGAATCAGTCACCGTGCTGTCCTTGTGGAGTCTTGTGGCCCAACAAGAGGAAGCTCTCCCCTGACATTGCCCCTCCAAAGTGCACCACTTCCAGTGAGCCTCCCTGTCATGCCCGGCCTGTGGACAGCCAGCCCCCGCCATCCCTCCCACCCCCCACCAAGCATGGGGGTGCTGTGTAGGCAGCTGTGTGGCCTGACAGTCTCTACCAGTCCTGCTGTCCCTTGGCTGAGAATCAAACCCATTTCTGGATGACAGGGAATGTGTCCTATGCTGGCTGTGTTCTCTGTGGAGCTCACGGGAGGGAGAAGACCAAGCCATTTCTAGGGTGCTGTCAGGACCAATGAAAAGGTCACACTCTTTCCAAGAGACACTTTTCCTGGAAAGCCTCTGGAGCTTAGCTGGCTCTTATCCTGTGATAAGCCAGAGGCTCTGCGGGGTGAGGGAGCATGAACCCTCTTCACCCCACCCAACGGGGACCTGTATAACTCTGCCAGTCTCTCACTTGGCCTTGCTGCTGTCCTCTGAGACTGCCTATTCCTCCCTCTCTGTGACTCTACACCACCATCACCTCCTCCAGGAAGTCCTCTGGATTGACTCCTAGCTTATTACATCTTTATTGTGCAGACCCTCTCCATTCAAAGCCCCTCTTCAACTGCCCCCCACCGCCCCACCACCTCCAAGACAGAGATTCTGGGTTCCTGCAACTGCAGCCCCTCAGAGAGTGTAAGAGGGTCAGAAAAAGGAGATTAGGAAATGAGGGAAGCAGCGCTGTCAGAGTTTCCAAAGCCCTGGCCAGCAAGGCATCAGAGGCCTCTGTTGGGGTGGGGGCCTCCCTGGCTATGCGCTCCAGCAGCACAAGGCAGCCTCTGTGAGCTTCTCCCGCTTAGCCCTACAGGAAGCAGGAGGGCCCAGCCTCAATGGACTGATTCAGACCCCAGCACTCCAGAAAATACCTCTGCTTCCTGCCACCATTCCACTCTGGCCAAACAGCCTCTACTCTCTTCTGCTGGGAGGGGGCCACAGGCAGGTGGTTCAGTGGTTAGGGCCAACCATCTGCTTCAGTTCCTGTCTGGCCCAGATCCCTGATGTTGACCATGCCTTAGTGGGTGTATGTATACCTTTAGTGCAAGGGTGGTGTGACGGTTAATACTGAGTGTCAACTTGATTCGGTTGAAGGCTGCAAAGTATTGATCTCCTGGGTGTGTCTGTGAGGGCGTTGTAAAAGGAGATTAACATTTGAGCCAGTGGGCTGGGGAAGGCAGACCCACCCTTAATACTGGTGGGCACCATCTTTCTAATCAGTTGCTAGTGAATATAAAGCAGGCAGAAAAACATGAAAAGGCAAGACTGGCCTAGCCTCCCAGCCTTCATCTTTCTCCCACGCTGGACGCTTGCTACCCTCTAGCATCGGACTCCACGTTCTTCAGTTTTGAGACTCAGATTGTCTCTCCTTGCACCTCAAACTTGCAGACAGCCTATTGTGGGACCTTGGGATTGTGTAAGTTAATACTTGATAAACTCCCCTTTATATATCTATATATCTATATTTATATCTATATCTGTCTATATCTCCTATTAGTTCTATCCCTCTAGGGAACCCTGACTAACACAGGTGGGTAGGCACAGGGAGATGTGCCCCCTTCCCTGTGGGTGCTGGGTAGGTAAATGTTTAGCAATGGGCTTTCTTGGGGAGAGGGAACCCTGATTTTCAGTATTTGCCTCTTTTCCTGGTATAAATATTCCCACTGTGGGCAGTATCACATGGCTCTCAAAATTCCTGAAAATTCAACAGTTGGCTCCTGGCCACTGCTGTGAGCCGTTCCAGCTGGTGACTGTGGTGGCTCCATCCTGCAGGGCCATGTGTCCCCACCCCTTGTGCTATGGCCTCCCTCACTTTAGTGTGCTGTGTTTTGCTCTTAGGAATCAATGTCTTTGCAGATAAGGCACCCCAGTAGGTCACCACCTGCAGTTCCCTGGTCTGTCTCTTGCTGGCACCAAGCTGTGCTGTGCCTGCTGAGACTGCTGGGCCACCCCCACACAGATGGTCTGTGGGGCTTGCTTGATTCCCTTAGCTTCCCAGCCAAGGTGCTGGTGTTGCCAGCAGTGCTGGCAGGAGGAGGGGATAACTAGAGGGGATTTAACTCAACCCGAGGGGCTCTTACGGGATCTTTCCTTGATATCCCTCCAGGTGGGGCTGGCTGCCCTTAGGGCATAGAGACCTCCAACTCCTCCAATGGCTGAAGCTACTTCCTCGAGCAGATGGCAGCTGGCTCAGGCTGGCTAGGGACCAGTGCATGTGAGGCCGGTGCTGGATCACCCCATCAAGGCCATCAGCCTGTGCTTGTTCTTGGGGTTTGAGGGAAACCCAACAGGGATGAATCACGGTTTTTAACCTGTGTTTGTCTGCCCCCCAGCCCTGGACAACTGCAGGCAAAGTCAAAGTTATATCTGGCTCTTGTCACCACAAAAGGCATAGACCAGAAATTATGGCAGTGGGTTGGAAGTCAGGGAGGCTAATTTGGGGAAACTGCCTGGAGGAAGCAGCAACTCAAAAGAGGAGGAGTCCCAGTGTGGGACAGAACGGGCCTTGCACAAGAACCACTAACCCCAGGCAAGCCCAGACATGGCCTTCTGCCTGGAGAGGCCATCTTTGGCCTGCCCAGCAGACCCTCAGCCCCTCCTAGGCCCTGTATTCAGCCTCAGACTGAGTGGTGGCCTGGGGAAGTTGGGAGCTCAGCTGTTCTCATCCCTGGTTCCTTGGCCAAGGTGGAAACAATGGGGCCGGATCTGACTGCTCAGTGGGGACTGTGAATAGCTCTCCAGCAGGAAGCAACAGCAGGGGTAATGGAGGAAGTGTGGGCCCACTTTGGTTTGACACTGCATATGGTCCCCATCTGGCCTCAGAGCCTTTACTCCTTGGCAAACTCAGGCCAATAAGCTCCAGCCCCCACCCTCAATGGCAGCTGGAAGAATGGCCTGAGGGAGAAGTGGGGATAGGTGGGCCACACTGACATCACCCCCAGATACCAGCCATGGCCCCAGCCAATGCATGGAGGCGAGGCATGGCACAGCAGTTGCTGCACAGGAGCCCAAGCACAAGGGCACTTAGGAGAAGGAATCTGAGCAGGGATCAATCTGGCCTGGGGGTGATTCTCCAGAAACTCCATTCCTCAGGGCTGTGACCACCAAGCCAGGTGATCAGGCCAGTGATGTTTCCCTTTCAGCCAGGTCGGGGAGCCAGACCTGGGAGGGAGACTCCTCTGGGGCCCAGGGGATGCAAGTCAGAACTGGCAGAGGCCTCTGGCTCCAGGAACCTCCAAGAAGGAGACCTGAGTTGCTGGGAATTTCTGGGTCTGACCTCCTGCAAAGTCAAGGTCTGGGCTGGACACAAGGTGAGGCTGTGCCTTCTGGTGCCAGGACCAAGGAAATGTGGGGATCTGGGCAGTGCTCAGAGACAGCAACATATAGCAGAACCATGAGGGTGCACCAGCACGGACCCCTTTCTGCAACCCACCCATCCCTCCCTGCAGCACCTCGCCTCCTCCAGGCAAGAATCTGAGCCTTGACCACAGCTCCCTCTCTCACACAGCTTCCTTCTTTGGTGAGAACCACCTGGAGGTGACTGTGGCCATGGCTCTGACTGACATAGACCTGCAACTGCAGTTCTCCACGTCCCAACCCGAAGCCCTCCTTCTCCTGGCAGCAGGCCCAGCTGACCACCTCCTGCTGCAGCTCTACTCTGGACACCTGCAGGTGAGTGAGGGTGAGATTCCTTGTCCAGCTTTGAGTGAACCCCAGCTGGCTGTGTGACCTTGTGTAAGTCACCTTTCTTGGGGTTTCAAGTTCTCTACTGTGGGATGGGCAGCAGCAGCTCAGAAATGGTAAATCCTTCATGAACTGGCTCTGCTCACCAGCTCCCTCCAACCATGTTTCCCACCACAAGCCCTCACTGGCCTTTGTGCTCTGACTGCACTGAACTGCTTTCAGTTCCTGGCCATCTTATGGTCACTTGCTGCCAGTCCTTTGGTCATCACACTCCTCCTGCCAGGTGTGTGCCCCACCCATTCCCTGCACCTGCCTAACTCTAGCCTCTCCTTGAAGTTTCAGTGTGGGCATCCCCTCCTCCTGGGCAAGGCCCCCTCCTGGGCCCCCATGACCCCTGTGCTTCCCGGTGGCACTGCACCAATTTCTCTGCAGCACCACTGTCTGTCCATGACAGTAACAGCACCAGTACTGCCTCAGCTTCATTTTTCCATTTCATCCTTCAAGACACCACAAGCTTTATTATCAAGGAGTCTTGTGGCTCCTTCTTGAGTCTTCCCCCATACCATAAAGAGTTTAAGAACCCAGGGTCTTAGTGCAAATTTGGGGCAAGCTGGGTGCAGTGGCTCATGCCTATAATCCCACCACTTTGGGAGACCAAGGTGGGAAGATCACTTGAGCCTAGGAGTTCAAGACTGGCCTGAGCCACACAATGAGACTCCATATCTATTTTAGAAAGAAAAAAAAAATTAACAAATTTGGGGCAGCCATCTCCTTCCGCACCCCAGTGGGAAGAGGACTAGGGCTTGGTCAGTCTGCTGCTGTCATTGCTGCTCACTGCCACAAGTGTCACTGTTGAACACCTATGTGGTGCAGTCTGGCACTGATGGCTGTTGAGCTCTGTGGGTACAGTGGTGCCACATCCCTACAGAGATGCACCATACCAGGATTCCAAGATCATGGTTCTTAGTGTTCTGGTTCTGCAGTTCCCGTACTCTGCCATCACCTATTCTAGCACCTGGGAGCACCACACCAGAGCCATTTCTTGTGTCAATGTCATGGTGACAGAACTATGTCCTTCATCTCTCCTTGAGATCTTCCTCCCCCACAGGACAGGGAGCTTTTTTTTCAGAACACAGAGCATCTGCCTGGGTTCCCTATCCCTGAACAGTTAGCCTGGCTTCCTTCAGTGACCTCAAGAAACTTTGCCAAACTTAGGGGGACTGATCAAGGGATTCTCAGTTACCCATTATTCCAGGGGTGAAATCTAGATTCCAAGACAATATTTCTGGTGCTTCTCTCTCAAGGAAAGAGGAGGAGAATTTAAAAATACAGGTTGGGTTTCTAGAAGAGCATCTTGCTATATGTCAGTTCATTGTGGGCAAGGACCACATCTGATTCACATCAGGGTCCCCAGAGCCCATCCAGGCCTGGCCCAGAGTTTCCTTTGGTGAGTGTTTGGAGGATGAATAAAGAGATGGCAGGAAGGCAAGAGGAGTGGCACCAGAGGCCCTTGTCCTAGGTTTTCTGCTCTGGGGACCCAACTGTGGGGAACCCACTGTGCTTTTATAAGGGAAATGATGGATTCAAAGTGCTGCCCCCCATCTCCCATTCCCTGTCTCTCCTCAGGTCAGGGTTGTCCTGGGCCAGGAGGAGCTGAGGCTGCAGATCCCAGCAGAAATGCTGCTGAGTGACTCCATCCCCTACACTACAGTTCTGACTGTCTCAGAGGGCTGGCCCACATTGTCAGTCAATGGGTTTCTGAATGCCTCCTCTGTAGTCCTGGGAGCCCCCCTAGAGGTCCCCTATGGGCTCTTTGTTGGGAACACTGGGAGCCTTGGCCTGCCCTACCTGAGGGGAACCAGCCATCCCCTGAGGGGTTGCCTCCATGCAGCCACTCTCAATGGCCACAGCCTCCTCCGGCCTCTGACCCCCGATATGCATGAGGGCTGTGCTGAAGAGTTTTCCACCAGTGACGATGTGGCCCTGGGCTTCTCTGGGCCCCACTCTCTGGCTGCCTTCCCTGCCTGGGGCACTCAGAACAAAGGAACCCTGGAGTTGGCACTCACCACACAGATCTGGCAGGCACCCTTGACCTTCCAGGCAGCGGGCTGGCATGGGGACTTCATCCATGTGGACATATTTGAGGGCCACCTGTGGTTCATGGTCGAGAAGGGCCAGGGTACTGTATTGCTCCTCAACAGTGTGCTTGTGGCTGACGTGCAGACCCTCAAGGTCAGCATCCACATCAACACTCACCAGCTAGAAATCTCCATGGACCAGTACCCCACACGTACTTTGAACCGAGGAGTCCTCAGCTGCCTGGAGCCATGTGACAGTCTCCTTCTTGGGGAGCTGGTTGCAGAGGCCTCTCATCCCCTCCAGGAACACCACTGAGGCCTGACACCAGGGGCCGCCAATGCCTCCCTGCTGGGCTGGCTGTATGGAAGACCTCAGTGTCAATGGCCAGAGGTGGGGGCTTCGGGAAGCCTTGCTGACACACAACATGGCGGCAGGCTGCAGACTGGAGGAGGTGGAGGAGTATGAGGACAATACCTATGGCCATTATGAAGCTTTCTCCACCCTGGCCCCCAGGGCTTGGCTGTCCATGGATCTAGCTGAGCCATGCATGCTTGAGCCAGGGCTGCCTCCTGTCTTTACCAATTTCACCCAGCTGCTGACTATCAGCCCAGTGGTGGTGACCGAGGGTGGCACAGCCGAGTGGTGGCATGTGCAGCCCATGCTGGCCCTGATGGAGGCTGAACTGCATAAATCCCAGGTGCTGTTCAGCGTGACCTGAGGGGCACACTACAGTGAACTCGAGCTGGACATCCTGGGTGCCCAGGCATGAGAAATGTTCACCCTCCTGGACATGGTGAACTGCAAGGTCTGCTTCATCCATGATGGCCCTGGTGCTGGAGGTGTTGGTGATGGCTTGGGTGCCCATGCCTTCATGCCTGCGGAGGGGCCAAACTGACCTCCTGCCCATCCAGGTCAACCCTGTCAATGACCCACCCCGTATCATCTTCCCATGTGGCAGCCTTATGGTGATCCTGGAACACACACAGAAGCCTCTGGGGCCTGAGGTTTTCCAGGCCTATGACCTGGACTCTGCCTGTGAGGGCCTCACCTTCCAGCTCCTTGGCACCTCCTCTGGCCTCCCTGTGGAGCACTGAGACCAGGCTGGGGAGCCGGTGACCCAGTTCTCCTGCTGGGAGTTGGAGGCCGACAGCCTAGTCTATGTCCACTGCAGTGGCCCTGCATAGGACTTGACGTTCCGGGTCAGCAATGGACTGCAGGCCAGCCCCCCGTCCATGCTGAAGGTGGTGGCCATCCAGCCGGCCATACAGATCCACTGCAGCACAGGGCTGCATCTGGCCCAGGACTCTGCCATGCCCATCTTGCCTACCAACCTGTCGGTGGAGACCAGCACCGTGGGGCAGGATGTGACTGTGTTGTTCTGTGTCACCAGAGGCCTGCAGTTCAGGGAGGTGCAGAAGCAGGGGGCTGGTGGGGTGGAGGGTGCTGAGTGGTGGGCCACACAGTCATTCCACCAGCAGGATGTGGAGCAGGGCCACATGAGGTACCTGAGCACTAACCCACAGCACTATGCCGAGGACACCGTGAAGAACCTGGATCTGCAGGTGCAGGTGAGCTGGGAAATCCTGAGCAATCTGTCCTTCCTAGTGACCATCCAGAGAGCCACTGTGTGGATGCTGCAGCTGCGGCCACTGCACACTCAACACCCAGCAGAGGCCCTCACCACAGCCCACCTGGAGGCCACCCTGGAAGAGGCAGGCCCAAGCCCCCCAACCTTCCACTCTGAGGTGGTTCAGGCTCCCAGGAAAGGCAACCTTCAACTACAGGGCACGACACTGTCAGATGGTCAGGGCTTCACCCAGGATGATGTACAGGCTGGAGAGGTGACCTATAGGGCCATGGCACATGCCTCAGTGGCAGTGGAGGACACCTTCTGTTTCCATGTCACAGCTCCACTATATTTCTCCCCACTCTGTACTTTCTCCATCCATACTGGCGGTGACCCAGACATGCCTGTCCTCACCAATGTCCTCTTGGTGCCCGAGGGTGGTGGGTGTGTCCTCTCTGCTGACCAGCTCTTCGTCAAGAGCCTCAACAGTGCCAGGTACCTCTATGAGGCCATGTAGTGGCCCCGCCATGGGAGGTTGACTTGGTGTGGGGCACAGGACAAGACCACTATGGTGACTTCCTTCACCAATGGAGATCTGTTGCATGGCCAGCCGGTCTAGCAGCATGATGACTCCAAGATCACGGAAGATGATATGCCATTTGCTGCTGCCACCAGGACCAGAGCAGTGGTGATGTGGCCTGGGAGGAGGTACGGGGTGTCTTCTGAGTGGCCATCCAGACTGTGAATGACCACGCCCCTGTGCAGAGCATCAGCTGCGTCTTCCATGTGGCCTGGGGTAGGTGGCAGCTGCTGACTCCACACAACATGGCCTTCAGCAATGCTGATTCAGGCTTTGTGGATGCCCAGCTGGTGCTGACCCACAAGGACCTCCTGTCTGGCAGTATCATGGCCACGGATGAGCCCATGCAGCCCATCTTCTGCTTCATCCAGGAGGGGCCTCAGGAAGAGGCGAGTCCTGTTCACGCACTCAGGCTGACCATGGCTGGATCCTGCTGCATGTGTCCGACAGGCAGCACCAGGCCATCTTGGTGCTGGAGGTGCAGGCCTTGGAGCCTTACCTCTATGTGGCCAATGGCTCCGGCCTCAAGGTCCCTCAAGGAGACCAGGGTACCATCAATATGGCCGAGCTCCACCTGGGCACCAACCTCGACATCCGCAGTGGGGATGAGGTCCACTACCACATCACAGACAGCCCTTGCTGGGGACAGTTGCTCCAGGCCACTCAGCCAGCACAGCCTTCGCCCAGAAGGACCTGCTGGTTGGGGCCGTTCTCTTTGGCCACAATGGCAGCCTCAGCTCCCGCAACACCCTGGCCTTCTCAATGGATGTGGGGCCTTCTCAATGGATGTGGGGCCTTCTCAATGGATGTGGGGCCAGTGCACACAGACAGTGCACACGGTGCACTCTACAAGTGACCATTGCCCTAGAGGGCCCACTAGCCCCACTGAAGCTGGCCTGGCACAAGAAGATCTACATCTTCCTGGGAGAGGCAGCTGAGATCAGAAGGGACCAGCTGGAGGTGAGGAGCTGGGGGTGGTGAGTGGGGGTGTGGACCAGGTAGAGGGCCTTCCTCCCAGCCTCCCTGCCGGGAACACATGTGACTTGGGCTGTGCCTGTGGTGGTCCCAGGTTGCGTGTGTGCACGTGCCTCAGATGTGCTCCCATATATGTTGTGTTCCCAAGAGTTTCTGGGGAGCTTGCTGTACACCCATCCTCCGGGGAGTTGTGTGTGCCTCTAGAGGTGGTGCCCACTCATGTCCATGGCATGGCTGAGCATGCAGATTCCTGGACCCCACCCAGCCCTACAGAATCTCTGAAGTGGAGCCCGAGAATCTGCATTGCAGTCAGTTCCCTGGGAAGGCATCACGGGTCCTGAACTTTTGGGATTGCTGGCCGTGGAGACAGGCCACTGCCCCTCAGACCCCTGTGTACCCTGCTTTTTTCTCAGAGCCCAGACCAGGACTAGGAGGGTCTGTCAAGGGCTTCTGCTCATCCAGGAACCCCACAGAACCCCACAGACCAGCCACAGGCCTTCCAGAGATCTCACTGACATGCCCTGTGACCTCAGGCCAGTCCTTGCCCACTCTCAGCCTTACTCTCCCACACTGCTCATTTCGGAGACCCTTCTGGTCTGCATCTGAGCGTGGGGCCCACGGTGAGCCAGCAGATCTGGCATCAGGAAGGTCTCATGGGAGGAGGCAGTGTTTGGGCTGGGCTCTGAAGAGCACAGGCCATCTGGAGCAGGGAATGGGGAGTGGTATTCCAGGCAAAAGGAACATTCCTGGCAAAGGCACAGAACAGGAATGTGAGTTTGGGGGCAGTTCACAGGGGAGGACCTGGTGAACTTCACTCAGGGAGAGGTAAGGGCCCCACTCTGCAGTCACCACTCAGATGCGCCCAGCCTCAGGTGGCCACTGTGCTATGGACATCATGTGGACATGGGCACCAGCTCCAGCATCACTGTCAGCAGACACTCCCGGGCCTGCCATGGTCCAGGGCCCTGGTGTCCTGCCCTCCAGGAGTCATCAGGCTGGTGGGGCAAGTTCATGTTCCCAGAAGGAGGGAGAAGGATGCAGGAAGTTGGGGATACAGGTCCCTAGAGCAGGGCTGGGGTCTTGGGGTGTGGCTTCCAGAAGGAAGCTACAGCTGGACCCAAGGGTCTAGAGAGGGAGCACCATGTAGGGGCACTAGTGGCACCCCAGTAGCTGGTGAGGGGCAGTGCTTGGTGGGGGATGGAGTCAGAGGTGAAGCAGCTGCTGGGGCCTGTGGGCAGAGGTGTGAGCCTGGGGCTCAGATCAGGTGCCAGCCAGAGGCAGAGTGGATCCTAGGAGCAGATGAGCTGATGAAAGGCAGCTGAGTCAGCCAAAAGGGGGAAGCCACTGTTCATCTGTCCTGGTGGCTTCAGGGAAGAACTAGAGCTCTCAGCCATGGGTAGTGGCAGACTCTGTGTGGTAATTGTGCCATGGGGACCAGCCCAGTCATTGTTTAAATGAACACCTCTCCCCAAAGGCAGAACGGGAGTTGTTCCATAGCAGGGCAGAGCAGGGCAGACTCTTTGTGGGCCGTCCTGGGCAGGCAGCACACCTGATGCTCCCACCAGGAGACTGCGTGAGCATCTGGACCCAGCACATGATCACAGTGAGTTCTGGGTAGGGAGTGGTCTTGTGGGGCGCAGAGCTGACTCTGTCATTCAGGAGCCACGGCACGCAGCACTGCCTCAAGTACCTCCAGAGGGGTCCCACTGCCAGCCCTTGAAAATGGCAGAGCCCACACCTAGCCCCCTTTTCAAGCTCCCTTGCTTGGGCAAGGACCTCCTGAGCCTGGCAGTCTCCCTCCTGAGAGGTGCAGATGGTACTCAGCAAGTGCAAAGCCAAGGTTTCTTGGGCCTCTCACATCAGTACCTCCCAGACCTGGGTTCTTTATTTCCCCAGAGCTCCACTCCTGCTATGGCACCCTCCCCACAATGAGATATTCATCAGGCTGGTGTCTACAGCTGCTGCATACCCTCAGTTGCTGGGATCCTTTGTCAAGAATGCCCAGGAATGAGGAGGGCATGGGACCAGACCATCAGCAACCCTCTTGCACTCTATAGTCCCACGTTACTCAGAGCTTCCCCATGCCCCAGCAAGATGGACTAGATTGAATGGTCACCAGGGGTCCAGGCTGGCAGTGCCACCCAGGAAAGCCGGGAAGAGGCTACATGGGCTACCTGGCCCACTCAGGGAGGAGGAGGGCAGGACTGGGTATTGTCTTGACAGCAGCCCTGTCCCACAACACTGAACTGGGCTGGGAAGGGGTCAGGTGTCCTTTTTCAGGTAAGAAAACTGAAGCTCCTGGAGGGCAGGTAACTGTATTCAGAGCACATGGCGAGTAAGAGGCAAAACTTCTGCTGGCAAGTCCAGGATTTCTGTCACCAGAGGACACTGCTTGCTCCCCAGAGCTCAGGACCCTGTGTTTTGTCTCACTCCCACTCCTGGAGGCCGAGACGGGAGGATCACTTGAGCCCAGGAGTTCGAGACCAGCCTGGGCAACATAGTGAGACCTTGTCTCCACACAAAAATTTTACAAATAGCTGGGCTTGGTGGTGGCACGTGCCTGTAGTCCTAGCTACGTGAGAGGCTGATGTTGGAGGATTGCTTTGAGCCCAGGAGGTGGAGGCTGCAGTGAGCAGTGATCACTGTACTCCATCCTGGTGACAGAGCGAGACCCTATCACTGCCCCCTGCCCTGCCAAAAAGAAAACTGAGTAGACAGGTGTCTTCTTGGCATGATAGGTCCTAAGTCCCCTCCCAGATCTGTGACATTGGACAGGTGTCTTTTCCTCTCGACCTCAGTGTCCCCATCTGAGTGAGAAAAGGCGGTGGGGAGGGGGATCTTCCAGTTGAAGCGGTATAGAAGCCCGTGTAAAAAGCCATACTCCAAGGGGCTCCAAGTCCAGCACACAGTCCCAGCAGGGCCCAGCAAGGCAGCCAGGGTGGCACAGGCAGCAGGTCCCAACCTTCTTCCCTGTTTGTCCACTCTCAGACCACGGAGTTCATCATCTCGGAGCCGCTGGCCAATCTGTACTCATGTGGGGACCAGAACACACTGATGGAGGAGTTGGCAAAGCAGGCACAGCAGCGCGACAAGATGCTGTGCATGCACCACGCGCTGAAGGAGGCAAATGACATCAACAGGTGACATCAACAGGACCACCGTCAGCATGCCCATGCCCCCGCCTGTGGATGACACCTGGCTGCAGGTGCAGAGTGTCCCTGAGGAACACAGGTACCAGGGACTGGCCCCCATAGCCCCAAAGTCCCCCATCCGGGCCACACAGAGGAGTGCCCAGGGCTTAGTGGCACGCTCCCTCATGGGGTGGTTCCCACCTGGAGTAAGGGGTGGAGCTGGGATGTTCTCACCACTGGGGGCGGGGCTTAAGCTCCGGCGACTGTCTCTGGGGGTGGCCGGGGCTGGGGCGGGGCCTCAGGGGGGCAGAGCCGCCCATCTCTCCCCTCCCTGTGCCTTGCAGGTCACCCAAGTCCAGCCCCAGGATGCCCAGACCCTGCCATGTCCCTAGCCCGGCCTGGGTGGCGGGCCCAGCTCTTGGGCTTCCTCTTGCCAGGTCCACCCTTGGGGAAGCGTGCCCTGTACCCTCCAGGCTAGAGGCTTCCCCTGATCCCTTCGGCCCCTACCCCACCAGGTGCACTCATGCCCCACCCGGGGTCTCCAGGTGAGTAGGGGCTGAATGCGACCAAAGAGGCTGCCGGATGGGCGTGGCCGGGATGGAAATGGGACTGGATTCCAGAGCATCAGACCTGGCCGCCTCCATCCAAGGCACTGGGACCATGGGTGCCAGAGCCACGTGTGGCCAAGGGCTGGCGGAGCCTGCCCCCCAGGGAGCACTGACTCCTGGAAGTGGTCGTTTTTGAGGGGGCTGTGGGGCTTGTCCCACCTGCCCCCTTCTGTCCAGTATGTGCATGGCACTTCCATCTTGGTGGGTTTTCACTCTTGGCGGCTGCCACACTTTGCATTTCTCTTCCTTTCTTCTTCTCACTGTCCTCCATCCTCCATTCTGTCCAACTCCTATCCCAGCCCCTGGGGAGCCTACCTCAGGTCTGAGAGTCTGGGTGTGTGGATTTCCTTCAGCTACCCGGATGTCCCCACTTCCAAGTCCTGACTCCTTTGAGCCATCTCAGGGGGTGTCCAGCCACTGGACCACAGGAGTAGAGGCCAGGCTGTGACTGTGTGACCAGCAAGGTGTGTGATGTGTGCAGGTGCAAGCACACGACTGTGAGAGTGTAAGAATGGCACCCAGGCCTCAGCTAGGACAGAAGCAGCTGGGGAAGGAGCCTGGGGGCCACAGGCAATCTGATTTTTTCTCCACACCTGGACCACTCACCCTCTATCCCTAACCCTGTCTAAACTAATGGGGTAGTGGTAGCTGCAAGGGCAGGGATGAGAGTGGCTGAAGACTACTTCACTCCCAAAGATTTCTAAGGAAAATGGTTCTACCGCATCCTTTGGCTTGGCCTGGTTGACCCATGACCCTCTTTCAAGAACATTCACTCTGATTTCCAGTGTGCCCTGTTTCTACTGGCCACGTTCTCTAAGGAAGAACAATAGCATCTGTTTTTGTTTCCAAATGGCTGGACAGTGGGGCTGTAGGTCCAGCGCCCATATACAAAAATGAAGCAGGGATTGGGGCTTGCCCTATGACGTGCTGATGACCAAATTAGATGGGTAGAGGGAAGCAGCATAGTATTGGGCAAGATCACTGGACTGGGAGTCCAGAGATGCTGCTTCACCCTGGGGCTTTAAGCAAGTCCCTTTCCCTCCCAGAGCCTCAGCATCCCTTCTATGAAATGATGACGTTCTGCTTTTCTCCTAGGATGGCTGTGGGGATCAAGGGAGACAGTGGCCATAGGGATACTATGTTAACTGCAGATGTGGCCATAGGAGCACTTTGCTAACTGCCAACATGAGTTCAGACTCTTCAGGCTATTTGGCACCCAGGTCTATGGTGAGGTGTGACATATGGGATGCAAAGTTTGATGCCTGCTCCGACTCCAGTCTTGCTAACACACACGAAACCTTTGGCAAATCATGACCCTGCCTTGGGGAAAAGGGCAGTCTGGGAGAGTTTCTTCAAGGCAGCCTGGCTTCAATGCAGTCCGGGGCATGACTGAGATAGGCATACGTTGTGAGGAACTGGAGGGTAACTGGGTAAAGAGCTGCAGTGTGGGCAGAAGTGTAGTGTGGGTCACATTGAGGATAGCCACTGGCCAAAGCAGGGAACAGAGACAGAATGAGGAAGAGCTCTGTGGGGAGGGTGGGGCACCGGGTGGAGAACCTTCAAAGTCCAAAGAGTATGACTTTTTGGGATTCAATGCTGTAGGCAGTAGGGAGCCATGGAAGGCTCTTAGGTGGAGAAATGACAGCCGGACATTAGTGAGCAAGCCCTGTCTCCCTGAGCAGCATGGGTGGTCCTCTGAGCACGCCAGGCACGAGTGTGCAGGGAGCTGGTGCACATGCCTCTGTGTGCGGGTGAGCATCTGTGTTGTGACTCTGCCCACGCATGTACTTCAGTGTGCCGAGTGGCTGCACGCCCCAGATCCATGCAGCACGTGCCGGCCGGTGAGGGTGCTGGGCACCGGGAGGTGGTGGGGAGGGCGACGTATGCGTGTTGTTTGTGGGCATGTGTGTTAGCGTGTGCATGCGGGCCGTGGGGCCTCACAGCATGTGTGTGCACACTCCGGTGTGTGCGTGTGTGTCCCCCACCCCCAGGCCTGCCCCTTCCTTCTGGAGCTGCAGACTTGCTCCTTCCTTTTTCTGTCCTTGTGCTGCTGGCTGTCTCACTTCCCTCCTTGTGAGCCATGGGACTCAGTGCCACTTCTCAAGGTCTCCATGGCTGAGCCTGGGGGCTCCATGCCCAACCTGGCAGACATGGAACCATCAGAGAGGGCACAGAGCTCATGGTTTATGGTGTAGGGGCTGGGAGCTTCGAGGGGGTTGTGTGAGGGGCTGGACTCAGGCGGCCAGAGACCTGGGAACATCATACTGGGCACGCCGTACCTTTCGTGTGGTCTGAGTCATGCTGCCAGGGCAGGGATCCAGCTCCCAGCCTGGGAGTGCTGAGAGCCAAATCCACTGCAGATTAGGGGTGGTAGTCAGGGTCCCACATCCTCTATCTGTCAGCAATCCAGTGGTGATCTAGGATAAAAGCCTGAGAGTCCTATACACATGGTCATCCCACAACACACTTCATAGGCCATGGAAGGACACACAGCCCCCTTCCCTCCCTCCCAGGTACCATGATAGCTGCTAGCATGTGACTGAAGGCAGGGTCCCTGGCCCCTGCTGAAGCACTACTGCTGGCCAGCAGGCTCATGCACCTTGGCCTGTTGCTTCTAGGGTTCGCCAGTGCTATTCAGCCAAGGGGACCCCAGTGCATGCTGGCCCAGCTGAGCTCCACCTAGAGAGCTCACTTCCCTTTCCTGCAACGGAGTCTCCCTCCTCTGCTTTTCCCAGCAGGAAGGGCCCAGCCACACCTATGTAACCTGCAGCCCCCCGCTGACCAGTTGAGGCTCCCATTAGACTTAGAAGTCTATGGCCAATGGCATCCAACTACCTGCCCTCCCTGCCTTCCCCAGGTTCCCTCAGAGGACCCTGGGCTTTCTGATGGCTCAGAGGGGCCTCTGGCATTCACTCCAGCCAGCCGTCCCTTATAGATCCACCATTTTGGTTCAGTGTTCCTTCTCTATCAGGCTTGGTGGCTGTTGGATGGGGCTCTCCAAGCAAGAGGTGGCCCTGGGCCAGTGGGTTGGAAGACATGGGGACCACAGAAGAGGGAAGCCCGAGGGGGCTGGCATTGGTCTGAACTGTGGGTGGATGGGTGGATTGCCTGGGTGCCATGAGAGACGCCAGCGTGTGTGGGGTGGGGAGGGCCGCCGCAGTCCCCAGGCACTACCTATGAAGCTCTGGCTTCTCCCTCCATCTTCCTCCCCTTTCCTTTCTAGCCCCTCTTTTCCAGGAACCTTGCCATGCCCACAGCTACGCCCTCCCCTCCCCGGCCCTCCCACAGCTTCTGCAGCGCACCCATACTCTGCACTCGCCTCACCAGCTCTGACTTTTCTCTAACCCGTTTTCTCTCTGCTTTCTCTCCAACTACCAGCTGATCGGGTCAGGCAAGTCCATCCCATCCTGAGAGCCCCAGGCCCCACTTCGACCTCTAAACAGATTCCTCCTCTTCTCAGAGACCTCCCTTTCCAAGCCTGCCTGGGTGGGTGTCCTGTGACTTGACAGTGGCTCCCCCAGCCCCAAAGCCAGCCCCCTTCATCTGTGACTTAGTCTGTTGTAGTGGTGAGCTGACACATCCAGGTGTGACCATTGCTGAAAACTTGTGCCCCCTCTGTGGTATGCCCCTGCCCAGTTCTATAAATAGCTATAAATTCTCTCTCTCTCACACACACACACACACACACACACACATATATACATATATATACGTGGCCAACTGCCTCAGCTCTAGCACTGGGAATCAGTCCCCGTGCTGTGCTTGCGGAGTCTTGTGGACCAGCAAGAGGAAGCTGTCTCCTGACATCGCCCCTCCAACGTGCACCACCTCCATTGAGCTTCCGGGACATGCGTGGCCTGCGGACAGCTAGCCCCCGCCATCCCTCCCACCCTTCTGGCCAAGCATGGCGGTGCTGTGCAGGCAGCTGTGTGGCCTGACAGCCTCTACCAGTCCTGCTGTCCCTTGGCTGAGAAACCCATTTCTGGATGACAGAGAATGTGTCCTCTGCTGGCTGTGTTCTCTATGGACCTCAGGGGACGGAAAAAGCCAAGCCATTTTTAAGGTGTTGTTGGGAGCAGTGAAAAGGTCACACCCTTTTCAAGGGACACTTTTCCTGGAAAGTCCCTGGAGCTTAGCTGGATCTCACCCTGTGAAGCCAGCTCTGGCCACTAGGGGACAGGGCCCTGAACTCAGCCTGGAGGGAACCTGCGGGGCAGCCGGCACTCTGGAGGGACAGACAGGCCACCTGGTGCAGACAGGAGAGGGAGGCAGGGGGACAGAACGGAAGACACTTAGGGTGGATGGAAGTCAGTGCCCTTGGGCGCAGGTATCTGCCTTCCCTGCCACAGCTACATCAGGCTTCTCAACCAGTTGGCTGTCAGGGCCAGACTGTACTCCGTAGGTGACATGGCAGTCCCCATGAAATCCACCAGGTGTCACCAGGCAGCATACAGGTAACAGGCCTGGAAGGTCCCCAACAGCCCAGCTGGACATTCTGAGACACTCTGGGGCTCCTCATTCAGTGGGACAAACTGCAGGACCCAGTGAGGGAAACAGGAACATACCAGGCCGAGCAGTATGGCTAAATCCATTTATTCCAAAATCAAAAGCAAAAAAAAAAAAAAAAAAAACCGAGTACCATCACCAGGGAGCCATGACCCCATCCCCGCCTCCTTCCTTGCTCCTATGCTAGCAATAAATAAGTTTCCCAGCCGTGAACAATTATAAGAACCTCTTCCTCATATGCCAGCTGCAACCTCCGGTAGGTACGATACAGAATGTTACACAGATACAGTATGTACACGGGGGAAGGGGGGCCACCCCCAGCAGCCTGTGCCCTCACCTCATCTACAGTTATCTCCACTGTCCCGCCTCAGCTGCCTCTCTGAGTAAGAAGATGGGAGCCCCCCTGAGGGAAAAGTTGCTTTGGTGAGAGTAAGGAGGCCATCAGACCTCCTCCAAACAAACCAACTCCACCAACCTCTGGCTCTTACATAACAAACATCATCATCCAGAAATGTAAGGACTCAGGCTTGGTCAAGGTGGTAAAGGGTCTCTTTGTCTCCCTCCATTAGACAGGGGTCTTGTCTTGCTACCCTAATGGTAAAGGAGTGACAGGGAAGGGGTTGTAGGGACATGGTAGGGGTGAAGAATCCAGACCCACTTCTCCAGGCGTATGCTGACAGGGGCCTTCTTTTATTTATTTTTATTTTTATCCCATGATGTTTTTTTAAGTCCTGTAACTTCTTTTTCAGGATGTTTTGAAAAAAAATTTCATAAAACTTTTTTTACTTTTTTTCCACAATTTTTTTGCCACAACTTGTCCACAGTATTTTTTATCCCGTAACTTTTTCATCCCACAACTTTTTTAAATTCCTGTCACTTTTTTAGTTTGTGTTCTTTTAATAAACACACTTACATAGTTACAATTTTGTAAGAATAAAAACCGATTATCTCATGCCAAGCATACCCAGAATTTGCAGAGTCTCAATACCCAATACTATAGTTTTCAAGACACACAAAATTTTTAGGCAAAACAGCACCTTGAAACAATTTAATAATGTATTACATTATAGTAGCATCACAAAAGCAGTCAATAATGCCACTTTAGACAAAAATCAGTATTTCCATTATGCATTCTGTGTATAAGAATTCATAAATCAGTAAAAGTCATTCTAAGAAAACTTGGCAAATACAGCTTTGGACTGGAATTGGCATTTCTTTGTCTACTTTCCTTCCCCTACATTCTTTGTTTTAAACAACAGTATTCATATTTTAAAATGTTTTAAATTATTTTAAGACATTAATATAGCAGTTACATTTTTGAATAGTTATTTGAAAGTGACTGTAAGATAAAGTTTTAGAGAATCTATTATGGATAGGGTTGGCTTACATTTTCACATTTTCTAAAAATCAGCTTTGGTTTTAGAACTGATTGTTTTTCATTTCCGGAAAACCTACCAGGTTTAATCAATTACTTTAAAAATAATTATCATATTTTGCAGTCTTTAAATAGGTGTTTTGATTCTTTACTCCCTGAAGAAATTCAAATTTATTCAGTTGAAGTCACATTTTTAAATTCTATGTTCCTGCTGAACTCTAACCTTCTAATGTTGCCTTCTAAGCAAATTAAAAGCTGCCTTATACTGAATGAGGTAGAGAACAAATACTTGGCTGAATGAGGTACTGCAAAAGACTGCATGCACTTTGAAGAAAGACTTGAGTTATTGTCATAGGATTTCCATTCTCTTTAGCTTTTTCTTAAACATATGACAAAATACCTACACAAAGAGTGGTATTTGAATTAATATAGTATATTTATATTTCAGACTGACATTCAGCTTAAATATGCCAGTATGTGATTTAATCCAGAGGTACCTGATGAACACATTATTGTCAGATTGGTTACAGTTGCTAAATGCTATCTGAAGGTCATTCCTAGTCATTTATGTGTCAGGGTAAAAGTGAAGTGATTTGAACTATAAAAATACCTTTGAAATAATTTATCAATGTATTAGATAAGCTCAGTTTCAGAATGATAAACAAAAACTGTTAGACCAAATAACATGGCTAATTAACAGTGGTATGATTTCTAGCCCGAGGGTTTAAAATGGAGTTAAAGTAAGTGTCTTTAAACTGAACTCAAAGAATGCAAAAGCAGCAAGTTCAGAAAAGGCAAGAACAGGACCTTTAGTCCATTTTAAGCCATAAATATTACAAAAAATATGCCTCTAACTGAAACTGAGAGGTATAAAAACATATTTCACTCTTCATAAAGAACTTTGTGAGGAAATATAACTGATTGTATAGACACTTTCCTCATGACACTTTGACATTCACAAACAGTAGATTGTGCTGCAGTTTGTAAACATTTTAAGTTGCATAAACTGCTCCTTGATTTTCAAATGTAGTATAATACTGTCTACTAAAATTCCTTTTTGTTTCAACTAAGTACTCTCGCTATATTAGTTTATAACAATGTTTGTTATTATTTTTAAAGTGTTCTCCATTCAAGGAAAATAAGTAAATTCCTATGTCAGACGGTTGAACACTAGCTATTAGCCAGAGAGGTCTAGATGGTAAAATCCATCTTCTAGCCTCAAATAAGCTATATGAACATAGAGGAATGCCAGGTGTCACACAGCTTTCCTTCACTCAAATTCATTCTTGACTAGAGCCTGTATGCCTGTTCCAGGGACATTTAAACTCTTAAAGGATTTCTTCTGATCTTTACTAAATACAATAAGGAGAATGCCAACCAGTGCCCTTTTGTGTACTGGGACATGTAGTCATGTGATTAAAACAGGGAACATGAACTCTGACTTTAAAATGTTTGTAGATATAAATGCTCTCAGCTAGAAAAGTTTTTCCACATCCACAGTCATGATGGGAGCCTTTCATTCCTCAGAAATAATCCCTTTTCATGTCGTCAAAAAAGAGTACAACTGCCACAGCTCATGAGGCAGTATCTTCATGAGCCCAGAGCACATACAAATCCTAAGGGAACTACCATAGTACAGTGCTCATTCTTGGCACCGGAACAAATGAAACATATTCTATCCTGCACACACCTACCAGAGCAGGCCACTTTCCTCTTTTGGGAGATTTAAAAACCTCCCCAAAATGTTATTACTCCCATCCCCAATACACAGAAAAAGGGGGAAAAGCTGTTTCCAGTGCTTCACCTTTAAACAACTGTAAATGTCAGTACTCACAGTGGCATATTACAAAGTAATAGACCGTGCACTTGAGGGCAGACCACATATTGAGCTAATGAAGAGCTCACTGTGATTAGGATTTGATCAAACATAACAGCAGAACATAAGGAAATTTTATCTGAATTCCGTAATGAATATACATGCTGTACTAACATTTAAAAAGCATGGCAGCCTATCCCAAACCAGCAAGAAAAGTTGTATGCACATAGTGGGTCTTTGGGTGTTTGAACTCCCACCACATAAGGGCAAACTTGATATGCATGCTAACATCCTATAATTATCAAATTTTAAAAAATGCTAAAGGATGCCAGAGTGAACATGAGGGAAAGACCCACTCTCATTTAACTTTTTACAAATAAATTTAAACTATAAATTAGAAACACAAATAAATTTAAACTATAAATTAGAAACACAAATAAATTTAAACTATAAATTAGAAACACAAATAAACATAAGTGGCTCTAACTTTCAAATGAAGTAAATGAATTGTGTGGGAGACTAACCCCTTAACTTTTTTTTTTTTTTAATTTCTTGACCAGCTCTTAGATGATGGTGATGTTTATCTCCCTGTTCTCGGCAGCCCAAAAAGAATGGCATGCAGCATCTCCTGCTCCTCCTGCAGCCTCTCCTGTACCAACAGCTTCTCCACCCAAGCCTGGGTGCTCCTGGGGAGTCCTGCATTAGAGGAAGGAGCTGCTGGATCTGCTGTGCAGTGGGGTTGTCATGGAGAGAACCCTCCCTGTCCTCTCCTGGTGCAGCCTCCACGCTACCAGTGAGGCTCACCTCACTAAGATCTTCAGAGAGAGGGAGGGGGGTGGGAATCTGAGCACAGTGCCAGCCTCCCCTGCTCCTGCCTGCCCACCCCACCTGAGGGCTCTACTCACCACACTGCTTGTCCGCACACCCAAGCTCCTGTGGGATCAGGGCTCCTAGAGCGGTACACAGGTACTGGTCTTGCTGCTGCCGCAGACTTGGAGCCTCTTGGCTCTTCAGCTTCACCTGCCGGAAGACCCTGGGCATGAGGGCATGTGGTGGCTGGCTTCCAGATTCCTGGCCCATTAATAGGGTAGCAAGGGCACCGTGGGGCTCTGTGGCCTGCCCAGGCCGTGGACCCTTGCTCCAGCCCTAAGAGACTGCCTCCCTTGCCTGGAACCCCATGCCTCCTTCCCCAGCCTCAAATCTCACATCCTTTTTCCCAGCATTTAAACTGTAGACCAAAGACTGATGGAAAAGCAGGGGGAGCCAACCACCATCTGCTAAGTGTGCTACATGCCTAATGTTTCCACGTATTATCTCATTTAATCCTCAGCACCTCTGCAAGGAAAAGGCTAACTTCGTTTTGAAGTTAAAGAAACAGAGACTTAGAGATGCAAAGTAGTTGAATTATGACCAGTGGAACCAAGGCCAGAATCCAGTTTGAATCTAAGGAGTCTTGTTTTTCTGTTTTGTTTTGTTTTGTTTTGTTTTGAGACAGTGTCACTCTGTGTCCCAGGCTGGAGTGCAGTGGTGTGATCTCAGCTCACTGCAACCTTCACCTCCTGGGCTCAAGTGATTCTCGTGTCTCAGCCTCCCGAGTAGCTGGGATTACAGGCATGCGCCACCAGGCCCGGCTAATTATTTTTTTAAAAAAAGTTTTAGTAGAGATGAGGTTTCACCATGTTGGCCACGCTGGTCTCAAACTCCTGACCTCAAGTGATTGTCCTGCCTCAGCCTCCCAAAGTGCTGGGATTACAGGCGTGAGCCACCACACCCAACATAAGGAGCCTCTTATACCACTGCCTCTTCCTCTGTGATTGGGGGGCTCCATGCCTCTAGCTGGGATGATGATGTCCAGACCTGGGAGGAGCCCAGGGCTACCCACCTCTAAAAGTCAGAGGGCCGGAAGCAGAAACAGTCATAGGACTGCACTGGAGGGTGCTGGGGTCACCTGCCCTCAGGCTGCAGCTGCCTCTGGCCTGGCACATCCCCTCCCCAGAGGCTGGTGCCTGCCTCTCACATCTTCTTGGAGGGGTCGGAGATTACCGTCTCTTTCAGCTCACCCGGCTTCTTCAGCTCCTTTACTTGTTCCTCCAACTGCATTGCGCTCTTGTTCTCATTGTTCTGGACAGAGAGAAACAATCAGTGGCCACCCACTAAAACTGGAGACCCCAGAACTTAGTGTCTGCCTCCCATGGCACCAGGAAGGGTGGAGGCAGTTTAGAAAAATCATACCCTGTCTCCCACAGCCATCAGAGCAGGGCTCCGTCTCACAGGTGCCTTTAGAAGTACCACTTCATGTGAAGGCTACAATGCCCCATTTTACAGGTGGGGAAACAAGGGCCTTGAGGGCTAGGGAAGAGGGCAGCCTCCCCAGGTGGGGCAACGCACCAGCTCCTTGAAGCCGCTGTGTGACTCCGCCCTCTGCTCATAGAGGGCTTCCCAACCCAGCTCCAGCATCCTCTCCAGCACCCACATCCTCTCCAGCTCCCACAGAGTCTCCTGCTGCCACAGTCTCTCATCCTGCTCCCAAAGCCTCTCCTGTTCCAGCAGCTCCTCCACCTTGTCCAGCAGCCTCTCCCTCTCCAGCAGCCTCTCCTGCTCCTCTTGCCACCTCTCCTGTTCTAACAGCTTCGCCACCTCTTCCAGCAGTCTCTCCTACCCTGGCAGCTTTTCCTGTTCACACAGCCTCTCCTCCTATTCACATAGCCTCTCCTCCTGTTCACATAGCCTCTCCTTCTGTTCATGTAGCCTCTCCTCCTGTTCACGTAGCCTCTCCTCCTGTTCACGTAGCCTCTCCTTCTGTCTCCTGTTCAGGAGACTCAACATCTGATTGTTTTCCACCTCAGCCTGGAGCTGTCTTCCCACACTCTCCAGCTCCTTCCTTAGGTGGTTGGTCTCATCTTGTAGCTGCTCCACCTCAGAGGGCCCTGCTGGGGGCTCTGGGGCCAGGGGTTCAGCTGAGAAAGGAAGCAGACAATAAGGGCCTCTGGACTCTCAAAAAAAAAAAACAAAAAAAAAACCTCCCTTTGTTGGACAGCTCCTCCTCTCAGGCTTCCCAAACTTGGCCTCACTGCTAATGACTCCTCACACCCGGATGACAGCTAATCTTCCAAGTCACTTTCACATAGAGAGCACTGTGGGTGGCTGACAATGGGCATTCCTCCCTCTTTACTGATGCGGACACTGAGGCTCATGGAGATGACAAGACTTGCTGTCTCCTGGCACAGACCTCTTTCCCTCTGCCTCAAAGCCCTTCCATCCACCCACCTCCCTGGGGCATTCTAAGTCACCCCCACAGCCCTCTGATGCCAGTCCTCCTCCCAGGTCATGCCAGCCCCATCTTACCCATCTGGTTTTGGTAAACCCAAGCTTCTGTACTCGATGTATCTCATGCTTCTTCTCCTCCTTCGATGTGCGAACGTGCCCAAAGCACAGGGAGGAGAGGGCCCTGGAGAGAGGGGCTGCTGAACCTGTAGAGACAGAGTTTGAGAAAGTCCCACCTCCCTTCTGCCAGCTTGTGATTTAGAAAGGTGCATTCATTCAACACTTACTGAGCATGTACAGGCCAGGAACAGATCTTCATAGCAGAGATATAAGAGAGCAAAGAACAGACAGGAGCCCTTGGCCCTGAGGTTTCCATTCTAAGGGCCTTTAAATCTCTTTCAGAGCTAACAGTGACCTTTGATACTCTCTACCTCCTCCAGAAACACGAGCCTAAGGAGGAGAGATGGCTTGTCCAGACTCAAAAAGCAAATTAGGGACTGAGGCAGGGCAGAAATATGGGCCCCTGACAACCAGTCAGGCTAGTGCTTCCCTGAGAGGTGACAAACCCAGGGCATGTGTGGCAACAACTAGAGCAGGGGTGTCTGGAGAAGAGAGAGTCAGCAAAGAGGGCAGTGGAGAAGAGCCACGCTGCATGTTCTGTGCTCTGGGGTCCCTCCAGGTGAGGCCTGGGTGCCCCAGCTCCCCACTGGTCCTGGCATCAGGGGCCCCTAGCCCCTTTCTTCAGGGCCCCAAGAGGAAACTGGAGTCCAGGATTGACCAGCTGGAATCAGGGGACCCCACTGGACTCTTACCAGTGAATTGATGTTTTCACTGAGTTGACTGATTATTGCGGAGCTTGAATCCAGGGCTACTGCTAGTTCTTGGTACTGGCTCTGAGGTGCATGCAGAGAGGAGGAGTTGGAGGAAGATTGTGGGGAGGGGTAGAGAAAACAATCATTAGGGCTGGTGGGGGCGTGTAGGCTGTCTCAGCTGGCAGAGGGGCAACAAGCCCCTGCTGTGGGAGGAGGTTGGAGGGCTGGCCTGCAGGGTCACTGCACCTCAGCCCAGGGCCTCTTACCTCCAGATCCTCCAGGGTAGCAGATGATGCAGGGCCCTCCCTGTAGATACCTGCTGCTGACTGCAAGAGATGAGAGTGCATATGGAGATGTTCTGTCCCCCCTCACTGTCTAAGCCCTCTGACTTCCTTTCTTCCCCCATCAACTGGCAAAAGCTTCTTTTCTGCCTATCTTGGACCCTTTGTCCCATAACTCCTTTGTGCCAACTTCTGTCATGGTTCTTATCTCCCCACCATCCCACCGTGGGGCCCTTTCAGTGACTCCTAAAGGGACAGCCTGATGGCAAGTGGCTCTTCTCATTAGCCTGGCTTCCTCTTGAGACTGAGGATGAGGAAAATCAAACAGCAATGACCATTTTCTGGGTGTCCTGGGTGTTTTCAGCAGGCCATATACTAAGGATTCACATAAAAGCAACAATAATAAATCTGATTTAAATTTAACAAATGGAAGTCAAAAAATACCACCTCTATTATACAGATGTGAAAAGAGAGGCCCAAAGACCTCAAGCAACTTACCCTAAATCATATGCTAATCAATCCCTAATCAATCCTTAGCAGATGGAGAGGCAGGATTCAAACCCAGAATTCTTAACCAGTACCCAACAGTCCATCCACAATCTTAAAAATTACCCTCTACTGCCCCTTGGGCCCCCTGTCCCCAGGAGCCTGGCCCGCCAAGACTCACATCCCCAGGTGAGTGGTAACCACCAGAAGTGGCTGTGTCAGGGCTACTGCCATTGATTTTCTTTTTCCTGTTAGCTCCTTCTGGAATGCCAGGGCTCTTCCTCTGCCAATATTCTTTTAACTGTGGGAAAAAAAGAGCAGTAACACTCATGAGAATGATCAGCCCCTACAGCCACATCCTCCTTTACAGTTTTGACAAAATACTCTTATATACCATCTGGTTTAATGCCACCAACAATTGGACAAGGTGTTGTCACAGTCATTTAGTGATTGAGAGGGATTGATATCATGGATAGAAAAAAAAATGTCAAAACTGGAACTGAAACTCAGTCCTCTGACTCCAAGCTCTGGAGTTTTCCATGAATCAGCAGCTGCCAGGGACCAAAACAAGGGGTAGAGGTAGAAAAGTAAACATTAAGCAGGCAGGAACTGTAGGCCGTGTGGTTTAGAGTCATACATCCTCACAGGTCTGCTAGCGTGAAAAAGCACACCAGTACCTCCCACACTTTCATATCAATGTGTCTTCATGGCAGAAGGCAGCTTTTCTGTTAAATCTGGGAATTTATCAGAAAGAGGACAACCCAAGCCTCATTTCAGAGAGAAGTCTGGTATACACTTGGAAACCTATGTGTCTGTCATCCCTAAGTACATTAATGTTTTTTCTCAAGAGAATCAAGGGAAAATGATGCTTCAGAAAGATGTCCCACATTTATCCTGTGGCACTCAAAGTACCCTAGGTTGAGATGATATGAGGAAGATTCAAGCTGTCAAGTTCAGTTTCCCAAGATCTATTCCACAGAAGATGAGCAAATCTCACTTCAGAGACCACTGACTGAAGGTCAGTCTGGTCCCAGAACCATGGAGAACTCAGAAAATATGTTAAAGTCTCTCTGGAAGGTATAAGCCTGGGAGAAAACCAAACCAAACCCATTCTCCCATTGCTGCCCAGAGATACTGTCAATGTTTTGAGCTCACAGGAAGTGTAAGCTTTTCACACTGTGAATTAGACATTGTTCACGGTGTAAAGCAGCCTGAAACTTCTTGCTCATAAGTCCCATAGTCCCCACTCCCCTTCCAGCTGGAAATTTGTGCTGCAACCAGAGGAACCAGAAATGGGGTGAGAAAACTTAGGGGACTGGGTTGTAAAATCAAAGGCCGGTCTTGCAGCAGTAATGACAGTTCCTCGTGGGACTGTGACATCACTACATTCCACTCCTCCCAGGGGAGGGGACCACATCGGCTTGATGCCCAAGTTGCCGCTCCATGATGGGGGAGGGAAACACAGGGTTTTGACCCAGGTCCTCGGAGATGCCAGTCCAAGAAGCCCAGGGAGGTCGAGCTTGGGGCAGCAAGAGGGGAGGGCCGAGTCTGCAGTAGGGAGCCCCGGGAGTCAAAAAAGTCACCCAGGGATGACTGGCCAGGGCGGGGCCCGGGGCTGGGGGACCCAGCTCCTGGGAGACACAAGCCCAAAGAGCCCAGGGAGGTTGGGCTTGGGGTGGCAGGAGGTGAGGTCCGAGTATGGAGCAGGGAGCCCCAGGAGTCACCCTCCCAAAGTCACCCTGTGGTGACTGGCAAGGGCAAGGACTGAGTGGCTTGCTGAAGGGGTGGGGCTGACTGACAAGACTTTGGTTGGGGGAGCCCAGAGGCGCTGGTGTTGGGGGGCCTAGTCTGGTATGCCTCAGGAGTGGTATGGACTCTGCCACCGGTCTTGTCATCGGAGGGGATCTGTGGCTGGGTTGGGGGCCATGACCTGGTGCGTTTTACCTTTTTCTTGGCTGCAGCCAATTTCCCCTGTTGTGTGTTTTCTGACATCGTGGGGTGGGGAGGGAGGCGGGGTTGGGGCCACATCAGCAAAATCCCAGTGAGCACTGCTGAATGCCTCCAGTCACCTACAAGGCAGCTGTGCGACTGAACCACAGGTGGTGTAACCAGGGCACCAATGTAACACAGAATAGGGGCTTGGCCTTAATGCTCCAAGCCCATTGGTCAGTGAGAAAGATGAAAGGGAAAGGAGGCGTGTCCAGGCAGCAGCATGTCCAGAGGGACCTGTGGCATCATAAGGAAAGCTGGCCATGCAACTGCTGTCCCCGCCCACTAAGAGAGAGGGGAGGGGCCGCCCAATCTGGGAGAGGGGAGGGGCTGGCTTTTGCTTTAAAAGCTTTAAAACTGTAAAAAATAAACTTTAAAAAATATATGTGTGTATACTTTATATATGTGTGTCTGTGTGTATCTATGTGTTCCTCCAGAGCTGTCTTCATTATCCAGCTTCTATGCAAAGTCTATGATTTTGGCCTATATTTTTCATCTTCAAATGGAACACAAGAATTACCAGTATTACCTTAACTGAAATATAGATCCTATATAAATGGAAAATCCATAGAATTCTTGATGATTAATGAAGCCAACTATAGTATCCGACATTCCAATAACAGAAAATAATCACAATGATTTCTCTTTTTTGGAAAAATGTTTGTCTTATTCTCCTACATTATTGTTAAGATTTCTTTTAAAAACAAGAAACATGTCTAATATCTTTAAAAACACAAAGCTTTTGGGCCGGGTGTGGTGGCTCACCCCTGTAATGCCATCACTTTGGGAGGCCGAGGTGGGTGGATCGCCTGAGGTCAGGAGTTCAAGACCAGCCTGGCCAACATGAAGAAACCCTATCTCTACTAAAAATACAAAAACTAGCCAGGTGTGGTGGTGGGTGCCTGTAATCCCAGCTATTTGGGAGGCTGAGGCAGGAGAATCACTTGAACCCAGGAGATGGAGGTTGCAGTGAGCCAAGCTCACGCCACTGCACTCCAGCCTGGGCGACAGAGCAAAACTCCATCTCAAAATAAATAAAATAAAATAAAATAAGATACAAAATAAGTAGGAACACAAAACTTCCAATTTAATAAGCACTTAAAGCTCTTTACTGGTTTAAAACAAATACAAGGCCCATTTTTCTAGAATCACCTGGCCTCTCTAAGCCTTGCAAATGAAACTGAATTTCTCACTTGATACCTGGCTATGACTTGCAATCATGAAAACCAAGAATTGTGTTATGTCACTGTGTATTGCTTGTTAACTGAAATCCACACTAGGCTGGGATCAAGGGTTGAATCTTTCATGATTTTCTCCATAACCTGTGTGCTTCTTATCCCAGACCAAACTAAGCTTTTTTCTAGAGTTCTACAATTTACACTTAATAGACAAGAGTGGTTCTCAAAATGTAGTCTATGGACTAGCAGCACCAGCAGCACCTGAGACCTTTTTATAAGTGCAAATTCTCAGGCCCCACCCTGGACCTGGTGAATCAGAAACTCTGGAGTAGGGTTCAGCAATCTGTGCTGCAGTAATCCCTCCAGGTGTTCAAGAACCTCTGGCATACAGCAGTTAGTAAAATGTGTTTACTTCTGTAGGTCCAAAGCCAGGGTTGCCATATGGTCTGCCTTGTTATGAAACAATGACATGCAATTAAAAGACAAGAATCTCCTTCCTACTCGCACCCTCCATCCAATGTGTTTTATTTTTATGAGTTCCATAAGAAAAACAAGTGGCAATCAGAGATTTAGTCTAAAAAGTATGTTTACAAGTGTCCGTTCTCATCCAGCCTGATCGCCTACAAAACCATTTACATCCTCTTACATCTCAAGTTTTAAAAAAGTATCTTCACAATGTAAGACTCAAGCACACTAGCAGTTCTATAATAAAACACCAAGTAGATCAGAATGTCCAACCTTACTAGAGAAGAAAAGTGCAATCATTGGCCATATTTTCAAATTGCATTCAACAGGAAATTTAAGTTTTGAATTTTTTTCACCTTCATACTTCCAAAGTAATAGAATTAAAGCAGAATATGCCATTCTTTCAAATACTCTAGCCAGGCAAAGTTTTACTGTATTATTTCTTGCTTTCAATGGATATAAAGCAGATTCCTGGTAGGCACATTCTGTGTACCTTCAAAGATGCAGAACTAAACAGTTCCATCTGTTCAATATTAAACCAAAAGTCCTGTAGACCGCGGATGGTGAGTGTAATACTTCAGCACTAGCCCAAAGCCTCAAATATGAAAACATACCAAGAACACCACTACCAAACAAAACTAAACTCTCTGTCAGGAGCAGTAGCTGACACCTGTAATCCCAGCACTTTGGCAAGCTGAGGTGGGAGGATTACTTGAAGTCAGGAGTTCAAGACTAGCCTGGGCAGCATAGAGAATTCACATCTCCACAAAAATTTTTAAACATTAGCTGGGTGTGGTGGCACACAGCTGTAGTCCTAGCTACTTGGCAGGCTGAGGTGGGAAAATTGCTTGAGGCGAGGAGTTCAAGGCTGCAGTAGCTATGATTATGGCACTGCACTCCAGTCTGGGTGACAGAGCGAGACTTAGATAATTACATTTTCTCCTGCTCCTGTTTACACTAAAATCACGAAGTTAAAAGGCTTTCAAATTTGGCAGGATAAAAATTAAGTGAAATGTGACTTTGGAGCTTGGCTAATGAAAGAAAGAAAGAAAGAAAGGAAAGAAGGAGGGAGGGAGGGAACAAAGAGAAAGAAAGGAAAGGAAGAAAGAGAGAGAGGGAAAGAAGAAAGAAAAAGAGAGAGAAAGAAAAAGAGAAAAAGAAAGAGGAAAGAAAGAGAGGGAGGGAGGGAAAAGAAAAGAACGTAAGAATGGAAAGCAAGAAAGAAAAGGAAAGCAAGGAAGGAAGAAGAAGAAGAAAGAACGAAACAAGGAAAAGAAAGAAAAAGAGAAAGAAAGAAAGGGAAAGGAAAGGAAAAAGAAAAGAAGAAAAAATGAAATGACAAATTACTTACTGGGAGAAAGTTTTTGTAACCTCAATGACAGATAAAATGCTTGCATCCTTAGTCTATAAAGAAATCTTTAAAATTACTGAGAAAAAAAACAAATGATTTTCAACTGAAATGGTTAATGGAGAAACTGGCATGTCTCACAAGAATAAAAATGGCCAATGGCATATACAAAGATTCAAAAGCACAAGAAATCAAAGAAATGTCATGAAAACAATGAGATTTTCTGTATAAAGGCAGGAAAGATGACAAATGGAAAGGGGAACCTGGAGCTCTGTCCTTGTTGGTGGGAGTGTAACCTGAGTCACTTTTCCTGGAGAATGATTTGAAAGTTTCTATTAAAAACCCTAAAAATTATTTTCCTCCAGAAATTCTACTTCTATGAATTTAGTCCAAAAATGTTTGCTCAAGCCCATTAAAATGTATGTATAAGAAAATTCACCGGCCGGGCGCGGTGGCTCACACCTGTAATCCCAGCACTTTGGGAGGCCGAGGCGGGCGGATCACGAGGTCAGGAGATCGAGACCATCCCGGCTAACACGGTGAAACCCCGTCTCTACTAAAAATACAAAAAATTAGCCGGGCGTAGTGGCGGGCGCCTGTAGTCCCAGCTACTTGGGAGGCTGAGGCAGGAGAATGGCATGAACCCGGGAGGCGGAGCTTGCAGTGAGCCGAGATCCCGCCACTGCACTCCAGCCTGGGCGACAGAGCGAGACTCCGTCTCAAAAAAAAAAAAAAAAAAAAAAAAAAAAGAAAGAAAATTCACCTCTGGGGTGGCAGTGATTAACTTAATATACATGCAGCTATTAAAAATGATGGTGCCAGGATACATTTACTGCCACAGAAATATGCCCAAAATATAGTAAGTGACAAAAGACTACATATTACGATTCTACTTTTTAAAAGGTTTATGTGCATAAAAACATATAAAAAGCAACAAGCCACAATGTTTTGAGTGGCAAATTAAAGATTTTTCTTAATATTTGTCATCCAAATTATTACAAAAAGAATGATTTCCTTTATAATGAGGGAGAATTGTGATTTTCATTTATTTATATTTAAATCTCTTTTCTTTTTCTGATTTTTTTTTCTCCTGTATGTATCCCATGTAGGCTAGAATCCCTGCCTCTTGAGGTAAATCAGCCCATTTTCGGGAAGTGCGCTACAGAAAGCTGCCCTAGCTTCCTTTTAAGAGATGTGGAGACATTTTTTATTTCAAATTGTTTTATCATTCTCAGATTATTTTGTTTAATATATGAAATTGAGGAAAAGACAAAGGAAAGGCTGACTCCCTACCCTCCTGGGGCTACTCTTCCAATTTTTGCTGCTATTGTTTATATTAATATTCACTAGGTACTAAAAAATGGGCAGCCCCTTAGATCATTTGTTCTTATCTCTTTCTCATAATCCTACTTCATTCCTTCATTCACTTATTTTTAAAAGGGTCATGTGTACAAACACATGGTTCAGAAAATTTTTAAATATAACTACCTATAAAAGTATGTGGCCAAATCCCATTCACAGTCTTATTCTCCTTCTACAGCCAAACACTTTTAATTGGTTTCTTATATATCATTTCAGAATTTATCTTTGCAAATACACACGTATATTCTTATTCTACTCTTCTCTCTCAACACAAAAAGTAGCATACCATACATACTATACCATTCCTTGTTCCTCTTAAAACACACACAATATATGTGAGTTCTTCTACATGAGTACAGAGGTCTTTGTCATTCTTCTTTACAACCGCACAGTATTCATCGTTTGGATGTACCACAGTTTACTTAACCAGTTCCCTGTTGGTGGACACTGAAGTCATCCCTATCATACTATTACAAACAATAATGCCAAGCATAACCACCCACACACTAAGTTCATTTCTGAATCTGCCTTTGATGAAGCCTCTATTTGAATCACCACAAAGTCACAAGGCTGAAAAGTTAGCCAATTTTTTAGTTTTCATTATGTGCAGCAGTATGTAGCAAAAGACTCCCTTGGGCAAAGCAAATGTGCTCTTTGGGGATTTACTGCATAACAATAAATGGATTAACACCAAGGAGAAATATTTCTATTTAACCATGCATACGTATGTATATAATGCATGCATATGCATAGATAGTATACAATAAATCCATCAAAGCATTAAGCATTGTCTCAGTATGGTGGATCTATGGAGTGCTTTGTAGACAGCCCTCCTTGCCTATCAATTCTTCCTAGTTTCAAAACAGTGAATATGTACTATTTTTGCAATATAAAATTTCAACAAATGTTAACTCAAGCCAGATACATTCCTTCAGTCTGTCCTATATTTGTATGGTGCTCCAGAGTGCTCAAATATCATGTCATTTAAAAAATTTATTTATTTTTTTTTCAAATATAGAAACAGGCAGGGCTTTGCTCTGTTGACCAGGCTGGTCTTGAACTCCTAGATCCTCCTAGATCCTCCCACTTCCACCTCCCAAAGTGCCGCTATTACAAGTGGGAGCCATCCGGCCCGGCTGGCTTCATTTGAGAAATATTTCCCCAGAACTCCATATATTATGAATAATTCCTTTCTTCTTGTTTAGATACCATCTTAGTCATATCTCTATTACCTCACTTGTCACATGATAATCAGTTGCTCACCCATCCATCTTCCTTGATTGCTCGAGAAGAGTCTGATTTTCAGCACCTTGAACAGTGTGCAATACATACATGCTTCATACGCAGAGAAGGAAATGATATCACTACAGTGTAATTATTCCCAGAATTCAATGCCCGTATTTGTAGATTGTTCCAGATACTCTGCCAACAACCTGAGAATGTTACGTGTTTTCCCTAAAACTTCCATCCATTACTGAGTGTCTACGGTCATAGTTAACTCAGTTGCGATGTGACCTCTGGCCAAGCCCATTCATAGTTTGTATTTAAGGTGATTTTTAATCTGAATTTTTGATTTTGATAGTTTCCTTTTTGTTTTTTTAATCTAGCAGTGTTTGGTAAACTTCTACATCTCCATATCCCTATGTCTTTGCACCTACTGGTCTCTGCTTGGAATAATAGCTCAAGGTTTTATTCACCTGGAAAAAATTTCTACTTACCCTTAAAGAATCAGCTTAAATAAGCTGGGCATGGTGGCTCATGCCTGTAATCCCAGCACTTTGGGAGGCCAAGGTGGGTGGATCACCTCAGATCAGTAGTTTGAGACTAGCCTGGCCAACATGGTGAAACCTCATCTTTACTAAAAATACAAAAAATAGCTGGGTGTGGTGGTGGATGCCTGTAATCCCAGCTACTCAGGAGACTGAGGCAGAAGAATCACTTGCAACTGGCAAGCAGAGGTTGCAGTGAGCTGAGATCACGCCATTGCACTCCATCTTGGGTGAGAGAGCAAGACTTCATCTCAAAAACAAAAACAAAATCAGCTTAAATGATACTGTCTCTGAGAAGCCTTTATATCTTCCTATTCTTTCAGTAACAGTTGAAAATTCCTCAACTCTTAAAACATTTGTGCCTCTATTATTATGTATCAGGCACGGAACTGAGTGTCTAGGATAGAAAGATGAAACTGTAGACCCTGCCCTCATGGAGTTCATGGTCTAGTATGGAAAACAGCCATATGAACAAATAACCACACTGTAGGTCTTCAGAGCTCAAACCCTATCCTAAATACTGCTAAATTAATATTCTGTGAGGTTTTGAAATTACTAGGGCCAGAGACAATATCGCTGTTTGGATGACTTTCCATCCAAGTTAATATTCCGCCATCATCATCAAAGGTGATATGTGTGTACCTCTTCCTTGCAACCCACCAGGGCCTAACACATCATATACCCACTTTTGAAATTAGGAAACAGCCTCAGAAGTCCAAGAGCTTGACCAAAGTAACTCAGCTGTTAGGTAGCAGAACCAGGTCGGTATGATTCTTCTTCAATATCCTCCAAGTTATATGGGCAAGTGGCCTCAAAATCAACAAAAGACAAGTAGAGGTTGATATGCATCAATGGAGAGAGGCTCAAAAGGAAGAGTTTATACACAAGAATAGAACAGAAATGTTCTAGAAGTATGTCTGGGGATGTGAAGTAGGAGGGGGCACACCAGGTTTCACCTTGGTCAAGTGAATCTATAATTCCAACCTGGGCCTCACCCCTGAGCTCCAGACTTAGCTATCTGTTTTTCTCACTCTAATATAAAATCCATAGGGCAGGACTTAATCTCTAGGTTGTTCATCACAAATTAAAGCAGAGTCTGGTTTATAGTAAGTACTTAATAAATAAATAAACAAACTATCAAAGAAGCTAAAGAAACATTCTACACTCTTGGGGGAAGGGATTACCATGAAATGCCATCTGTCCTTTTTCTTCTTTTCAGTATTTGGGGTGTTCTTCATTGAAAAAGATTAGCTTCTTCAATTAGCTCCCTTCTCTTCCAGATAGGAAGAGAGAGGGAGAGGGAGAGAGAGAGGAATAGAGAGAAGTTTCATATTTTAACTATGGTTCAATTCTAAGCATTCTAAAATTGTATTGAGTTTTTTAAACCACGAATTACAAGGGTGTTTAATTTCCAAATTCATGTAGCTTTTTTTTAATCTCTTCATTATTGCCTTCTAACCTTAATTGCTTCATATTTAAATTATAAATTATATGGTGTGGATGGTACCAATTGTTTTTTAAATCTTCTGACTTGCTTTATGAATTAATATATAATTAATGTTTCACCCACAGTCCACATATGCTTGAGAAGAATATACAATATCTAATTATTGGGTACAAAGGTCTATATTTGTCCATTACACCATGTCCATTCACTGGTTATTCAAATCTACATATGGGCATTCCGTGTAACTTACTTATGGTAAGCAGGGTATGGTGAAATCTCCAAATATGCTGGCAGACTTGTCAATTTCTACCTGTGGTTTTATCAGTTTTTCTCCTGCATTTTGAGGCTATTTTGACAGGTACATAAAATATGAAAATTGCTACATCCTCCTAATTAACAGTCAGCATCAAGTTTCTTAATAACGCTTTCTGTTCCAAAATCCTTTTTTGATATTGAAGCTCCATCACTTGTTTTTGGTTAATGTATACTGCCATATCTTTATCACTCTCTCTCCTTTATAAAAACTTTCAATCTTCTCATATCCTTATATTTTAAATATGATGGATTAAAACAGCTGGATATTCTTTTATTAGTTCCACCTAACTGGTAACTTTAGTCCATTTACATTTGTTGTGACTGATTTATGTGGACTTCCTTCTATCACCTTTAGAATTTCTATTTCTCTCACTTTCTAATATAATTTTAATATTCCCTCCTGGGATTCCACTAAGACATATTTTAGACCTCATTCTGATCTCCCTCCCCCTACAACCCCACCAACTTCTGCCCTATCATCTATCCTCATGTCTTTCTGTGTAACATACTGACTCACTTTTGGGAGATAATTGTCTAACCAATTAATTCTTTCTTCTGATGTCTAATCCATCCACTGAGGTTTTTATTTCAACAATTACATTTTTTATTTCTTTATTTCATTTTATTCTGAGACGGAGTCTCACTCTGTCACCCAGGCTGGACTGCAGTGGCATGCACGTGCAGCCCTTGTCTCCTGAGCTCAAGTGATCCTCCTCAGCCTCCTGACTAGCTAGGACTATAGACATGTGCCCCATACCCAGCTACTTTTTTTTTTTTTTTTTTTTTTTGGTGGTGTTGGGGTATTTTTTACAGAAACGAGTTCTCACCATGTTGCCCAGGCTTGTCTCCCCAACTCCTGGGCTCATACCATCCTCCCACCTCAGCCTCCCAAACAGTGCTGGGATTACAGGTGTGAGCCACCAGATCCAGCTATATATTTTATTTCTGTAAGTTCTAGTTCATCCATTTTCTTTTCAGGTCCTCCTCATCATTCCTGGTGGTCTTTCTGTTGCTCAATTTAATGAGTCCTTCTTTTATATTAGGTTTCACATGTAACTATTTTCTCACAATTCTAATATTTGAAGTCTGTGTTCTGTATCTGATAATTCCAAAACCTAGTCTTTGGGAAACATATTCATTGTTTCTAGCAATTCTCAAATATGTTGTGTTGAGACTACTTGAATGCTGTGATTTGACTGAATTCATATTTGCCTGCTTTTAATCTTTGGGAATCCTACAGGCTTAAGTTAGAGATGTTTTCCTATAAAAAGTATCTGTGTCTGCTTCTGATGAGAGCTGTGGGTACAACTAACATGAGAGCACTTTACCACCATGCATAATCCTGACATTCTCTTGGATTATCTTGGAGCATCTCAGCATTACACAAGGTTCTCAAATCTGGCTCCCCACCATTGCTCATTTATATACAGAAGACTAGACTGCTTAGTATAGGTGGTGACTCACTTCTTGCTACCCTGGAAAAAACAAAACGGATCTCTCATCTGAATGTGATCACAGACTAGGAAATTCTGAAGGTGAATAACTAGAGGCTGTGGGCAGCAGGGAAAGACAGGTGTCTTTCCTGACCATAGAAATAGGTCAGAAGCTGCCCTAAAGGCTGTGTGCTACAGCATTTCACTATTTAGCTCAACTACCATTCCCTCCATAAGTGTGAGTGGAAGTTTCTTGGAGCACCATATTGCCTTTAAACGAAACCAAATTTTTGCTCAAAAGTCATGGTCATGGAAAACAAAACAAAACAAAACAAAAAACCCTCTGGCTTTGGAAGGCTTTCTCAGTAATGTCCTGGAATTAAGGTTACAGGCTGCATTTCATGTTAACTGAACAGAAAACCAGCCTCCAACATCCTTCTGCCCCATGGCTTGCTCTCAGCTCCTCTTGGTTGGGCCTAGGGCAGTCAGACTGTCTGGTTCCAATCCTTGTTCTGCCACCTGTGACCTTGGACAAGTTACCTACTTCCAGTTGCCTCATCCATAAAATGCAGATATTATTAATACCCTCTTTTAAAGAGGTATTCAATCCTTATTAAGAGGATTGAAAGAGCTAATAAAAAGACTTGGTAAGCATAGGCACAGAGGGAAAGAAAAAAAGTAAAAATAAATAAATAAAAAGACTAGTGTCTAGCACATAAAAGTTCATCAGGAATTAATTCTATAACATGAACTCAATTTTGCAAAACTTCAAAGTACATATAACTTTTACTAGGGTATACATAACAATAATAAATTTACAACTGTAGACATGTTTCTCTACAGTAAATAAAGACTAAACAATCAGATACTAAATCATTAAGTGATTATCAGTTAGTAAATTTAATTTTCTTAAACTTCTATATTTTCTATAGATCATCTTTGTAAGAGAAAAAAACCAAATGAAAATGAAATGAATTCTCTCAAAAAGAATTAAGACAGGAAGAAGACTCACAAAGTAACACAAAATATATCTTATGGTTTATGTAAAATTCTTAATAAAAGTACCTTCTTTGCTCCAAGCTGCACTCTGGCTTTGCCTTTGTCTCAGGTGTGTTTTATTTGTATGATGGCTAATTCTATCGAGTAGGCACTGCTTCAGCTCTACAGGAAGAACAAAACATCTTTAGAACACAGCAGCGTTCCTGGTTCCCACTTGAGAAGGCCTAACCAAATGGCATATAACTTAACAGTAGCAGACCAGTGTTAAAAAGTCTGGAGTCAAAGGGAAAAGGTAAAATTGGAACGTTTCCAGAATCTCACAAAAAAACAACAAACCAATGTTCTAAGTGCCCAACATGAACAAATTAGAACCTTAAATAAAGGTCACTGTTAATGCCTATCCTAGCATAAATTCAGCACCAAGTACAATGTTATTTTACTGGTTTGCCTTTTTCATTCTTTTTTTTTTTTTTTTTTTTTTTTTTTTTTGAGATGGAGTCTCGCTCTGTCACCCAGGCTGGAGTGCGGTGGCACCATCTCAGCTCACTGCAAGCTCTGCCTCCCAGGTTCACACCATTCTCCTGCCTCAGCCTCCCGAGTACCTGGGACTAAAGTCACCCGCCATCACGCCCGGCTATTTTTTTTGTATTTTTTAGTAGAGACGGGGTTTCACCGTGTTAGCCAGGATAGTCTCAATCTCCTGACCTCGTGATCCACCTGCCTCAGCCTCCCAAACTGCTGGGATACCTTTTTCATTCTTGAAAGTAGAAGCTATGAAAAAAAAAAAAACACTAAAATGTCTTTAAGAGAACAGTCTACTTACGATCTAACTTACATAATCAAAACACTCAATTGAGGGTGAAAATTGAGTATAATAATAAAATAATCACCAATTTTGTGAGAGGTTCCATACATAATGCTCCTCCACCCAATACATACCTTAAAAAGAAAAAAGGAAACATACAAAATTATCTTGAGAAGTATTCCTGCTTAAACAATTTCCATGTGGCATTATTAAGAAAGTATGCACACAGTAAAGACAAGAAGAGAACACGTAAGCATGAACATACTTGTTAGGCATATAGGACTATAAGTAATTTAAAAATTCTAATGGTATTACTCTTATGTAATTGCTCTGAAATTCTAGTCAATTGTTTGAAATGGCAATCAGAACAGAATACTTTGAAATTTTTATGATGTCAAAAACTAAAAACGTGGCCCTAAATATTCCAAAGAATCAGAGCAGAAGAACCCATTTCCTTAAATGGCATTTGAGTGTTCTTTACAATGGAAACTTTCTCTCTCAACCTGTGATGGCCAGGAGTTTTTCCTCTGACAATAGCACTGATCTTACCCTATTCAAAATATGAACATCTGCAAGGTTTCATGGTTAAAATTGTTCTTATCCATTCTGTTGTGAGAATCGAATGGTTCACACCATGCGGCTCCTCTCTGGGACTCCTCAAGTCCTTTCTAGGTCTGAAGACTGTTCTCTGAACCAAAGACAACTTCTGGGGATGTACCAAATCTCCCATTAGAAAATTATTTAGATCAAGATGTTTTAACCTTTTAATTCTTTCTCAAACAAAATAATTTCATTTCTCCTTTAATGTTATTTTAAATTTCAAAATACACAGATAGCATACCTAAAGTAAAATCAAGGGAATGATAGTTTTAGAACAAAAACTGTGGTAATTTTGAAAACACAAAAGCTAAGACCACTGATTAGATCTATGTGGACACCAAGTCCACCACAAATGGTTCTGTCCTCCGGGGCTCTGCCCACACCTTTCCCTTGCTTGAGATTCCTTCTGCTTCCTACCCTTCCAAATGCTGTATTTCCCCCCAGAAGACTTGCCAAGACCACTCTAGCCTGCGCATCTTCTGTTCCAGCTAACCAAAGGCATCCTTGCATTGACTAAACCAAATTATTTTGCAGAGAAGGCATCTAAAAACTTCTACTGTAGACCATTCACCTTAATAATTGTTATCATGACATTATTCAATAATAAAATGAGGGAAAGAAGTCCTCTTTAACTCCCTTGCCCTAGAGAATCCAAGCAAGTGGCTTTCCCACTTGCTTTGCTCAAACCCTGGGAGCTTTCAAAGTGAAAGTTTAATGGAAGGAAAAGAAAATCTAAAAGAAAAACTCTCCGAAAAATTAAACTCAGGTAAAGAATCATGGGATTACAAATTTTTATTCTTTGTGTATCTGATTTCTGAAACATTTGAAATCTCTCTCTCACTCCTTAAATCTGCCACTGGGCTAAGAGAGTATTGTATATAATGTGCACTCATTGATTTAACAGAATTAGAACATCCAGGCACTCACTCAGATTTTGGTTCCACAACTGCTCAAAGTCTAGTCATTTAGTTAATGAGTTAACACCACACTTGATCTTCAAATTTTGGAGATGCTGATGGTAGACAGGAACTTGTTTTGGGAAAAGGAAGTATATGGTAGACATTGTCACCCATTATCCAACCAACACCACCTTTCCTTTAAAGTACCCCACTCTTCCTTTAAGGTTGCAGAGTCTCAGAAAGTAGGAAGAAAGGAAGTTTTTGCATTTTCAGGTCAAAAGACAGTACATTTGTACAACTGCATAATACCTATGCAAATGTTTGTTGAAATCTAAACAGAAGACAGAAGTAGTTCTAGTACCTTCACTACATAAGTAAGATAAGTAAACTTTTCTTTAATATACACTTTCAGCAGCACTGACACATAAAAGTGGTCAACTCTACTACTGTATTAAATGGCATTCATTTCATCAATATGTGTTCCAAATTCTTACTGCTCTTTGTCTCCAAAGGGTTCCTACTGAATATTGAGACAGTTCAAGAATACTAGGGAAAAAAATTCTAATAATTGAAGTAACGGTCATCTAAGGATAATATGCCACATATACAGACATAGTAATATTTTCAACTTAAAAAAATTCAGTTATCAAAGCTGTACAGCAAACACTATCCTAAGCTTTGCCTCTTCAGGCATTTGCTTTATAATCACTTCAAAGAAAAGTCAGTCACAAAATGCCACATTTTGTATGATTCTATTTATATGAAATGTCCAGGATAGGCAAATCTACAGAGACAGAAATTAGATCAGAGATTGCCAGGATGAACGGCGGGGGAGACAAGCACACAGAGCGACTGCTAATGGGTATGGGGTTTCTTTTTGGGGAGAAGAAAAGGTTCTGAAATTAGCTAATGGTAATGGCTGCATAACTCTGAATATACTAAAAACCACTGAACTGTACACTTCAAAGGGTGAGGCTTATCATATAAAAGCTGTACCACAATAGTTTGAAAAATGTTTGGGTATGTCAAGAAATAAACAATAGGATCATAGCTCAAAGATATGGGATATAAAATATATGGAACAAAACTGCTCAATAATCTATCTAGAATCACACAATGCTTAAGCTTTACCCTGACTAAAATTGCAAGCTTGGTGTTTTATTGGTATTTCACATTTTTTACTTCTTCCTAAGTCAGCCAATAATTCCTCCTCCTTACTTAATATTTGACTATGAAGACCAAGCCATTTTGATTCTGCCTCCAATGGGCTTTCACATTTCATTCCTCCTTCCACTCCCATGACTACCACACCAATGTAAGTTCTCCTCACTTCACTCTAAGACAACAGCATGGCCCTCAACTACCGTCACACTCTTCTAGGCTCTGTGAGCACAATGTGTCTCATATTCTCTTCTACTGTCACCAGATTTATTCGAAAACAGTTTCTTTACTCTTACTCCCATTTCTCAACCAGTTACATAGAAAGATGAATATCCAGGGGTAATAGTTTACTTACCTGAAAAAAAAAATCTGTCACCAATCCACAGAACTGTTTGAGTACAAAATATTACATCCGCAATATTTCCTACAACTCTTCTACATGAATCCTACCCTCCTTGTGTTATAGCTCAAATTGGTTTCGTATACTCTGAATTCCTCGTTCTCTTTCCTAGATACCTGATTTTGTTTACTCTTCACCTACGTAAATAATTTTCCTGCAACCTCCCCCAGCTGACCAAACCCCAGTCACATTTCACTGCCCAGCTGAGATCCCACCTACTTCATGAAGAGCAACTCTTTGCAGCTTTAAACCTCAGATAAATTAAGTCCATGCTTAGCTTTTCTTTTTCTTTTTTGTTCAGATGCAGTTTATCTTTGTCACCCAGGCTGGAGCGCAGTGGCACGATCTCAGCTCACTGCAGACTCTGCCTCCCGAGTTCAAGCAATTCTCCTGACTCAGTCTTCTGAGTAGCTGGGATTACCAGTATGCACCACCACATCTGGCAATTTTTTTGTATTTTTGGTAGAGATGGGGCTTCACCATCTTGGCCAGGCTGGTCTCGAACTCCAGACCTCAAGTGATCCACCCGCCTCAGCTTCCCAAAGTGCTGGGATTATGGGTGTGTGCCACCGTGCCTGGCCCATGGTTAGCCTATGATAATCAATGTGGAACTTACAGTTCTTAGTACTTTTAATCTCCTTTTATATAGCTGGCATTTCATATAATGAAAAACACTTTACTAGGACTCAGAAGATTTATTTAGGTAAGTCACAAGCTGACTTATTATTCAAATTATTCATCCAAATAATGAGGACCATAACACACTGTGGCAAAAAAGAATCAATGAAGAAACTATGTAACATATTTTAAAACTGAAAATGGCATGATTCATAACCTCATGTATTCGTCTCGATTCTAGGTGGTATACTAAGATCATAAACTTACATTCTTGGGATTCTTACAACCAAATGTTGAAAAGCTATACTGGTCTATTTTATAATCACATTTTAAAATGTTTTCATACATTTATCCTGAATTTGCAGATTTTTATGCAAATCTTTTCTTTGATCATTTTTTTTTTCTCAAATAAGATTCTGAACAAAAAATGACCTGTTTTCCTTTCCCTATGCTTATGGGGATATTGAGTCAACATACACAATTTTATAAACCAGCACATAAAACTAAAGCACAATACTTATGTCCTTTCTCCCCAATCAGGAAGGGCTTCATTACAAAGACATTTTGAAATTCAACTATGACAAACAAAAGAACTATGGCTTGGTGGCTAGTTATAGGCCGCTGTAGTGAGCAAGAGACACAAAGTTTAAACATTTACTATTTTTCAGTCTTCTGTTTATTTTGTATACATAAGTATTTGGCTGGGTTACCTAACACTGAACTTCCAAAATTGACCATTAGGTTGTATGCCAAGAGAAGTACTTTTTATAGCAATTTTACTGCCAAAACCAAAACAGCCTAGAGAAGATTTAAAGTTAACAAAATAGTACACAATTCTAAACAACTCTGCTTCACACCCAACCTGGGACTTCCACTCCCCGTAATAGTATATTTGTGATCAACTTTGTAACAAGCTGACAAAGGGAGACCTCTGACATCTGCTCATGAAGGAATCACTTCAGTATGTCCTGCTCTGCAGCAGAAAATGCATGGGGATCACTCAGAACTTCAGATTTCTCACAGAGCAGCATTTCCCAGAGTAAGCCAGAAGACACCATCCTCTGAGATGTTGTCAGGAACACTAATAAACAAATTTGGGAAAAATAGAAAATGGCATTAAGGCTCCAAGAAGTCCTTTGGTAAAAGACATTTTGAAGCTGGCTTCCCCAAAACCTTGCAATCCCCACAAAACAAATATCTATTACCATACCACTATATTAGCACTCACAGAACATTTGGGGAGATTTGGCAAAGATTAGGCTGCAGGCGTCAGGTAAGTAAACTCTTAAAACACAATATTGAAAAAAATAGAAATTTAAAAATTTAAACAGAAAAGCAAAAGATAAGTAAATAAATAAAAAATTTTAACAGACAACATTGGGCTGGGCAAAGTGGCTCAGACCCATAATCCTAATACTTTTTCAGTCTCAGCAGGGTGGATCACTTTAACCTGGGAGTTCGAGACCAACATGAGCAACATGGTGAAACCCTGTCTCTATCAAAAATACAAAAATTAGCTTGGTATGCTGGCATACACCTGTAGTCCCAGCTTCTTAGGAAACTGAGGTGGCAGGATGGCTTGAGCCGGGGAGGCAGAGGTTGCAGTCAGCTGTGATTGCACCACTCACTCCAGCCTGGGGCAACAGAGAAAGACCCCGTCTCAATAAAATTAAGTAATTAAATAATAAAATCAATATTCCTTTACTGTGTGGGGAAACTCAAAATGAGCTCAGCACATCCACATGTAATACTAAGGTTTTTTTTTTAAACCCACACTTCTTGTTTCTCTGAACTTTTACACATGGATATCATGTCCAGACAACTATTCCGTAGTATCAGCACCACAGTTAATATGTATTCTGATTATTCAGAATGATTCTTAACAGGATCTTAGCCCCCAAAACACATACATAAGTATGTAAAGCAAATACAACTAAAAATAACTAGCAACAAAGCTCTTCTGGAGAAAGTTCTGAAGTCTGAAGTAGTCACTCATATTTTTACCCTAAATGCAACTATTACTATCTCAACCATAGAAATGATCAAAGTAAGGGCTGGAGATATTTAGATTTTAATCACCATAAGGTGGATTATGTCAAGTAATGGAATTAGTCAGCTGAGTGTTTGAAAATCCTCAGGTTACTTTCAATTGCTCATACTTTAAGGGTCTACAGAACATTTCATAACTAACCTAGCAAACTGTGACTTTTCCCCACTTCTGTAAGACTTTCAATCACAAAAAAGAAGCAATACAAATTTCAGTAAAACTACATGACAATTACCATTTGATTCTACTACACTGCAACTATCACCTCTAGAAGTAATCAGCCAACTCCATAGGTCCATGAGATTTCCCATGATTATTCCTAGAAGTACTAATTAGGATCACAGGTATGTGGGGACCACTCTGTAATCATAACATTCTCTAAACCTTCAATCATAATTTACATTTGAAAAACCTTTGGTTTTTATGATTAAAAAGTATGTATGAATATATATATATATGTATGTATGTGTAAATATGTGCATGTGTGTGTGTATATATATGTGTATATATGCATATATATAACACTAAAATCTCTACCTGTCAACAACATAATGCTTTATAACCAGTGGTTCCAGATGTAGGCCCCAGAACAACAGTATCAGTTTCACCTGGGAACTTCTTAAAAACGTAAATGCTCAGGCAACACCACAGACCTACTGAATCAGAAACCCTGGGACTAGCTCTCCAAATGATTCTGGTGCATACTATATTAAAAAAAAAATGTAACCCAGGCACAGCAGCTCATGCCTGTCATCCCAGCAACTTGGGAGGGCAAGGTGGGAGGATCACTTGAGCCCAGGAGTTCAAGAACAGCCAGAGCAACATAGTGAGACCTCATCTCTACAAAAAATTTTTTTAAACTAAAAAAAAAAAAAAAAAGCATTTAAAGTAAACACTTAATCACTTAAACTTATGATCCTGAGAGAACAGGTAACACCACTCAAACAAATGGAGGATCAAATGGAAAGTTATCCTAAAAAGCAAATAAGCAAGCTTAATTAATTTTAAGAACATTGTTAATACTATATACTATTTAGAAGATTTTAAAATAATCTATAAAAGAATATGTACATTTATTATCAGATAATGGGTGAGAGTCATAAAGGTAAAATTAGTACAGAAAAAATGAAATGAAAACCAAAGCAAATAAAAATGAAGTTAAAATCAGGCCCAAACAGAACAGTGTTGTGGTAAACTTATGTAACATATGAAGGGGCTTCACTTCAATAGAACTATATAAAGGAACCATTGCAATAATGATAGACTAGGTAACTTAGATCAATCCTCTCACTGAGAACTAGAAAGGTGGACAAAATGTAATGATTACAGGGCTGAGAAAAGGGAATACCAGAGAACAGGGTCTTCTTTTTTACCCTTTGGGTTTTCTTGCAATGACAGCAGAGAAGAAGAGGTTAACAAGCTGAGCTAGAACTCACAGCCTCACAGAGCTCACAGGGAGATAAACATTGGAGCTCAGCATCCACTGAGGAGAGGCCCTGTTAAGTCTCCCACTCCTTAGGTTGGGAACCTGAAGAACAAACTGCAAATTGCCCCGACAGGGAATGATGGCCAGATTTAATCATCTCAATCCCTGATTGTTAATTTCCAAGCCCCTGGCAGGGGAAATGTAAATCCTCTCTGGAGAAGAATATCATCCAAGGCTTCAAATTAGCTCTACAATTTTTCCATATATAATGTCTATCACTAAAAATAGAAAGCCACATGAGACTTAAAGATGACACAACAGAAAACAAGAGAAGCAAACAACAGACACAAAACCACAAGGGATCAAGATAACAGAGTTAGCAGACACAGTTCAATATAACTGCTGAACATGAGCAAGGAAAGATGGGACAAGACTAAAAACCTGGCAGAGAAATGCAAATTATAAAATGAACCATATGAAATTCTGCAATTTAGAACTACCAAAACTGAAATTAATAACGTAATGGATAAGCTTAACCACAGCAGTAACCTAGCAGAAGACAGATTCAGTAAACTGCAAAAAGTTCAGAAAGACAAAAAGGTGGAAAATTGAGAAAATAAAAGACAACATATTGAAAAGTTTATCACATACGTAGAGCACTGGAAGAAAAACAAGAATGGGACAGAAGCAAGAGCTGAAGATATGGTTGTGGAGAATTTCCCAAAACTGATCAAAGACTTCACAAGATTTAACCACCATAAACACTTCAAGAGAAACAATGGAAGCTGGCATAAGAGAATGATATCTGCGAAGTGCTGAAAGAAGGAAACTGCCCATCTAGAGAATTACGCTCAATGAAGATACTCTTCAATGATGAAATAAAAAGCAAGGATTTTTTCTATCTGCAGACTCACACTAAAGGAAATACTAAAGGATATTTTCAGACAGGAGAAAGAGGTTCCTCTGCATCAAAACCTGGGGACTCTATTCCATAAGCTCTGTACCCTGGAACTCAGGAATCAAGATTTTACAGAAATAAAAAGAGTTCTTCAGGGAGGGGAAAATAAAGGTTGAGGGTGACTGGTAAAATTAAGTTTGAGTTACCTTAGTATATTTTAACTCAGAATGAGACTCTCAGGATCTACAAGGATCTCATGAAATTATCTGATTTCCCATTTGACATCTCAGCCTTCTAAGTTATTCTTAAAGATGAAGAACATTCTAGTTTTCAAAGACTACATCACCAGATGGGTCTAAATAGTTACAAGTCACTTCCTTACATTGAGTTGAAAATCACCTCTTTGTAATTTGACTTATTAGTTCTAGTTTTATGCCCTGTCTTCACCAAAAATGAATAAAAACTAATGCTTCCATATACATACTCCTTCAAATAGTTTAAGACAATCTATCATGAACCAGAACCCCCAAGTTTTCCTCTCCAAATCCACAATTTCACCAGCTATCCTAGGACATGGAAAAGAATCTCTTCCCAATCCTGGCTATTATTCTCTAAATGAACCTAACCTTATCTAAGTAGATCTTTCTTAAAGTGCTACCTCAGAATTCAATTCAGTAATTCTGATGTTGCCTGTAACATCGGAAAATGACTTCCTTAAAAGTACAGTAAGTTGGATTTACCAAGTTGCTGACCAGGGCACATTTCCTCCTGCAGTCACTCCCATCTTTGTGTTATACTGTATCTCAAGTTCAATTTTGCTTATTATTCATGACTCTCAGGTTGTCACTGTGGACATCAGAGGCCATAAACCTATTGTTCTGGCTCTTTCCTGTAAATCTTTCTGAGTCATACCTGCTAATCTCCAAAGTCTGTGAATCCCGATACTAATAACTTGGCAATTCAGTTTAAGGTCCTCTTCAGAAGGACAGTTAGCTCAAAGCAATCACATTCTTCCCAGGCCTCTTAAGAAATACTCCAACCCCAGAAAAGGCCCTTCTGTCTGGTATCAGGAGCCATGGGCCACAAACACAAATCCAATAGCATTTCAGCCATTTACCTCCCAAATCATCCCCTCCCTGAAGTTCTAACTAGAGCAGGAAAAAATAATGAAAACACCACCTGCAGTCACAAATCCTCCAATTTCCTGGCCAAGATTTCATATTCCCTTCAAGATACCTCCCAAAGAGGACATGACAAGGGAGGGGCACAGAGGGTGCTACAGGTACTGATAAGGTTCTATTTCTTTTTTCTTTTTATTTTTTGAGATGGAGTTTCACTCTTCTCACCCAGGCTGGAGTGCAATGGTGCAATCTTGGCTCACTTCAACCTCTGCCTCCTAGGTTCAAGTGATTCTCTCACCTCAGCCTCCCAAGTAGCTGGGATTACAGGCACCTGCCACCATGCCTGGCTGATTTTTGTATTTTTGGTAGAGATGGGGCTTCGCCATGCGGGCTGGTCTGGTCTCAAACTCCTGTCCTCAGGTGATCCACCTGCCTCGGCCTCCCAAAGAGCTGGGATTACAGGCATGAGCCACCACGCCCAGCCAAAGGTTCTATTTCTGAAGTTTGGTGTTGCGCATATGTTCATATGATTTAATGTTTTTTTAAAAAAATGGTATCTTCCTGTTTTGTGTGTGTGTGTGTTTTTTGTTGTAGGCCTGTGTGCTTCATTCATTCACCCATATGAATCCATAAAGAAGTAGCCATTAGCAACTTCAGTCAATATATACTGGATTCATGCTTCAGGAAGACAACTCAGTTGACAACCACAACAGTTTCTATGATAACAAAACTGAGAGAAAATACTAACATTAGGGTCATTTCAAGACAGTTCAATCATAAGATATATCCCCAAGCAAAAATACGCACATGTAAAAGCTAAGTAAGAAGCTTTTAGAAAACTACTACCATCCTTAAAGTACAACAAAGTATTCTTTTACGTCTGTGTGCTTCATCAAAATACTTCATATAGCCATAGATTTTAAAACATTACATCTTATCTAGATTCCATATTAGACCATTAACATTTTTTCTAGATTCCATTCTTATTCTTTTGTAACCTTTTAGTATCTTAAAAGTACTTTATTAAATATAACACATTCAGAAAAGTACATAAAATATACCTTAAGGTAGACCTTAACAAGTTATTCTAAATTATTTGCTCATGTAACCACCAACCTAGTCCAGAAATATATTACAGCCAGTATCCAAGAAGCCCACAGATGTACCTTTCAGTTCACACCTCCCTACCTCCCACCTAGATGGACTCCTTACCCTACCCTGTGTGTAATCGCCTCTTTTTTCTTGATAGTTTTACTGCCCAAGTATGAATCCATAAAGAAGTGTTCCTCAGTTTTCTTTTATGTTCTATGGCTGTTTGGAGGGCAGCAGACCATTATAATAGGTCAGATTTTCTTTCACTCTAAGGACCAATTTTCACTCCACTGCAGGCGATATTGCCTGCGCTAAGAATGTATGCCCTAACCAACATTAGTTTTGCCTATTTTTGAACTCTATATAGAGGAAATTGTACAAAATAGGTTTTGGGGATCTGGTCTCTTTTGCTTAACATAGCGTTCAGGATTCACTCATCTTGTCCCACATGACTGTAAGCCATTTTATGAATACCACAATTCTCCATTTTATTGGAATGAACATTTGGGTTATTTTCTGTTTGGGGTTATTATAAATGATGCTGCTCTGAACATTCCTGTGTCTCCTGGCACATATGTACTCATTTCTTGTGTGGTATATATCCATGAGATTCCTGAACCATAGGGTATGAGTATCTTCCACTTTACGAAACTGTTTTCCAAAACACTTGTACAAATATATACCCCCATTCATAGGATATAGAGTCTCATAAAAATTTTCTTACCTTAAAACATAAGCAAAATGTCTCCTATCTCTTCTTCTTCTTTTAAGATCTGAAGATCACTGTGTAAAGGACTATCAGGGTCAACCTTCAGAATTCCAAAACAAAAAACAATTCAAACAAAAAGATTATTATTATTATTTGTATTAATTTTACTAACTCAAAAATGAACCAATCTGAAAGCTAAAATACAGCACCTAGGGTAATTTCCAGAAAGAGGAGACCTTAAGCTGCTTTATATCCCCAGGAAAACTAGAGGCCACTATAGCTTCCAGCTCCTTTAGAATAAATGTCCCAAAGAGATTATAATAGCCTAAATCTAATCTAATAAGGGGGTTCAGAGTTTGCAGTCATTCTAAAGGAAAACAGTCGCATGTATATAATTTTCTCAAGAATTCAAAAAAAGTTTAATATGCTTTCCTAAACTTGTATTACTAGCCAAGTTGTTCAAGGAGAAAAATTTGCCATGGACAGAGCTGTCAAAAAAGTTAAATCACCAAAAAATTGGTATTTTTCTACAACTGTCCTACATACACATATATAAATATGTATCCCACCTCCCACTCTCCTTTTTTGTTTGTTTGTTTTATGACACAGGGTGTCTCACTCTGTCACCCAGGCTGGAATATAATGGTGCAATCACGGCTCATTGCAGCCTTGACTTTTCCAAGCTCAAAAGATCTTCCTGCCTCAGTCTCCTACCACCCCTAGTAGCTGGGACTGTAAGTGTACTCCACCTATATATTTTAAAAGTAATAACATAACTACCTCCACAATAAGAGTTGATTATGCTGCTTTCAAAACCTGGGGAAAAAATCATAAAATCAACTTGGCAATCATTATCTGTATATTGAAATGTATTATTTGTATTAAATTATCAAGCAATATTGCTCAAGCTTTTTGCCAGAAGATAAAAATCACGCAAATATTCACTCTATCAGGAAGATGGCAAAATAAAATTCCAATGGACCTATAAAAACAATTTCTTTAATTCCAAAATACAAGCAAACTAATCCTATCTTACTCCCTACATCTTTTGGAACTTGATTACATTTGAGTTTCACAAAATAAAGCTAGTAAACATTTCCATTTCTGTCCAGTTTTAAGAAACAACATTTATAATCTGACAACAGAAAAGAACAAAAGAATGATAAGAAGAACAGGGATTTAGAGATCCTTACCTGTCTTATAACTCTGTGATCTGTATAAGTCCCTGAAATCTTTCTTAAGTCTATCTGAAGCTTGCACTGACCCAGACACTGCAGCCTGAAACACAAAAGCTGCTGTTTACCAGGGTCTACTGAGCCAAATAATTTAAAGATTTAAGGTATTTCAACCTGCTCTAAAAGATTACAGTAGCCAGGCATGGTGGCTCACACCTGTAATCCCAGCACTTTGGGAGGCTGAGGGGGGGTGGATCACTTGAGGCCAAGAGTTTGAAACCAGCCTTGCCATCAGGATGAAACCCCATCTCCACTAAAAAAATACAAAAGTTGGCCGGGCATGGTTGCATGTGCCTGTAGTCCCAGCTACTCGAGAAGCTGAGGCAAGATAATTACTTGAACCTGGGAGGTGGAGATAGTAGTGAGTTGAGATGGTGCCACTGCACTCTGGCCTGGGCCACAGAGTGAGACTCCATCTCAAAAGAAAAAGAAAAGAAAAGAAAAGAAAAAGATTACAACAAAAATGGATCACCACTCAACAATTTAAGAAGTAAAAGGAAAAAGTCCAATTAAATGAAGCATTATGAAATTTCAAGGGAATATAAAACTAGACACAAGTCTGGTTCATTTCCATTTTCCTATCACCTAAAAAACTCTAGCCAACATGTTCATACCACCATGGACTCCACGATAGCATAGAATTCAGTATGAGTCTATTTCAAACCCCAGCAATTTTTGAGAATACTCAAGATGACAAAATATTAAGTAAAATAGGCTTCCATTCATAAGACTGCAAGCAAGAATATCACACAGATGGTCTAGTTCACACATGAAGACACTGAGAACCATGTGTGCCTACATGCAACTGGTTTCAGTTTTTCAGTGCAGGGACTTCTCTAAAGATGAAAACACATTGATATCTTATCCTAAGACTAAATAGAAATGGAACTACTTTTTGGTCATGTGCAACTAAAGCTTTTAAAGACTGCACTAGAATTTGAAGGGGAAAAAAATCAAGTTTATAAAAATATTACCTCCTAGCTATATAACCCTGAACTAATTTCATATCTATAAAATGTGAGTTTTTCCTATCTCTAAAGTATAAACAGCACCTATTTCACACAGTGGCTATGATGACTAAATGAAAAGATCTATAAAGTATTAAGTATGAAGTATTTAGCATAGTATCAGTCATACAAAATTATTCAATAATTTTTACTTGTTTTGAAGATAACTCAAACTGGACTTGATCACAAGACACAGAAAGTACAATAACATTAATTAAAATGCTACAATCTTAGTTTTTTAAATAATCAAAATATGGGGATTAACTAAATTTATTTGCTGTATGAAAAATTACCAATTAAATTAATATACAAATAAGATTGAAGGAGGGAGAGTTACCTATCTGATTGCAACACTTGACATCTGCTTGCTTAACAATTCATTCCCTGTTTTGGAGAACCTGTGCCCAAGACAAAGTAACTGGTCCTCGGATATTGTGGAGTTGGTAAATAGCTCTAATACAAGGCAGGAAGCAGTAAGTGTTCAGACAATCATTTGATGTTTCCCTACTCTGTCTAAGCATTTTATGAGTAACATGCATCATTTTAATTTATTTTTCATAGCAACCATCCAAAAGATATGTACTGTCTATCCATATTTTAGAGTTGCACAAAGTGAAACCACAAAAGGTGTGTCTGTCACCAAACTCAGTGTTCCTTTCCCATCCTGCCACTTCACATAAAAGAGATGTTAAGTCAAAAGAGAAACCCTACTTTTGGTTTGGTCAGAGCAGGATGGATCAAAGTCAGCTTCATGAAGGAGAAATAATTTGAGTTGTGTTTTGTAGGAGAGAATGAACTTGAATATACAGATGCCACAGAAGGAAGGTAAGCAGAGAACACAGCATAGACAAGCTGGAAAGGGGCATATACAGGGATCAGCAGGTGGTTCCAGGATGTGAAGAGCAGATCAACAGGGTAAAAAGTGGCTATTCATGGATGAGAAAGATAACCTTGGGCAACAAAGCATATGAGTGTGGCTAGGCATGGTGGCTCATGTCTGTAATCCCAGCACTTGGGCAGGCCAAGGTAGTAGGACTGCTTGAACTCAGGTGTTCAAGACCAGAATGGTCAACATAGTGAGGCCTCATCTCTACTAAAAATAAAAAAAAAATTAGCCTTGTGTGGTGGGACATGACCATAGTCTCAGACACTTGGGAGGCTGAGGTAGGAGGACCACTGGAGCCTGGGAGATAAAGGCTACAGTGAACTATGATTGTGCCACTGCACTCTAGCCCAGGTGACAGAGCAAGACCCTATCTCAAAACCAATAAACATATGACTGAATCTACCACTAAGGCAGGAATGGAGGAGGAGAGCAGCTAAGATCAGCATGTTCATGAATTGCCTGGTATTAACTATAATTACTTAACCAAAAAGTCCAGATATTTATACACACATTTAAATGGCCTTGCCTTTCAGTCTTCCTAATTTTCTCTAATATTGCCCAATTTTCTTTTTCAGTTCCTTCATCTTCCAACTTCTTCTCACTAGTAGGCTCTTCTTTCATCTCATAGTGATCTAAGTCTTCTATATCCTGCAAAAAGAAGAAAAATATTAGCCAATTCAACCCACTTTCCTTCAGCAGTTTCTTATGCCAAAACTTAAATTATTCTTGACTCGGTGGGGGACAAGAAACAGAATATATCTATCCTATGGGGAGAGAGAAAAAGCCCCCACATTCCATTCAAGAGGCTCCCACCTTTTATATCCTGTAATTTATTTAAAAGCTAGACTCTGGGGAAAGCAGATTTAAAAGCTTTACAAAGTCACACCTATTATGAAATAAGCCATCATTTATTTATTTACTTCTTTAATTTATTTTATTTTTTTTTGTACGATAGAGTCTCACTCTGTCATTCAGGCAGGAGTATAGTGGGGCAATCTCTGCTCACTGCAACCTCTGCCTCCCAGGTTCAAGTGATTCTCATGCCTCAGTCTCCTGAGTAGCTGGGATTACAGACGTACACTGCCACGCCCAGCTAATTTCTTTGTATGTTTAATAGAGACAGGGTTTCAACATGTTGGCCAGGCTGGTCTCAAACTTATGACATCAAGTGATCTGCCCACCTCAGCCTCCCAAAGTGCTGGGATTACTGGCATCAGACACCACGCCCAGCCAAGCCATCTTTTAAATCTCTTCTCAAGAGGAACCTTTGAAACAGTTTAGCAGCAGGTGTCAAGAACCTTAAGTGTTCATAGTTTGTTCCAGATACTCGACCTCTAGAACTGTATTACAAGAAACTAGTCTAAGATGTAAACACAAATTTAGGCATAAGGATACCTATTTCAACCTTGCAACCACAAAAACAAACACAAAATCTGCATGTGCAAAAATAGCAAAACAGTTAATTCAATTCCATGAACTATTAAGAAGCCACTGAAATATCAACACAGCATAATTTCTCCTGTATCGAAAAACTTTGAAATGAAAAATGGATTACACAAAGGAATAGAAAGAATTTCAATTATGCTGAAATAAGCACAGAAAAAGACGAGAAGAACTTATATTGAAATCTTAATTTCAATTAATTTTAGTTGTTATCTCTGGAGACATTTGGTGCTTTACCCTAATTTCCAAGTTTATGGTTTTATGTAGTAAGCACCTATTGATGCTAATGACTTAAAAATAAGTTAGAAAAAGAATTTGATGTCAGGTGCTCAGGAGGCTGAAATAGAAGCATTGTTTGGGCCCGGGAGTTTGAGGCTGCAGTAAGCTATGATCATGCCACTGCACTCCACCCTGGGTGACAGCAACCCTATCTCAAAAACTAATAATAATTTCAAAAGAATTTGAATAATACCCCGCAGAACAACATCTTTATTCACATCATTCTGCTCCCTCCCTTCCCATACTATCTGTTCTTACATATATACAAACATATGCAGAATTGTTTAAATCCTAACTTTTTTCAATTACCTTATATTTCTACTTCAATTGCCAAAATCTCTAAAGGGGTAGTTTATGTTTATCTCGATTTTTTTTCCCAAGCCAGCTAATTCACCGATTTCTAGACCAGACTACTGAATACCTTCACTCAAACTCTGCCCATGAGTCTGTACTTCATGGAGCTCCCTTCTCCCTGTGTGCACTTTTCAGCCCTGATCTTCTACCCACATTTGTTTTCCCCACAATGCTCACAAATGCCTTTGGCCTGTATTTCCACCTGTACCTTCAACCTCAGTCATGTTCCCATCCACAAAACTTCTCCACCTAAGTATTAATCAGCACATCCCAAACAGAATTCAACATATCTTTCTAAAACAATATTCTCAGCACATGATTCCCTGCTTAAGGCCTTCTTATCAACAAACATACCAAATAGAAACATGCCTGTCTCAAATTCAAGACTTCTATCCATCTGTCTTTTCTGGACAATCTTGCTTTCCATGACTTCAACACATCAACTTTCCTTCTCAAAAGAAAAGCATCCAGTGCACCCAAACACACCATGTCCAAAGTTGCTCTGGGCCTGTTCCCACATTATTTTAGGAGCCTAGAATATCTGCTTTTCACCTGTCCTAATCTGACAACTCCGAAGTCCAGTCTCCTACCTTTCTAGATTTCCCTCAAAGTTGCGGTGCCTTGTTTTTTATCTTGTGAAGGGAAAATGAAAGTGTTCATGAACTTTAGTACAATGGCTGCCTGACCTATGGAAAAGGTTTAATGTTTTCATGCAGTTTATTCCATCTAAGCTAAACTGCATAAAAACATTAAAACAGACTTTCATTCTAATTGGACAATTTTAAGAAGTATTTTACTCCCAGACTCATAAAACAAGCCTACAGCCAGGCACAGTGGCACACACCTGTAATCCCAGCACTTTGGGAGGCTGAGGTGGTGGATCACTTGAGGTCAGGAGTTCAAGACCAGCCTGGGCAACAAAGTGAGACTCAAACGCTAAAATAAAAAATAAAAATAAAATAAAATAAAATAAAATAAAATAAAATAAAAAAATTAGCTGGACGTGGGGCACCGGCCTGTAGTCCCAGCTACTCAGGAGGATCGCTTGAACCCAGGAGTTCAAGGTTACAGTGAGCCATGCCAGCGCTACTGCACTCCAGCCTGGGTGACAGTGAAACCCTGTCTCAAAAAACAAACAAAAGGAAGACTACAACACTACTTTTTTAGTTCTGAAGCACTCTAAAGTACATTTTAGATTAATAATTTCCAAACCAAGAAAATGAAAGCCTAAATTAATTATAAGACCTCAAACAGAAAAAAATCTTTTAAAACAATCGATACCATGGAATTTACATACATTCTATTTGGTCAATGCAGAGACATAGATCTTTGTTCTGAAGTTCAAATTTAAATGTAAGGCTTCAGAGCCAGAAAACATCTAAAATTATACCCATGACTGACAACTGGCCTAGGCTCAATGTCTTTGGAATTTGCTCTACTAAATTTGCTACTGTTTCAATGTATTCCCTCCAAAATTCAACTGTTGCCAATGTGATGATATTAAGAGGTAGGACTTTTAATAGATGATTAGGCCAAGAGGGCTCCTTTCTCCTTCATGGGATTAAGGCCCTTATGAATGAGGCTTCACACATTGGACCAGCTTGCTCTCCTGCCCTTCTGCCTGCTACCATGTGAGGATAAAACAAGAAGGTCCTGAGACACCAAATGTTGATATTTTCATCTTGGATTTCCCAGACTCCAGAACTGTCAGAAAATAAACGACTGCTCTTCATAAATTACTCACTCTCTGTTATTCTGTCACAATACTATGAAACAGACTAAGACAAATTTGTTTGAATGATTTTTCAGCAAGAGACAGTTTCACTACTTCTGGCAGGTAGTCTCTAAAATATTCTGAAATTCTCCTTTTATGCAAACATAAAATTTTTTAAACTCAGTAGTGTCTCTTCCAAAAAATAACCAAATACAGGTTAAGTACTGATTAGTATTAAATATAATTTTAGTGTTAAAACTTAAGAGCTTTTGTTTTCCAGAAAATAAAATCCAAGAATTCAGATAAAAAAAATTTGCACAAAGGCATATCATGAGTTAGAGGTAAAGCCAGAATTTATAAATTACATTCCATTCCAAATAAGATGTGCTTTCAATTATTCCATATTAATAGTTATTTATAAAGGAGATTAGAGAATTACTCAAATGACCAAAAGAGAAGATATTTATGATATGTATATATATATATTTTTTTTTTTTTTTTTTTGAGACAGAGTCTTGCTCGTCACTCAGGCAGGAGTGCAGTGGCACGACCTTGGCTCACTGCAACCTCCACCTCCCAGATTCAAGCAATTCTCCTGCCTCAGCCACCTGAGTAGCTGAGATTACATGTGCCTACCACCACGCCCGGCTAATTTTTGTACTTTTAGTAGAGACAGAATTTCACCATGTTGGCCAGGCTGGTCTCAAACTCCTGTCCTCAGGTGATCCACCTGCCATGGCCTCCCATAGTGCTTGCTCTGATTTTTAGAGTTTCCAGTTTTTCTGCTCTGTTTTTTCCCAATCTTTGTGGTTTTATCTACCTTTGGTCTTTGATGACGGTGACATACAGATGGGGTTTTGGTGTGGATGTCCTTTCTGTTTGTTAGTTTTCCTTCTAACAGTCAGGACCCTCAGCTGCAGGTCTGTTGGAGTTTGCTGGAGGTCCACTCCAGACCCTGTTTCCCTGGGTATCAGCGGCGGAGCCTGCAGAACAGCAGATATTGGTGAACAGCAAATGTTGCTGGCTGATTGTTCCTCTGGAAGTTTTGCCTCAGAGGAGTACCCAGCCATGTGAGGTGTCAGTCTGCAGCTACTGGGGGGTGCCTCCCAGTTAGGCTATGTGGGGTTCAGGGACCCACTTGAAGAGGCAGTCTGTCTGTTCTGAGATTTCAAGCTGCGTGCTGGGAGAACCACTATTTTCTTCAAAGCTGTCAGACAGAGATATTTAAGTCTGCATAGGTTTCTGCTGCCTTTTGTTTGGCTATGCCCTGCCCCCACAGGCAGAGTCTACAGAGGCAGGCAGGCCTCCTTGAGCTGCAGTGGGCTCCACCCAGCTCGAACTTCCCAGCCACTTTGTTTACCTACTCAAGCCGCAGCAATGATGGGCTCCCCTCCCCCAGCCTCACTGTCGCCTTGCAGTTTGATCTCAGACTGCTGTGCTAGCAAAGAGTGAGGCTCCGTGGGTGTAGGCCTTCCAAACTAGGTGTGTGATATAATCTCCTGGTGTCCCATTTCCTAAGACCGTTGGAAAAGCACAGTACTAGTGTGGGAGTGACCTGATTTTCCAGGTGCCATCTGCCAGCCCTTGCTTTGAATAGGAAAGGGAATTCCCGGACCCCTTGTGCTCCCTGGGTGAGGTGATGCCTCGCTGTGCTTTGGCTCATGCTCAGTGCACTGCACCCACTGTCCTGCACCCACTGTCTGACACGCCCCAGTGAGATGAATCCAGTACCTCAGTTGGAAATGCAGAAATCCCCTGTCTTCTGTGTGGCTCATGGTGGGAGCTGTAGACTGGAGCTGTTCCTATTCAGCCATCTTGGCTCCACCCCCGTTCTCTAACTTTTGACAGAAAAGTGTTTGGAATCAGAGTTTTTATCTAATTTTTCAGATCCTACACTGCCACCTAGTAAGATAGGATTTTTCTCTGTGTAGAGCCTTGTCAGCCCTTTGCCCAAAACGTCTAGTTTCTAACTTTCTCTTCCTCCCATGTCCCGCTAATAATTATAAGACTCTATGTCCCATCTGTAAGCAGAAAATCTCCACTTTCAACAGTCAAAAAGAAGCTGCCCTTGAGAGACAAATTCCAACCTCATTGCTGAAGTTTTTATAAAAGAAGGAAAAGAATGGAATCTCTTTTTTTTTTTTTTTTTTTTTGAGGCAGCTGTTCTACATCCAGCTACATTGATATCTAAATAAGAAGAGAATGTTAATTTTCAAAGTCAGTCCCTATTATTTACGAGGATGTCAATGTTTTGCTAGGACCACAGTAAGGGAAGCCAGGGATAGTATAAAGACTCAAACTCTATTAAAGACTCTTGCTGCCATCTAACTACTGCATAATCTCTCTTAAGCTTCCCACATACCTGGAAGGTTTTGGGTTGAATGGGCTTAGGAGACAAACAACGAATTATATATATATATATGTGTGTGTGTGTGTGTGTGTGTGTGTGTGTGTGTGTGTGTATAATTTTACATATGTGTGAGGAATTATATATATATAAACATATATAGACATACATATATACACATATATACATATACACACACGTGTGTATATGTATATATGTGTGTAATATATATGTTTGTATGTGTATATATAAACACATTTATAGACAGAGCATGCATATATATGTAAATATACACACTCACTTATATGTGTGTCTGTATGTGTGCATATATGTGTGTATATATACACGTGTTATATATACACATACATATGTGTATGTGTATACGTATATACCTACATATACACATACCATCTATACACACATACCAGAGTGTATATGTGTACATCCAGAAACTCTGGGTATTACATATGTGCATATTACATATGTGCATATTACATACATATATGTACACACATACATATGTGTGTATGTGTATATGTATATATATACACACATATAGAGATATATATACACATATACATATACATATGTATCAACACAAGTGTAAGGTTTCAGCAAAATTTTAGTATATAAAAGCAGACCGATTTGCCAGCAAGTTGCTACATGATTTGAGAGCTATTAATGCACAGATTAAATCAATGGGTGCATTACAGCAAGGTCTGCCGTTCCTGGCAGCCATTCCAAGTGACTCACCTCCCATCGTAGCAGATCTCAAAGATTATTTCCTTACTGTACCCTTACATGAGAAGGATAAGCAAAGTTTCACCCCAAAGCATGCTCACCGGTCCTACGCTATTTCAGCGTTTTGTAGGACAGTCCTTAAAGGAGCCTCGTAATATATTTCCTACTGCCTACATAATTCATTATATGGATGAAATTCTTTTGGCTGCTCCAATGGAAGAGTTATTACACCAATTGCTGAGAGAAGCAAAACAGGGGGACATCTCAAAATAGTTCAACAAAAGGTAGAAGCAACCTCCCCATACCAATACTTAGGCACTATTGCTACTGAAACAAATGTTTGACCTCAGAAAGCAGTCCTCTGTAGGGACAGATTACAAACCTTCAGTGATTTCCAACAACTATTAGGAGATATAAATTGGCTGTGCCCAATCCTAGGTATTGCTACTCATCAACTCAAACACTCAGGCACTCCATGGAAATTCTTCATTAGGAGCAATGGGCTTAGGAGACAACCCAGTTGCTGGTTTGTCTAAGGAGGCTGAAGCTGAGTTACAGCTTGTAGAGTAGATTCTTCAGCAAACACATGCCTCCTGGCTACAGCCACAAAATCCCTTGGTTCCCTTTTTTCTCTCTACCCCCCATTCTCCAACAGGACTTTTAGGCCAGATCATAGAAAAATATGTAATTGTAATAGAATGGCTTTGTTTGAAATTCAATCAGAGAGTAAAATCTCTGCAAGTTTATCTTTCTTTAACTACTCAGTTTATAACAAGGGGTAGGGATAGATCAAAAATGCTTAAGAGATATGATCCACACAAAATTATTGTTCTCCTTTTAGAGCCAGTCTACAAGTATGAGGAGAAATATTGGATTCCCAGCAACAGGCTGCAGCATGGGAAATGTTGACTGTGTGGCAAATTGCTCTTTCAGGTTGTGTAGGAATAATACATAAACATTATCCCTCAGACAAAATTTTGCAATTTTAAAAATTCAGCCTTTCATCTTCCCTGTGATTCCTCATCACAAGCCCATTTCAGGCAGCCAGACCTATTTTACTGGTGGCTCTTCCAAAGGTCGCAAAGCTACTTATGGTACTAAGCATGCTCAAACAATAAAAAACCCCGGAGTTTCAGATCAACGCTCAGAACTAATGGCAGTTATGCAGGTTTTAGAGCTCACTGGTTCATCTCTTATTAACACTCTCTGTCATTCAGCCTATGTTGTAAATGTAGCCAGTCATATTGGGACGACCACTATTAAAAGCACCCTGGAACCAGAGCAGTTTAACTTGTTTCTAAGACTTTAACAAGCTGTTTGCTCTTGTGCTGCTTTTTATATTTCTTATATTTGCTCTCCCACACAACTCCCTACACCACTATTTCTAGGTAACAATAGAGCCAATAAATTGGTTTGTTCTGCATTTCAACAAGCTCAACCTTCTCATATATTACTGCATCAAAACTCTGCCTTTACTCGTATGTTTCATTTGCCTCACAGCCAGGCTGCAGCCTGTACAAGCCTGTCCTGCTTGCCAGCATGTCACTGGAGTCACACTCACAGAAGGCTGTAACCCATGAGACTTAGCTTCAAATGAAATCTGACAGATGGATGTTACTCACAAAGCTGCCATTGGTAAGTTCTCCTTTGTTCATGTGACTACAGACACTTATTCTCATATGCGGCATGCTACATGCAAACCAGGTCACACAGCTGGTTATGTGTGATGACATTGTCTGTCATCATTTGCTCATATCGGGGGGTCCCTAAACAATTAAAAACTGACAATGGACACACTTATGTTAGTCATGCTTTTTAAAATTTTTTACAGCTATGGTCAGTCACTCATAAAACAGGAATTCCTTACAAACCCCAAGGACAAGGAATTATAGAGCGGGCAAATCAAACATTACAAGGTGTGCTGAAAAAAACCGAAAGGGGAAACAAGAGATCAGTTACCACCTCAAACAAAATACATTTACTTTTACTTTAATTAATTTTTTTACTTATTTACTTTAATTTTTTGACTCCTGGCACAGATAGTAAGACTATGGCAGAACGACACTGGTAAATGTCATAGGGAAAAAGTAAAGTATACCCAAAAATATTATGAAAATCCCCCTAAGGACGATGGAAATGCTCAGGAGATTTACTGATGTAAGGATGAGGGTATGCTTGTGTTTTTACAGGAGACGGATAATCTGTGTGGGGTGCCTTCAATGTGTTTGTGACCATGTAAAGGAAGACTGGAGAGAGCCATGGATCCCAACTATGAATCCGACTCCTCCATTACAAGGCATGAGTCAGTTGAAATTGCTGGAGCACCAGGGTCAGGCAAACACCCCCGATGTCACGTTTATGGCCATGCTACCTGCAACATCCTGTGCAGTAGGTTTTCCTTGTGCAGAGACAAAAACATATTGGGCCTATATTCCCAATCCCCCAGTATTATGGACTGTAATTTGGAGTGACACTCCCCCTGACATCTATCATGATCATGAAGCATGGGCACCAGGACCCCTAACACCCCCTGACAAACAGTTATTAGACTCTCAGAACAATGATTATCAATTATGCTGCTCCATTGGAGGGACTTCCTTCATGAGTCACACAGCGTACATCACTCAACTGCAGTGGCCTTGCAAATTAATCCCAAGTATGGCTGACTTACCATCGAAAAAAAATATGTACCTATTAGGCCTTAGCTCTATTACCATTACCGGTGTAGCTACTAATCTCTCCCAGCCCCATCCCCCAAATCGTATTAATTATACAGAATGAGCTCTCTTTGATAATTCTTACCCCCCCCTCCTTGGACCCAGTGTCTTGGTGCCCTAGCTAGACAAGAGTACATGCTAATCGGAGACATTATTTTCTAGGTCCCTGTGGTCATTTAGATGGGAGAGATGAGAATCCGACCTCATGGCATAAACTTCGCTGACACTGGTCAGCATCTCTTCACTGCATTGCACTGGGATTCAATCCCAATCTGCAGCAAGTTTAACTTGGCATGGAACAGGCTTTAGCCCAACTTTGCCTCAATGGCATTACCAAGGAAAGAGAGGTCCAACTCAGGAGTCGATAGGGAAGGCAGCACTCCACTATATGAATGGCAGCATTTGTGTCGGAACACTATCTAATTTTAATAATTGTGCTGAACACAGTTTTAATGTTACCGTTGTGGAAAACATTACCACTCAATTTACAATTTGTGTTTTTGAACTTATGTTTTTCTGGCAGCAAAGAGGACCAACTCCAGGTAAACGATGCCCGATTGACTTGTGATTCCTGTCAACTGTATTATTCCCTTAATCATAGCACAGTACAAACATACAGCATATCCACCCTAGTAATTCTAGGTCACAATCCCGGATTATGGATTCCTGTAAATCTGCCTGAGGCTTGGGTGGCCACCTCTGGTTTCCATTGTGTAAACTTTTTTCTTAGTCAGCTTATTCGTTGTGCTTGTAGAGCCTTAGGCATGAAAATTTTTCTGAAAGTCTCCTTAGGTACATTAATAACTTCTGTTGTGGCGTCCTTAGTAGCAATGTACAGCTCCATTCAAATCACAGCTCAATATATAGAAAATTGGATGTGTACAGCCGACCAGGCATGGATGCTTAAAAATTAACTTAACACTGAGATACACATGGAAGTAGCAATGTTAAAGAATTAAAGATTACAGTTCTGTGGCTAGGAAACCAAGAACAAACTTGCAGTTGCGTCAGCAATTGCATTGTCATTTTAAGCATACTCATATTTGTGTAACCAATTTGGAATAAAACCAAAGGGAATATCCATGGAAACTTCATTTACAAAGCAAAATTCTAAACTTGAAAAAGCATACTCAAGTAATACAGCCATCTCTGAAAACTTGGGCAGAATTCCAGCAAGGTTTAGAGAGCCTTAGCGTTTGGACCTCCTCCAAACATCACCTAAATGTCTTTTTTGTGATTATCAGAGTAACGTTTTGATGTCTCTCTTTTATGTTCATTGTCTGTAAAAGCAGCTGGACCACCAAACAGCAGTGGAGAGTTGCACAGCCTGCAATGATCTTTACTCAATTAATGCAAAAATAAAAAGGAGGAGATGTTGGAGGCCAAAAGAATGAGGGTCGTGACCAACTCAGTAATGACTGGAGGGTCTATGAGCAGAGAGGAAACTGTTCTCATGAAAGCAGCATGTTGGCAACCTGACACACCACGTCTGGTGTCAGAAGGAATGCTGAGGGCAGTCATGCCCCAAGCACAGTCTTTCTTGTGGTTATATATAGGAACATCTGAAGCCTGTAGTATATAGAAAGCAATTACATGAGCCTGTGATAAATCAAGCAGCTGACCAACAATTACCTTTCCTCCCTGTTGATTCTGCCTAATAAATATGAAGGCCTGTAGAAGCTCAGGGCCTTTGCTGATTAGAAGCAATGAGCCCCCGACCCTTCTTTTAAAACAGACCTTTTTTGTCTCTGTCTTCATTTCTGCATTCAACCCCCTTCGTTTCATCCCATGTAACGACATGTGGCAGTAACTGACTGCCACACCGTCTCTATTAAAAATACAAAAAAAAAAAAAAAAAAAAAAAAAAAAATAGGTGGGCTTGTTGGCAGGCACATGTAATCCATGCTACTCCAGAACCTGAGGCAGAAGAATCCCTTCAACCCAGGAGACAGATGTTGCAGTGGGCCGAAATCACGCCTTTGCACCCCAGGCTGGGTGACAACGTGTGACTCCATCTCAAAAAAAGCAGAAAACAAAAAAGAAGAAACCAAAACCATACAAAACAAAACAAACAAAAACTATGTTCTGGTTAAGAGAACTGAAAAAGCAAGCCTCAGGCTAAGAAAAATCTAGGAAACACATCTGAAAAGTGACTTCTATGCAAAATATACAAAGAAATAAGATGACCCAATTAATAAGTAGAGACCTGAGTAGATACATCACCAAAACAGATATGGAGATGGAAAACCCGGTGCACAAAATACTGCTTGCTGAGCCCCTGTTACTTCTTCTGAAGGCTGAGGCTCCAAGCCATTTCCTGAGGAGCAACAGTGGCTGCCAGAGTGACAGTGGCTCCATAGATCATCCCCACCTACCCCAGCTCTACCTTTCTTCCAGGTTCCAAGGATTTCCCAGACATTGAGCATGCTCACGAGGAAAGAGCCAGAAGCTGGATATTTTATTTCACAACTTTTCTTAAAATTCTGGATGTCAACCAGTATCCTTTGGTTGGAAGTTTTATATTTATCCTAACAATCTTGAGGCACTGACAAGTATTAGGAAAGATGATTTTCAACCTACGTTTGATTCCATGAAGAAATAAAGGAATTGGTGTGGCCAGGCATGATGGCTCACATCGGTAATTCCAGCAGTTTGGGAGGCTGAGCCAGGTGGATGTCCTTAGGTCAGGTGTTTGAGATCATCCTGGTCAACGTGGTGAAACAAACTCTCTACTAAAAATGTAAAAAATTAGCCAGTACCGGTAGTGGTGTCTGGGTCCTGTAAACGCAGATCCTCAGGAAGCTAAGACAGGAGAATTGCATGAACCTGGGAAGCTGAGGTTACCAAAGCCGAGATCATGTCATTGCACTCCAGCCATGGGAACAGACCAAGACTCCGTCTCAAAACAAACAAACAAACAACAACAACAACAAACAGAACAGAACAACAACAAAAAAAGGACTCAATTACATTTTTAGGCAGTTATTTTAGAAGGCTTGGTACAATGCATTACTATTTTGGTATTCTCAAGACAGAAAACACAGTAACGCTAGTAAGTAAAAACCAAACAGCAAGTCACTACAAATTCATGGGATTAATTTCATCCGTCATTCTTCCTGGCTTTTATTTAAAATGTGTAATGTTGAAATAATCAGACGTTTTACTTGTGATACCTAAATGCAAGAAGAAACACCAGTTACTGAACCATTATTAAATGAATCTCAGTCTTCAAATTTGATTCTGATGCAGTGGAATGTTTTGTGAAAGATGGAAAACTAACAGACCAAACACACGTGATTTCAAATTTTGGCCTACTTTTGTAGAAGCAGATTTAAGAACCAAAACCTTCATAGTTCTAATTTTTGTCAGTGATTCAGCATTGCAAGATATGTAGTGAAACTGAAATCAGAGATTTTTTTCAATTCCAACAGAAACTAGTTTGTACTCTGGACATTCGTGTTGCTCCCTTGAAATCCGTAAAGAAATCACGTGATTGAAAGGGACTTTTACACAGTGAAAATCTGCCAATACACCGCATTATCTTATTAGCTACAGTTCACTATTTTATTGTAGTCACCATAAGATTAGAAAAAAAAAAAAAAAAGCAGATAAATGACTATGTGTACTAGAATTATTTTATTTTATTTTATTTTATTATTATTATACTTTAAGTTTAGGGTACATGTGCACAATGTGCAGGTTAGTTACATATGCATACATGTGCCATGCTGGTGTGCTGCACCCATTAACTCGTCATTTAGCATTAGGTATAGCTGCTAAAGCTATCCCTCCCCCGTAACCCCACCCCACAACAGTTCCCCGAGCGTGATGTTACCCTTCCTGTGACCATGTGTTCTCATTGTTCAATTCCCACCCATGAGTGAGAATACGTGGTGTTTGGTTTTTTGTTCTTGTGATAGTTTACTGAGAATGATGATTTCCAATTTCATCTATGTCCATACAAAGGACATGAACTCATCATTTCTTATGGCTGCATAGTATTCCATGGTGTATATGTGCCACATTTTCTTAATCCAGTCTATCATTGTTGGACATTTGGGTTGGTTCCAAGTCTTTGCTCTTGTGAATAGTGCTGCAATAAACATAGGTGTGCATGTGTCTTTATAGCAGCATGATTTATAGTCCTTTGTGTATACACCCAGTAATGGGATGGCTGGGTCAAATGGTATTTCTAGTTCTAGATCCCTGAGGAATCACCACACTGACTTCCACAAGGGTTGAACTAGTTGACAGTCCCACCAACAGTGTAAAAGTGTTCCTATTTCTCCACATCCTCTCCAGCACCTGTTGTTTCCTGACTTTTTCATGATTGCCATTCTAACTGGTGTGAGATGCTATCTCATTGTGGTTTTGATTTGCATTTCTCTGATGGCCAGTGATGGTGAGCATTTTTTCATGTGCTTTTTGGCTGCATAAATGTCTTCTTTTGAGAAGTGTCTGTTCATGTACTTTGCCCACTTTTTGATGGGGATGTTTTTTTTTTTTCTTGTAAATTTGTTTGAGTTCATTGTAGATTCTGGATATTAGCCCTTTGTCAGATGAGTAGGTTGCAAAAATTTTCTCCCATTTTGTAGGTTGCTTGTTCACTCTGATGGTAGTTTCTTTTGCTGTGCAGAAGCTCTTTAGTTTAATTAGATCCCATTTGTCAATTTTGGCTTTTGTTGCCATTGCTTTTGGTGTTTTAGACATGAAGTCCTTGCCCATGCCTATGTCCTGGATGGTAATGCCTAGGTTTTCTTCTCGGGTTTTTATGGTTTCAGGTCTAACGCTTAAGTCTTTAATACATCTTGAATTAATTTTTGTGTAAGGCGTAAGGAAGGGATCCAGTTTCAGCTTTCTACCTATGGCTAGCCAGTTTAGGATTACAGAAGGCTCTGGGCAGCTGGCTAGAGTATTAGGTCATGACTCTTTTCTGCAGAAGAGAGGACTGAGCCTTGCATCCAGAGCTTTCCGGGTCTAAGCTCAGGGCCATCTTAATGCTCATTGTACAGCCTCATATAATTAGAACCAAAGGAATTTGTTTTCTGAGGCCACAGCTTTTCTAAATGTGAACCCAGAGTTAACCAAATCAACAGTAGCTTGTGCTTGAGAGTGACATGTGTTTTGAGGTAGTCTCTGGAAGGCCCAAAGGAAGGGAAGTTAGTGACAGCTTACACCACAGACACTCTTTGTTAAACTTTAGAAAGAAAAGTGGAAATAATTAAATGTCAGTGGTCAAGCACTCTGTGTACCAGCCACAAGTGGAGACTGAGTTGGCACATTCTCCACACCAGCAGGAGAAAGCAACCTGCAGACTCCGACTCCAGTCTCTGGCGCTTGGGTTGTGTGAGAACTGGAATGACAACAGCATTTAAAATCAGCAGAATTCCAAGTTGTTTGGCCTATTAAATCCTGGAAAGGCTGTTGAGATTGATGGTTGTGGCAGTTCCTTTCTCACAGAGGGAGGCTGAGGCCCGTGAGTGGTGAGCCTGGTTCATGTGGCCTGGGGTGACTGGGCTAAATGTAGCATCCACTTCTGTACTTTATAGTCTTTGTTATAGCACATATGGGCTGTGCTCCTCCCTCCAGGCCTGTGTCCATTAGGGACCACCAGGATCAGGTTCCCAGGGCATGAGGGTCTCCTTTGTCTGGTAGCAGAGACCAGGTTGGCTCCAGGCAGGTGCCTCGTGAGGACTGAATTATAGGGGACCTATGAGAAGAGAGGGTGCAGTACCCCAAATCACATGCTCTCCTTGCTGAAATAGCTAGGTTGTGAGAAAATCCACACTACAATCATGGACTTGCTTTCCATTCACTGCTGGAGCTGAGACCGGGCAGAGTTTGCCACAGCCACTCTCTCCCCTGGAGCTTGCCTATCCTCTCCACATGGCTGTCCTCAGCCTTCCTCTTGCTCCTCCAACTCTTATGCCACCTGCACATTTTAACCTAGTGGAAATGCAAGTCAAAGCTACAGTAAGATACCTCTTCACACACATTATAATTGCAGGAAAAAAAAAGCTAACAATGGTTGAAATGGAAGTGGGAAAATGTGAAAGAAAAATGCTGCAGCTGCTGTGGAAAATAGTTTGGTGGTTCTGCAAAAGCTAAATATAAAATTACCATAGAACGCCCAAAATCCACTCCAAGCTATATACACACAAAAAAAATGTAAAAGAGCTATTCAAACAAAAATATGTGTACGTATGTTCATAGCAGCATTCACAATAACTAAAATCTGAAACACACCCAATAAATGTCCAGCAACAAAAAAATAAGAAACAAAATGTAGTATGTCCATACAACGGCATACTATTCAGCTGTGAAAAGGATTACAACTCTAATGCTACAATGTGAAGAAACTTAAATTTTGGCTCAAGAAGCAGAGCACAAAAGTCACATAGTGTATGATTCTATTTATATAAATATTTAGAGTAGGTAAATCCATAGAGAAAAAATGCAGATTATTGGTACTGGTGTCAGAAAGAGGACAGATTGGGTAGGAGCTTCTTAATAAGTAGGGTATTTCCTTTTGGAATAATGAAAATACTTTGGAACTAAGATGTGGTAGTTGCACACAAATATGCACGTACTAAAGATCACTAAGGAATTCATTAAGAAACAGTTAATTTTATATTATGCGAAGGAATTTAACCTCACTAAAAAGACAAAATTTCTTCCTCAGCATTCTCTCAGCAATGTGAGCTCTCTTTCCACAGAGTGCTTGTAGCATGGGGTTCTAGTCCCTCCACAGTCCAGAACTGCCTGGGGCCAGGCCAGCCACACACTAGACATGAACTCCCACCACGCTGTCCAGCAGTCCCTCGACCTGTTACCAGTGGAAGTTATCTGAGTTACTGGCATCAAATCTATCATGGTCTGCAGTAACCTCAACTCTTGCCTCCTCAGGAGAAAGAATTTGACTGAGGGGAATAAAGTAGCAAAGCAGACTGAGAAAGGTTTCACAGCAAAAGGCGATGTTTATTTAAAATGTTTTAGAGTAAGAAAAAAAGAAGAGTGCATTTGGAAGAGATCCAAGTGGGTGATTTGAATATATACCATATATATGACTTGCAAATATTGTGTTCCATGCTGTTGGTTTTCTTTCCACTATACTGACAGTGTCTTTTAATGCACAAAAGTGTTTAGTTTTGATGAAGTTCAAGTGATCTAGTTTTTCTTATGTTTTGTGTTCATTCAGTGATATAGCCAAGAAATCATTTACAAATCCACAACCAATAAGCACATGAAAAGATGTTCAAACTCACTAGCCACTTAATGCAGGAATATCTAAACCACAATGAGATTACCACTTTATCCCCATTAGAATTTTTCTTTTCTTTTCTTTTCTTTTTTAAAGAAAAGTTTGAGAGTATGCAGAGAAATTGGAACTCTTGTACATTGCTGGTGAGATTGTGAAATGGTGGTGATGTTTGCACAATTTGAGCATAGTTAATGCTTCCAAATTATACACTCAGTGTTTGAAATGGTACATTTGTTTATGTATGATTTTCCACTTACAACAAAAGCTTCCTCAGAAACTGTCCTAAAATAGTTCCATATGTGATGAAAGAAGACGCTCCTCTCCTATCATGAGTAGAAGACTATTTATTTATTCATGGCATTATACACACTCTTGACTCTTCCACATGCCCAGCAGGATCTCATCAAGCAGAATGAGTCTATTCTCATCTGGCCCATTTGTGCTCCTTTCCATAATTGCATTCTCCTTTTCAACTCACTACCGGCCCGCTAAAAACAACTGTAAGTTGCAGGTCAGTTTACTGTCTCTATAAATATTTCTTCTCTGTAATCTAATAGAAATGAAATCATACAGTATGTCACCTCTTCAGACTGGCTCTTATCACTTTGCTTTATGAATGCCCGCTTCATCCATGGCTTTGCATGACTTCATGAATCACTCCTTTTGTTTGATGAATAGTATTTCATTTTAAGAATTTACCTGGCTTGGTTAATATTGAAGGGCATCGTGATTCCTTCAAGTATGTGGACATTGTCAAAAGAGCCGTTATACATAAATGCTTGTGGTTTTTGGTTAGATGTGAGTTTCCAAATCAGTTGTCTAGATACCTAAGTGTTAACAATTGTCAGCCTATATGATGAGACCATGTCCACCTTTGGAAAAAACTGTCAAACTGTTTCAGAAGAAAACAACCACATTTTAAAGTTGCTGTACAATTATGCATTCCTTCAGCAATGAATGAGATTTTCTGTTGCAGTTTTGAGTATATTTAAAAAGAAATTTAGACATAGTATAGCTGTTTAGTGCTCACACTCTTATTTTAATTTGCCTTCCCCGAACAGCAGGTGTTGTTGAGCATTATTTTGTTGTTATTGTTTGTTCATTAATCTATGATTGCTGCCAAAAAGCATACATGTGTTGTGCCACAGAAAACCAATTTTAAAAAACATACTCTCAGCTCTACTTAGTAAAAAATGAAAAAATTAATGGTCATACTGCCCAAGGTAATTTATAGATTCAATGCCATCCCCATCAAGCTACCAAAGACTTTCTTCACTGAATTGGAAAAAACTATTTTAAAGTTCATATAGAACCAAAAAAGAGCCCACATCACCAAGTCAATCCTAAGCCAAAAGAACAAAGCTGGAGGCATCACGCTACCTGACTTCAAACTATACTACAAGGCTACAGTAACCAAAACAGCATGGTACTGGTACCAAAACAGAGATATAGATTAATGGAACAGAAAATAATGCCGCATATCTACAACTATCTGATCTTTGACAAACCTGAGAAAAACAAGCAATGGGGAAAGGATTCCCTACTTAATAAATGGTGCGGGGAAAACTGGCTAGCCATAGGTAGAAAGCTGAAACTGGATCCCTTCCTTACGCCTTACACAAAAATTAATTCAAGATGTATTAAAGACTTAAGCGTTAGACCTGAAACCATAAAAACCCGAGAAGAAAACCTAGGCATTACCATCCAGGACATAGGCATGGGCAAGGACTTCATGTCTAAAACACCAAAAGCAATGGCAACAAAAGCCAAAATTGACAAATGGGATCTAATTAAACTAAAGAGCTTCTGCACAGCAAAAGAAACTACCATCAGAGTGAACAAGCAACCTACAAAATGGGAGAAAATTTTTGCAACCTACTCATCTGACAAAGGGCTAATATCCAGAATCTACAATGAACTCAAACAAATTTACAAGAAAAAAAAAAAAAACATCCCCATCAAAAAGTGGGCAAAGTACATGAACAGACACTTCTCAAAAGAAGACATTTATGCAGCCAAAAAGCACATGAAAAAATGCTCACCATCACTGGCCATCAGAGAAATGCAAATCAAAACCACAATGAGATAGCATCTCACACCAGTTAGAATGGCAATCATGAAAAAGTCAGGAAACAACAGGTGCTGGAGAGGATGTGGAGAAATAGGAACACTTTTACACTGTTGGTGGGACTGTCAACTAGTTCAACCCTTGTGGAAGTCAGTGTGGTGATTCCTCAGGGATCTAGAACTAGAAATACCATTTGACCCAGCCATCCCATTACTGGGTGTATACACAAAGGACTATAAATCATGCTGCTATAAAGACACATGCACACCTATGTTTATTGCAGCACTATTCACAAGAGCAAAGACTTGGAACCAACCCAAATGTCCAACAATGATAGACTGGATTAAGAAAATGTGGCACATATACACCATGGAATACTATGCAGCCATAAGAAATGATGAGTTCATGTCCTTTGTATGGACATAGATGAAATTGGAAATCATCATTCTCAGTAAACTATCACAAGAACAAAAAACCAAACACCACGTATTCTCACTCATGGGTGGGAATTGAACAATGAGAACACATGGTCACAGGAAGGGTAACATCACGCTCGGGGAACTGTTGTGGGGTGGGGTTACGGGGGAGGGATAGCTTTAGCAGCTATACCTAATGCTAAATGACGAGTTAATGGGTGCAGCACACCAGCATGGCACATGTATGCATATGTAACTAACCTGCACATTGTGCACATGTACCCTAAACTTAAAGTATAATAATAATAAAATAAAATAAAATAAAATAATTCTAGTACACATAGTCATTTATCTGCTTTTTTTTTTTTTTCTAATCTTATGGTGACTACAATAAAATAGTGAACTGTAGCTAATAAGATAATGCGGTGTATTGGCAGATTTTCACTGTGTAAAAGTCCCTTTCAATCACGTGATTTCTTTACGGATTTCAAGGGAGCAACACGAATGTCCAGAGTACAAACTAGTTTCTGTTGGAATTGAAAAAAATCTCTGATTTCAGTTTCACTACATATCTTGCAATGTTGAATCACTGACAAAAATTAGAACTATGAAGGTTTTGGTTCTTAAATCTGCTTCTACAAAAGTAGGCCAAAATTTGAAATCACGTGTGTTTGGTCTGTTAGTTTTCCATCTTTCACAAAACATTCCACTGCATCAGAATCAAATTTGAAGACTGAGATTCATTTAATAATGGTTCAGTAACTGGTGTTTCTTCTTGCATTTAGGTATCACAAGTAAAACGTCTGATTATTTCAACATTACACATTTTAAATAAAAGCCAGGAAGAATGACGGATGAAATTAATCCCATGAATTTGTAGTGACTTGCTGTTTGGTTTTTACTTACTAGCGTTACTGTGTTTTCTGTCTTGAGAATACCAAAATAGTAATGCATTGTACCAAGCCTTCTAAAATAACTGCCTAAAAATGTAATTGAGTCCTTTTTTTGTTGTTGTTCTGTTCTGTTTGTTGTTGTTGTTGTTTGTTTGTTTGTTTTGAGACGGAGTCTTGGTCTGTTCCCATGGCTGGAGTGCAATGACATGATCTCGGCTTTGGTAACCTCAGCTTCCCAGGTTCATGCAATTCTCCTGTCTTAGCTTCCTGAGGATCTGCGTTTACAGGACCCAGACACCACTACCGGTACTGGCTAATTTTTTACATTTTTAGTAGAGAGTTTGTTTCACCACGTTGACCAGGATGATCTCAAACACCTGACCTAAGGACATCCACCTGGCTCAGCCTCCCAAACTGCTGGAATTACCGATGTGAGCCATCATGCCTGGCCACACCAATTCCTTTATTTCTTCATGGAATCAAACGTAGGTTGAAAATCATCTTTCCTAATACTTGTCAGTGCCTCAAGATTGTTAGGATAAATATAAAACTTCCAACCAAAGGATACTGGTTGACATCCAGAATTTTAAGAAAAGTTGTGAAATAAAATATCCAGCTTCTGGCTCTTTCCTCGTGAGCATGCTCAATGTCTGGGAAATCCTTGGAACCTGGAAGAAAGGTAGAGCTGGGGTAGGTGGGGATGATCTATGGAGCCACTGTCACTCTGGCAGCCACTGTTGCTCCTCAGGAAATGGCTTGGAGCCTCAGCCTTCAGAAGAAGTAACAGGGGCTCAGCAAGCAGTATTTTGTGCACCGGGTTTTCCATCTCCATATCTGTTTTGGTGATGTATCTACTCAGGTCTCTACTTATTAATTGGGTCATCTTATTTCTTTGTATATTTTGCATAGAAGTCACTTTTCAGATGTGTTTCCTAGATTTTTCTTAGCCTGAGGCTTGCTTTTTCAGTTCTCTTAACCAGAACATAGTTTTTGTTTGTTTTGTTTTGTATGGTTTTGGTTTCTTCTTTTTTGTTTTCTGCTTTTTTTGAGATGGAGTCACACGTTGTCACCCAGCCTGGGGTGCAAAGGCGTGATTTCGGCCCACTGCAACATCTGTCTCCTGGGTTGAAGGGATTCTTCTGCCTCAGGTTCTGGAGTAGCATGGATTACATGTGCCTGCCAACAAGCCCACCTATTTTTTTTTTTTTTTTTTTTTTTTTTTTTGTATTTTTAATAGAGACGGTGTGGCAGTCAGTTACTGCCACATGTCGTTACATGGGATGAAACGAAGGGGGTTGAATGCAGAAATGAAGACAGAGACAAAAAAGGTCTGTTTTAAAAGAAGGGTCGGGGGCTCATTGCTTCTAATCAGCAAAGGCCCTGAGCTTCTACAGGCCTTCATATTTATTAGGCAGAATCAACAGGGAGGAAAGGTAATTGTTGGTCAGCTGCTTGATTTATCACAGGCTCATGTAATTGCTTTCTATATACTACAGGCTTCAGATGTTCCTATATATAACCACAAGAAAGACTGTGCTTGGGGCATGACTGCCCTCAGCATTCCTTCTGACACCAGACGTGGTGTGTCAGGTTGCCAACATGCTGCTTTCATGAGAACAGTTTCCTCTCTGCTCATAGACCCTCCAGTCATTACTGAGTTGGTCACGACCCTCATTCTTTTGGCCTCCAACATCTCCTCCTTTTTATTTTTGCATTAATTGAGTAAAGATCATTGCAGGCTGTGCAACTCTCCACTGCTGTTTGGTGGTCCAGCTGCTTTTACAGACAATGAACATAAAAGAGAGACATCAAAACGTTACTCTGATAATCACAAAAAAGACATTTAGGTGATGTTTGGAGGAGGTCCAAACGCTAAGGCTCTCTAAACCTTGCTGGAATTCTGCCCAAGTTTTCAGAGATGGCTGTATTACTTGAGTATGCTTTTTCAAGTTTAGAATTTTGCTTTGTAAATGAAGTTTCCATGGATATTCCCTTTGGTTTTATTCCAAATTGGTTACACAAATATGAGTATGCTTAAAATGACAATGCAATTGCTGACGCAACTGCAAGTTTGTTCTTGGTTTCCTAGCCACAGAACTGTAATCTTTAATTCTTTAACATTGCTACTTCCATGTGTATCTCAGTGTTAAGTTAATTTTTAAGCATCCATGCCTGGTCGGCTGTACACATCCAATTTTCTATATATTGAGCTGTGATTTGAATGGAGCTGTACATTGCTACTAAGGACGCCACAACAGAAGTTATTAATGTACCTAAGGAGACTTTCAGAAAAATTTTCATGCCTAAGGCTCTACAAGCACAACGAATAAGCTGACTAAGAAAAAAGTTTACACAATGGAAACCAGAGGTGGCCACCCAAGCCTCAGGCAGATTTACAGGAATCCATAATCCGGGATTGTGACCTAGAATTACTAGGGTGGATATGCTGTATGTTTGTACTGTGCTATGATTAAGGGAATAATACAGTTGACAGGAATCACAAGTCAATCGGGCATCGTTTACCTGGAGTTGGTCCTCTTTGCTGCCAGAAAAACATAAGTTCAAAAACACAAATTGTAAATTGAGTGGTAATGTTTTCCACAACGGTAACATTAAAACTGTGTTCAGCACAATTATTAAAATTAGATAGTGTTCCGACACAAATGCTGCCATTCATATAGTGGAGTGCTGCCTTCCCTATCGACTCCTGAGTTGGACCTCTCTTTCCTTGGTAATGCCATTGAGGCAAAGTTGGGCTAAAGCCTGTTCCATGCCAAGTTAAACTTGCTGCAGATTGGGATTGAATCCCAGCGCAATGCAGTGAAGAGATGCTGACCAGTGTCAGCGAAGTTTATGCCATGAGGTCGGATTCTCATCTCTCCCATCTAAATGACCACAGGGACCTAGAAAATAATGTCTCCGATTAGCATGTACTCTTGTCTAGCTAGGGCACCAAGACACTGGGTCCAAGGAGGGGGGGGTAAGAATTATCAAAGAGAGCTCATTCTGTATAATTAATACGATTTGGGGGATGGGGCTGGGAGAGATTAGTAGCTACACCGGTAATGGTAATAGAGCTAAGGCCTAATAGGTACATATTTTTTTTCGATGGTAAGTCAGCCATACTTGGGATTAATTTGCAAGGCCACTGCAGTTGAGTGATGTACGCTGTGTGACTCATGAAGGAAGTCCCTCCAATGGAGCAGCATAATTGATAATCATTGTTCTGAGAGTCTAATAACTGTTTGTCAGGGGGTGTTAGGGGTCCTGGTGCCCATGCTTCATGATCATGATAGATGTCAGGGGGAGTGTCACTCCAAATTACAGTCCATAATACTGGGGGATTGGGAATATAGGCCCAATATGTTTTTGTCTCTGCACAAGGAAAACCTACTGCACAGGATGTTGCAGGTAGCATGGCCATAAACGTGACATCGGGGGTGTTTGCCTGACCCTGGTGCTCCAGCAATTTCAACTGACTCATGCCTTGTAATGGAGGAGTCGGATTCATAGTTGGGATCCATGGCTCTCTCCAGTCTTCCTTTACATGGTCACAAACACATTGAAGGCACCCCACACAGATTATCCGTCTCCTGTAAAAACACAAGCATACCCTCATCCTTACATCAGTAAATCTCCTGAGCATTTCCATCGTCCTTAGGGGGATTTTCATAATATTTTTGGGTATACTTTACTTTTTCCCTATGACATTTACCAGTGTCGTTCTGCCATAGTCTTACTATCTGTGCCAGGAGTCAAAAAATTAAAGTAAATAAGTAAAAAAATTAATTAAAGTAAAAGTAAATGTATTTTGTTTGAGGTGGTAACTGATCTCTTGTTTCCCCTTTCGGTTTTTTTCAGCACACCTTGTAATGTTTGATTTGCCCGCTCTATAATTCCTTGTCCTTGGGGTTTGTAAGGAATTCCTGTTTTATGAGTGACTGACCATAGCTGTAAAAAATTTTAAAAAGCATGACTAACATAAGTGTGTCCATTGTCAGTTTTTAATTGTTTAGGGACCCCCCGATATGAGCAAATGATGACAGACAATGTCATCACACATAACCAGCTGTGTGACCTGGTTTGCATGTAGCATGCCGCATATGAGAATAAGTGTCTGTAGTCACATGAACAAAGGAGAACTTACCAATGGCAGCTTTGTGAGTAACATCCATCTGTCAGATTTCATTTGAAGCTAAGTCTCATGGGGTACAGCCTTCTGTGAGTGTGACTCCAGTGACATGCTGGCAAGCAGGACAGGCTTGTACAGGCTGCAGCCTGGCTGTGAGGCAAATGAAACATACGAGTAAAGGCAGAGTTTTGATGCAGTAATATATGAGAAGGTTGAGCTTGTTGAAATGCAGAACAAACCAATTTATTGGCTCTATTGTTACCTAGAAATAGTGGTGTAGGGAGTTGTGTGGGAGAGCAAATATAAGAAATATAAAAAGCAGCACAAGAGCAAACAGCTTGTTAAAGTCTTAGAAACAAGTTAAACTGCTCTGGTTCCAGGGTGCTTTTAATAGTGGTCGTCCCAATATGACTGGCTACATTTACAACATAGGCTGAATGACAGAGAGTGTTAATAAGAGATGAACCAGTGAGCTCTAAAACCTGCATAACTGCCATTAGTTCTGAGCGTTGATCTGAAACTCCGGGGTTTTTTATTGTTTGAGCATGCTTAGTACCATAAGTAGCTTTGCGACCTTTGGAAGAGCCACCAGTAAAATAGGTCTGGCTGCCTGAAATGGGCTTGTGATGAGGAATCACAGGGAAGATGAAAGGCTGAATTTTTAAAATTGCAAAATTTTGTCTGAGGGATAATGTTTATGTATTATTCCTACACAACCTGAAAGAGCAATTTGCCACACAGTCAACATTTCCCATGCTGCAGCCTGTTGCTGGGAATCCAATATTTCTCCTCATACTTGTAGACTGGCTCTAAAAGGAGAACAATAATTTTGTGTGGATCATATCTCTTAAGCATTTTTGATCTATCCCTATCCCTTGTTATAAACTGAGTAGTTAAAGAAAGATAAACTTGCAGAGATTTTACTCTCTGATTGAATTTCAAACAAAGCCATTCTATTACAATTACATATTTTTCTATGATCTGGCCTAAAAGTCCTGTTGGAGAATGGGGGGTAGAGAGAAAAAAGGGAACCAAGGGATTTTGTGGCTGTAGCCAGGAGGCATGTGTTTGCTGAAGAATCTACTCTACAAGCTGTAACTCAGCTTCAGCCTCCTTAGACAAACCAGCAACTGGGTTGTCTCCTAAGCCCATTGCTCCTAATGAAGAATTTCCATGGAGTGCCTGAGTGTTTGAGTTGATGAGTAGCAATACCTAGGATTGGGCACAGCCAATTTATATCTCCTAATAGTTGTTGGAAATCACTGAAGGTTTGTAATCTGTCCCTACAGAGGACTGCTTTCTGAGGTCAAACATTTGTTTCAGTAGCAATAGTGCCTAAGTATTGGTATGGGGAGGTTGCTTCTACCTTTTGTTGAACTATTTTGAGATGTCCCCCTGTTTTGCTTCTCTCAGCAATTGGTGTAATAACTCTTCCATTGGAGCAGCCAAAAGAATTTCATCCATATAATGAATTATGTAGGCAGTAGGAAATATATTACGAGGCTCCTTTAAGGACTGTCCTACAAAACGCTGAAATAGCGTAGGACCGGTGAGCATGCTTTGGGGTGAAACTTTGCTTATCCTTCTCATGTAAGGGTACAGTAAGGAAATAATCTTTGAGATCTGCTACGATGGGAGGTGAGTCACTTGGAATGGCTGCCAGGAACGGCAGACCTTGCTGTAATGCACCCATTGATTTAATCTGTGCATTAATAGCTCTCAAATCATGTAGCAACTTGCTGGCAAATCGGTCTGCTTTTATATACTAAAATTTTGCTGAAACCTTACACTTGTGTTGATACATATGTATATGTATATGTGTATATATATCTCTATATGTGTGTATATATATACATATACACATACACACATATGTATGTGTGTACATATATGTATGTAATATGCACATATGTAATATGCACATATGTAATACCCAGAGTTTCTGGATGTACACATATACACTCTGGTATGTGTGTATAGATGGTATGTGTATATGTAGGTATATACGTATACACATACACATATGTATGTGTATATATAACACGTGTATATATACACACATATATGCACACATACAGACACACATATAAGTGAGTGTGTATATTTACATATATATGCATGCTCTGTCTATAAATGTGTTTATATATACACATACAAACATATATATTACACACATATATACATATACACACGTGTGTATATGTATATATGTGTATATATGTATGTCTATATATGTTTATATATATATAATTCCTCACACATATATAAAATTATACACACACACACACACACACACACACACACACACACATATATATATATATATAATTCGTTGTTTGTCTCCTAAGCCCATTCAACCCAAAACCTTCCAGGTATGTGGGAAGCTTAAGAGAGATTATGCAGTAGTTAGATGGCAGCAAGAGTCTTTAATAGAGTTTGAGTCTTTATACTATCCCTGGCTTCCCTTACTGTGGTCCTAGCAAAACATTGACATCCTCGTAAATAATAGGGACTGACTTTGAAAATTAACATTCTCTTCTTATTTAGATATCAATGTAGCTGGATGTAGAACAGCTGCCTCAAAAAAAAAAAAAAAAAAAAAGAGATTCCATTCTTTTCCTTCTTTTATAAAAACTTCAGCAATGAGGTTGGAATTTGTCTCTCAAGGGCAGCTTCTTTTTGACTGTTGAAAGTGGAGATTTTCTGCTTACAGATGGGACATAGAGTCTTATAATTATTAGCGGGACATGGGAGGAAGAGAAAGTTAGAAACTAGACGTTTTGGGCAAAGGGCTGACAAGGCTCTACACAGAGAAAAATCCTATCTTACTAGGTGGCAGTGTAGGATCTGAAAAATTAGATAAAAACTCTGATTCCAAACACTTTTCTGTCAAAAGTTAGAGAACGGGGGTGGAGCCAAGATGGCTGAATAGGAACAGCTCCAGTCTACAGCTCCCACCATGAGCCACACAGAAGACAGGGGATTTCTGCATTTCCAACTGAGGTACTGGATTCATCTCACTGGGGCGTGTCAGACAGTGGGTGCAGGACAGTGGGTGCAGTGCACTGAGCATGAGCCAAAGCACAGCGAGGCATCACCTCACCCAGGGAGCACAAGGGGTCCGGGAATTCCCTTTCCTATTCAAAGAAAGGGCTGGCAGATGGCACCTGGAAAATCAGGTCACTCCCACACTAGTACTGTGCTTTTCCAACGGTCTTAGGAAATGGGACACCAGGAGATTATATCACACACCTAGTTTGGAAGGCCTACACCCACGGAGCCTCACTCTTTGCTAGCACAGCAGTCTGAGATCAAACTGCAAGGCGACAGTGAGGCTGGGGGAGGGGAGCCCATCATTGCTGCGGCTTGAGTAGGTAAACAAAGTGGCTGGGAAGTTCGAGCTGGGTGGAGCCCACTGCAGCTCAAGGAGGCCTGCCTGCCTCTGTAGACTCTGCCTGTGGGGGCAGGGCATAGCCAAACAAAAGGCAGCAGAAACCTATGCAGACTTAAATATCTCTGTCTGACAGCTTTGAAGAAAATAGTGGTTCTCCCAGCACGCAGCTTGAAATCTCAGAACAGACAGACTGCCTCTTCAAGTGGGTCCCTGAACCCCACATAGCCTAACTGGGAGGCACCCCCCAGTAGCTGCAGACTGACACCTCACATGGCTGGGTACTCCTCTGAGGCAAAACTTCCAGAGGAACAATCAGCCAGCAACATTTGCTGTTCACCAATATCTGCTGTTCTGCAGGCTCCGCCGCTGATACCCAGGGAAACAGGGTCTGGAGTGGACCTCCAGCAAACTCCAACAGACCTGCAGCTGAGGGTCCTGACTGTTAGAAGGAAAACTAACAAACAGAAAGGACATCCACACCAAAACCCCATCTGTATGTCACCGTCATCAAAGACCAAAGGTAGATAAAACCACAAAGATTGGGAAAAAACAGAGCAGAAAAACTGGAAACTCTAAAAATCAGAACACCTCTCCTCCTCCAAATGAACGCAGCTCCTTACCAGCAGTGGAACAAAGCTGGATGGAGAATGACTTTGACGTGTTGAAAGAAGAAGGTTTCAGATGATCAAACTACTCCGAGCTAAAGGAGGAAGTTCGAACCCATGGCAAAGGAGCTGAAAACCTTGAAAAAAAAAAATTAGATGAATGGCTAACTAGAATAACCAAAGCAGAGAAGCCCTTAAAGGACCTGATGGAGCTGAAAACCATGGCACGAGAACTACGTGATGAACGCACAAGCCTCATTAGCCGATTTGATCAACTGGAAGAAAGGGTATCAGTGATGTAAGATTAAATGAATGAAATGAAGTGAGAAGAGAAGTTAAGAGAAAAAAGAATAAAAAGAAATGAACAAAGCCTCCAAAAAATTTGGGACTATGTGAAAAGACCAAAGTGACATCTGATTGGTATACCTGAAAGTCACGGGGAGAATGGAACTATTATCTGGGAGAACTTCCCAAATCTAGCCAGGCAGGCCAGCACTCAGATTCAGGAAATACAGAGGACGCCACAAAGATACACCTCAAGAAGAGCAACTCCAAGACACATAACTGTCAGGTTCACCAAAGTTGAAATGAAGGAAAAAATGTTAAGGGAAGCCAGAGAGAAGGTAGGGTCACCCACAAAGGGAAGCCCATCAGACTAACAGCTGATCCCTTGGAGAAACTCTACAAGCCACAAGAGAGTGAGGGCTAATATTCAACATTCTTAAAGAAAGGAATTTTCAACCCAGAATTTCATATCCAGCCAAACTAAGCATCATAAATGAAGGAGACATAAAATCCTTTACAGGCAAGCAAATGCTGAGAGATTTTGTCATCACCAGACCTGCCCTAAAAGAGCTCCTAAAGGAAGCACCAAACATGGAAAGGAACAACCAGTACCAGCCACTGCAAAGACATACCAAATTGTAAAGACCTTCAAGGCTAGGAAGAAACTGCATCAACGAACTAGCAAAATAACAAGCTAACATCAAAGTGACAGAATCAAATTCACACATAACAATATTAACCTTAAATGTAAATGGGCTAAATGTTCCAATTAAAAGACACAGACTGGCAAATTGGAAAAAGAGTCAAGACCCATCAGTGTGCTCTGTTCAGGAAACCCATCTGATGTGCAGAGACACACATGGGCTCAGAATAAAGGGATGGAGGAAGATCTACCAAGCAAATGGAAGACAAAAAAAGGCAAGGGTTGCAATCCTAGTCTCTGATAAAACAGACTTTAAACCAACAAAGATCAAGAGATCAAATCAATAAGAAGAGCTAACTATCCTAAATATATATGTACTCAATACAGGAGCACCCAGATTCATAAAGCAAGTCCTTAGAGACCTACAAAGAGACTTAGACTCCCACACAATGATAATGGGAGACTTTAACACCCCACTGTCAACATTAGACAGATCAACGAGACAGAAAGTTAAGAACGATATGCAGCAAATGAACTCAGCTCTGCACCAAGTGGACCTAATAGACATCTATAGAACTCTCCACCCCAAATCAACAGAATATACGTTCTTTTCAGCATCACACCACACCTATTCCAAAACTGACCCCATAGTTGGAAGTAAAGCACTCCACAGCAAATGTAAAAGAACAGAAATTATAACAAACTGTCTCTCAGACCACAGTGAAAGCAAACTAGAACTCAGGATTAAGAAACTCACTCAAAACTGCTCAACTGCATGGAAACTGAACAACCTGCTCCTGAATGACTACTAGGTACATAACGAAATGAAGGCAGAAATAAAGATGTTCCTTGAAACCAACAAGAACAAAGATACAATATGCCAGAATCTCTGGGACACGTTCAAATCAGCATGTAGAGGGAAATGTGTAGCACTAAATGCCCACAGAATAAAGCAGGAAAGATCTAAAATTGACACCCTGACATGACAATTAACTAGAGAAGCAAGACCAAACACATTCAAAAGCTAGCAGAAGGTGAGAAATAACTAAGATCAGAGCAGAACTGAAAGAAATAGAGACACAAAAACCCCTTCAAAAAGTCAATGAATCCAGGAGCTGGTTTTTTGAAAAGATCAACAAAATTGATAGACTGCTAGCAGGACTAATAAAGAAGAAAAAAGAAGAATCAAATAGACGCAATAAAAAATGACAAAAGGGATATCACCACCGATCCCACAGAAATACAAACTACCATCAGAGAATACTATAAACACCTCTACACAAATGAAGTAGAAAACCTAGAAGAAATGGATAAATTCCTTGACACATACACCGTCCCAAGACTAAACCAGGAAGAAGTTGGATCTCTGAATAGAAAAGTAACAGGCTCTGAAATTCAGGCAATAAGTAATATTGCAAAAAAAAGTCCAGGACCAGATGGATTCACATCCGAATTCTACCAGACGTACAAGGTGGACCTGGTACCATTCCTTCTGAAAAGAGTCCAATCAATAGAAGAAGAGGGAGTCCTCTCTAACTCATTTTATGAGGCCAGCATCATCCTGATACCAAAGCCTGGCAGAGACACAGCAAAAATAGAGAATTTTAGACCAAAATCCCTGATGAACATCAATGCAAGAATCGTCAATAAAAAACTGGCAAACCGAACCCAGCAGCACGTCTAAAAGCTTACCCACCGTGATCAAGTAGGCTTCATCCCTGGGATGCAAAGCTGGTTCAACATATGCAAATCAATAAACATAATCCAGCATATAAACAGAACCAATGACAAAAACCACATTATTATCTCAATAGATGCAGAAAGGGCCTTTGACAAAATTCAACAGCAGTTCATGCTAAAAACTCTCAATAAATTAGTTATGGATGGGATATCCATGACAAATGCACAGCCACTGTCATACTGAATGGGAAAAAACTGGAAGCATTCCCTTTGAAAACTGGCACAAGACAGGGATGCCCTCTCTCACCATTCCTATTCAACATAGTGTTGGAAGTTCTGGCCTGGGCAATCAGGCAGGAGAAGTAAACAAAGGGTATTCAATTAGTAAAAGAGGAAGTCAAATTCTCCCTGTTTGCAGATGACATGATTGTATGTTTAGAAAACCCCATAATCTCAGCCCAAAATCTCCTTACGCTTATAAGCAACTTCAGCAAAGTCTCAGGATACAAAATCAATGTGCAAAAAATCACAAGCATTCTGATATACCAATAACAGACAAACAGAGAGCTAAATCATGAGTGAACTCCCATTCACAATTGCTTCAAAGAGAATAAAATACCTAGGAATCCAACTTACAAGGGATGTGAAGGGCCTCTTCAAGGAGAACTACAAACCACTGCTCAATGAAATAAAAGAGGTTACAAACAAATGGGAGAAAATGCCATGCTCATGGATAGGAAGAATCAACATCATGAAAATGGCCATACTGCCCAACGTAATTTATAGATTCAATGCCATCCCCAGCAACCTACCAATGACTTTCTTCACAGAATGGAAAAGTTCATATGGAACCAAAAAAGAGCCCACATTGCCAAGTCATTCCTAAGTCAAAAGAACAAAGCTGGAGGCATCATACTACCTGACTTCAAACTATGCTACGAGGCTACAACAACCAAACAGCATGGTACTGGTACCAAAACAGAGATGTGGACAAATGGAAGAGAACCAGGCACTCAGAAATAATGCCACATATCCACAACTATCTGATCTTTGGCAAACCAGACAAAAACAAGAAATGGGGAAAGGAATCCCTATTTAATAAATGGTGCTGGGAAAACTGGTTAGCCATATGTAGTAAGCTGTAGCTGGAGCCCTTCCTTACACCTTATACAAAAATTAATTCAAGATGCATTGAAGACTTACATATTAGACCTAAAACCATAAAAACCCTAGAAGAAAACTTAAGCAATACCATTCAGGACATAGGCATGGGCAAGGACTTCATGTCCAAAACGCCAAACACAATGACAACAAAAGCCAAAATTGACAAATGGGATCTAACTAAACTAAAGAGCTTCTGCACAGCAAAAGAAACTACCATCAGAGTGAACAGGCAACCTACAGAATGGGAGAAAATTTTTGCAATCTACCCGTCTGACAAAGGGCTAATATCCAGACTCTACAATGAACTCAAACAAATTTACAAGAAAAAAACAAACAACCCCATCCAAAAGTGGGTGAAGGATATGAACAGACATTTCTCTTTTTCTTTTTTTTTTTTTTTTTTGAGACGGAGTCTCGCTCTGTCGCCCAGGCTGGAGTGCAGTGGCGGGATCTCGGCTCACTGCAAGCTCCGCCTCCCGGGTTCATGCCATTCTCCTGCCTCAGCCTCCCAAGTAGCTGGGACTACAGGCGCCCGCCACTACGCCCGGCTAATTTTTTGTATTTTTAGTAGAGACGGGGTTTCGCCGTTTTAGCCGGGATGGTCTCGATCTCCTGACCTCATGATCCACCCGCCTCGGCCTCCCAAAGTGCTGGGATTACAGGCGTGAGCCACCGCGCCCGGCCGACATTTCTCAAAAGAACACATTCATGCAGCCAAAAAACACATGAAAAAATGCTCATCATCACTGGCCATCAGAGAAATGCAAATCAAAACCACAGTGAGACACCATCTCACACCAGTTAGAATGGCGATCATGAAAAAGGCAGGAAACAACAGGTGCTGGAGAGGATGTGGAGAAATAGGAACACTTTTACACTGTTGGTGGGACTGTCAACTAGTTCGGCCATTGTACAAGTCAGTGTGGCGATTCCTCAAGGATCTAGAACTAGAAATCCCATTTGACCCAGCCATCCCATTACTGGGTATATACCCAAAGGATTACAAATCATGCTGCTATAAAGACACAACCAACGTATATTTATCGCGGCACAATTCACAATAGCAAAGACTTGGAACCAACCTAAATGTCTAACAACGACAGACTGGATTAAGAAAATGTGGCACATATACACTATGGAATACTAGGCAGCCATAAAAAATGATGAGTTCATGTCCTTTGTAGGGACATGGATGAAACTGGAAACCATCATTCTCAGCAAACTATGGCAAGAACAAAAAACCAAACACTGCATGTTCTCACTCATAGGTGGGAATTGAACAATGAGAACATGTGGACACAGGAAGGGGAATATCACACTCCGGGGACTGTTCTGGGGTGGGGGGAGCGGGCAAGGATAGCATTAGGAGCTATACCTAATGCTAAATGATGAGTTAATGGGTGCAGCACACCAACATGGCACATGTATACATATGTAACAAACCTGCACGTTGTGCACATGTACCCTAAAACATAAAGTACAATTTAAAAAAAGAAAAAAATATTCTTCCATCGTTTTATTTTGAGGCTATGTGTGCCTTTGCACGTCAGATGTGTCTCCTAAATAAAGCACACTTAGTGTATTTATATTTAAGATTAATATTGTTACGTGTCAATTTGACCATGATATGGTGATGCTAGCTGGTTATTTTGCATATTCTTGATGCAGTTTCTTCATAGTGTTGTTGGACTTTTTATTTGTTATTTTTTGCAGTAGCTGTTACCAGATGTCCCCTTACATATTTAATGTTCCCTTTAGGAACTCTTGTAAGGCACTCATGGTGGTGACAAAATGTTTGTACACTTAACTTGTCTGAAAATTATTTTATTTCTCCTTTGGCCATAAAGCTTAGTTTGGATGGCTATAAAATTCTGGTCTGAAAATTCTTTCCTTTAAGATCGGTGAATATTTGCCACCTCTCTCTTGTGGCTTGTAGGGTTTCTGCAGAATTATCTGCTGTTAGTCTAATGGGCTTCCCTTTGTAGATAACCTGATCTTTCTCTCTGGCTGCTCTAAACATTTTTTTTTCCTTTTTTTCTACCTTGGAGAATCTGCCAGTTATGTGTCTTGGGGGTTGTCTTCTCATGAAGTATCTCAGTGGTGTTCTCTATATTTCCTGAATGTGTACATTGGCCTGTCTTTGTAGGTTGGGGAATTTCTCCTGAATAACATCCTGAAGTTTGTTTTTCAAGTTGGTTCAATTGTCTTCATCACTTTTGGGTACACAAATCAATCACAGGTTTGGTCTTCTCACATAATCCCATATTTCTGAGAGGCTTTGTTTCTTCCTTTTCATTCTTTTTTCTCTAATCTTGTCTTCATGCTTTATTTCATTAAGTTTATCTTCAATCTGTGATATTCTTCCTTCTGCTTGATTAATTCAGCTATTGATCCTCAGGTACGTTGTGCAAAGTTCTTGCCCTGTGTTTTTTAGCTCCGTCAGGACATTTATGTTTTCCTCTAAACTAGTTATAATCATAATTATTACTATTTTTGAGACGGAATCTCACTCTGTCACCAGCCTGAAGTGCAGTGGTATCAACTCAGCTCACTTCAACCTCCACCTCCCATGTTCAAGTGATTCTCCTGCATTAGCATCCTGAGTAGCCTCTCTTCACTGAGAGTTGTACACTTCTTGGTATTGCACGTCAGCAGATAGATTTGTCTTCTCTCAACTTAAAGCTGAGGACACATCTCAACAACCTTCCTGCATATAGAAGCTACCCACTCTAAAAAATCTCCTCTCCACTGAGGGCTTCAGAGACATTGTAGCAACCTGTCAGCCAATGGCACTTGGTCACTCTAGGTATTCTCTTAACTGAGTGTTGTGTGGTTGTAGGTATGTCCTGTTTGTGAAATGGAGTTACCTCCTTTCTGTCTCCTGAGAGCTGTACCTTCACTCAGTGCAGCTTCTATTTACCTTAATTATTCTCCAGTTGCCCACAAAGCTTATTCTTCCTAGGCATGGGACAAGAACTCAGAACCCACTTAAGGGCAAAACTATAAGATTAGTAACAAAAACTGGTCTGAAACACACAAACCCCCACTTGTCACATTTCTGATTACTGGGATTTAAAAAATAAAAAAGGATAGAAGAGGTTCAGTCCTTAAAGGAGCCCAGACTTAAACATTTTCAAAGCCAGGGCTGTGACACCATTTTGGGGGCTTTGCAGTTTCTGGCATTTTTAAGCTTCTGGATGCCGTTGTATTTCTGAGCAGTGAGGAAAAAAAGGCTTTTGCTATGCTGATTCAGCCAAAGGCTTGCAGGGAGCTGGCACCACCTGGGCTTTCTCACCTTATCATAGCCAACATGCTCAGCTGTGTGAAGTGGCTGGACTCAACAGTCGCTCACTCAGGCTTCTCTCTCTGCTCTGGGTCTGTCTCACCCACAGTAAAAATAGAATCTGAGCACATAGTTTGAGGTGAGTGCAACCTGTCAAAATGAGTGGCAAATTTAGCCCAGCAGGCCCAAGAGAAATTTTGGCAAAGGTGCTACCATCCACTGAGATTTTTGGCTGGGAAAGCGATAGTCTATAGATCCTGCAACAAAAGTCACTGTGATCACCAAGGACCAGTAGATTATTCAATCATGCCCATGTAATGGAGCCTGCATAATAACCCAAAATGGCAGGCTTCAGAGAACTTCTGGAAATCTGAACTTATAGAGTATCCTAGACAATTGTGTGCACATAAAACCAGACATTAATCATTTTAAATGTCTAAGAATATGTACGTGTTTTTCCTTTGTTTTGAAGGAAGTTTCTGCATTTAATCATGTGTGCAGAATTTTAGCTTACTAAATAGAATATAATCTAAGTTAATCTAAAAAGCACACTTTATGACCATTAAAACTTAGATATTTCTACCTAAATGATTCCATGATTGACTAATCCTGCTCAAGGTTTCCTTTAAAGAGGTAGTTCTTTATTCATGTTAACAGTGTAAGATCTAGAGCCTTATGCAAAAAACAAAATACAAATCAACTGATATCTCAGCAAAAGTTCTAACCATATGTTCAGTTTAGAATTTTGTGTCTCTGAGATATTTGTGACTTGGTAAATTCAAATCACCATCTCAGTTGTTTTTGTGTCTCTGTTTAGGGGAGGGCAGCAGAAACTGCCTCATACCCCATTAGACTCTGCATTCTAGGATACTTAAAATTAAATAATAATAATAATAAACACTATTACAGACTTTCAGTCATCCAAGTCTAACAAAAAACAATTCTAGTCTTTTATATACTAGTAGCCATAGATAAAAATTAGAGCTCTTCCAGGCGCGGTGGCAAAACCTGTAATCCCAGCACTTTGAGGGGGCTGAGGTGGGTGAATCATGAGGTCAGGAGATCGAGATCATTTCAGCTAACATGGTGAAATATCGTCTCTGGTAAGAATAGAAAAAAATTGGCTGGGCATGGTGGCAAGCACCGGTTGTCCCAGCTACTTGGGAGGCTAAGGCAGGAGAACGGCGTGAACCCAAGAGTCGGAGGTTGCAGAGAGTGGAGACTATGCCACTGCATTCTAGCTTGAGTGACAGAGTGAGATTCTGTCTCAGAAAAAGAAAAAAAAATAGAGCTTGCAAGAACAGTCTGATGCTCATCTGTCTGCTCTTATATTTGGGCTTGTGCATAAAGTAATGATATTTGGACAAAAAAAGCTGTTTCATTATTTATTTTACAGTTACAGTGCTTGAAGTGAATTGATAATATTAAATAAGTACCTTGGATATTTTCAGTCTCCTTTCAAGCCTTATCTATGGTTGAAATTGTTTTGGGCTATGAACATGGATTAGGGCATCTTGCAGCTAACGATGTATGCCGCTTAGCTCAGTTCTTGGGTCCTGAGCAGATAATTAGAACTCATCAATTTTTCTTTGTACATATTTGACCATGGATTCTATCCCTTGCGCTGAGGCCCAGAATTTTTTTCAGCATTTCACACTTTCTCCTTGGCCCGTTCCAACATCATTTTAATTTTACAGCGAACAAAGGCCTTACCTTTCTCCAGAACAACTGGATTACAAGAGGAAAGCTCTTTAATTTGGATCATAACCTCTTGTGTGAAATTTTCAGTCCAAGACACATAAGAGACCAGGCCCTTGGCACATGCATCCAGTGCTGTCAGCTTTCTCCCACCAAACCACATTTCACTGGCTGATGCTCCACCCAGCATCTTGGGAAATGCAATGTTAGAACAGCCACCTGAACTCTGTCCAAATGTCATAAAAGAAGTTTCAAGCCAAGCCTTTCTGTTAGCCCCAAAGCAAATCACAAAGAGGCAATATGGATGCACCTAGTCAAATTACCGTGCTACTGCCTGATGCAAAAATAGGTTTCTTAAACTGAATAAAACTATGTGCCAGGTCTTTGCGGTGTCCCCCATTTCAATGCTTGCTCTCTTTCTGTCATTTCTTAAATGCACACAAAATCAAGACCACAGCAAAGGACACTGCTGGCTGCACTGAGCAGGGAGCACAAATTTGCTGTCATCCACAGAAACCCTATTCAGGGCATTCTCAATTTCTTTCATTCGCTCTGTATTTAGTGAGATATTCTCTGTCAACCTAGTTGATAGTAATTTCTGGGTAGTGAAGCTCTCTTTCCTCACCACAATGTCTCTGAATCTGCTGGCATTTTCTGTTAACCTTAGTGTAAAGTACATCCTTTTGATAAAAGGCTGTTTTTTTTCAATCATCAATAATCTTTATTTTCCCATCTCTCCCTCTTCAAACAGCTATATGAATGTTTTTTGTTCCATTGGCTGTTAATGGATTCGTTAATACCAATGTACCTTCCTTGTTAACTGAGCCCGTAACCATGGAAGTGATAATTGAGCCAGACACCAGAGACATTAGTGGGTGTATCTGGGACCTATCCTTTCTTCCAGCCTCTTCTGCACTGGAATCTGACAAATCTCTGATGGGCTTCTCTGCTGCCATCTTGTGCACCACCATGTCCAGCTGATGTGACACAATAGGGTCCAGTTTCCCGAGTCCCGGAAAGCCACTCAGTGAGTTCTTGCTGTTAAATGGGCTCTGAAGTGCAAGTGTCTTGAGGGGTTAACTTCCTAGCTTCACATTTTTGGGTCAAAGAAAGGTAAAGCTGCATTTATCCTAACGTTGTGGCCAGCAGCATACATCTGGCTGTGTTTGGATGTGTGGTGTTTGCGAGTCATTAGCATTTTAGAAACGTTCTTAGAAAAGCTGATGTAGGTAGATCCGAACATTCCTTTTCTGGCATTGTTTGAAAAACTTCTGCTCATTCCAGTCCACGACTTTTTTTTTTTTTTTTTAGATGGGATCCCACTCTGTCACTCATGCTGGAGTTCAGTGGTGCGATCTCAGCTCACTGCAATCTCCACCTCCTGAATTCAAGGGATTCTCCTGCCTCAGCCTCCTGAGTAGCTGGGATTACAGATGCATGCCACCATGCTCAGCTAATGTTTGTATTTTTAATAGAGATGCGGTTTCACCATGTTGTTCAGGCTGATCTGGAACTCATGACCACATAATCTGCCTGCCTCAATCTCCAAATGTTCTGTGATTATAGGCGTCAGCCATCACACCCAGTCCCATGTCCTTTGTCTCCATTTTTCTGTCATCTGTTAAAGTCATAATATTTCTTACAATTTACGAAGTTCTGTTCCAGTTGCCCTGTGTCACCCTGTTTGTCATAGCATTTCCACTGAATGAAATACTATGTCTTCCCATTTTTGTCTTGTCTTTTGTCAACAATATTTTGAACCTGAAACTTTTGGGAAGCTAGAAGGAAAGAGAAGGTATTGAAGCAGCTGCTGTGTCATCTTTCTTTCAGTTGAGTGTCTACATAGTCACTGCATTCTGCCTCCAGTGCTTCAGCAGATCTTGGGTACAGATGAGCCTCTTCCAGTTTGTGGCCTGTGGTGTAGAAAGAGATGTGTGAAGAAGCAACTATGCTATGTCCCTTAGGCTCTCTACATTTACTCCATGGTTGGACAGCTCAGGCTTCCTTTTACGGTGCCAAGATGGCCCACTATGTAGTCTCAGCTAAGAGCAGCTGAATCCACTACTCTTAATTTGCTGGTATAGTGCAGAAAGCTTCTACCTGCCTGGTACTTTTCCTTTGTGGCTCTTCTAATGATTACATTAAACATTCTAAAGTTAAAACACTTCTAAATTCATGTTAGTTTACTCTTGCTACCATAAAAAAAGGGGGGGGGTTTATAGCACAACCCCTTCTATTTCACCTATTGAGTTCGCAAAATTATACCTTTAGGCACCGTATGCCAGAAACACAAGCTAGTGAGTTTCTAAAATATATAATAGTGACTTAATTATGTGGAAAACCAATTGTGGAGGTGCATTTTTTTTATCTTTTATATTTATTTATTTATCTTTTCCTTAATCTTTACTTATTCACACTGCTGCATTTTTTTATCTTTTATATTTATATATTTATCTTTTCCTTAATCTTTACTTATTCACACTGCTGTTTCATGTCTATTCATTTTATCCTAAAATACACCATAAAGCATTTCTTAAAGGGTAGTCTACTGGTAAAAGACTGCAGCTTTTACATGGGAATTTTATAATATCTCTCTCACTTTTGATGGGCATTTAGTGTAAACATGAGATTTCTGTTAAAAGTTTTTTTCTTACAGCATTTGGAATATATTAGTCTACTACTTTCTGACCTCTGAATTTTCAGAAAAGAAATCCACTGATTACTCATGGGGGTTCTTTTTACATGACCAGTCACTTCTCTTGCTATTTTCAAGTTTCAAGTTGTTTTTGTTTTAGACAGGTTAATTATCAAGTAAGTTTGAATGTATTTGAGTTTATGCTGCTTGGAGTTTGTTGAATTTCTTTGGTGTTTATTTATTTCCTCAAATTTATGACCTTCCTGACCACTACTGTTTTAGTCTCCTTTAGGAGGACTGCTTGATGGTGTTCCACTGGTTTCTAGGTTGTTTTCACAGTTATTTATTTATTTATTTATTTGTTTATTCCCTTCTTGACTTAACAATTTCAACTGCCCTTTTCTTAGATCTGCTGATAGTTTGTTCTTCTATCTTCTCAAGTGTCCTTTTAAATCTCTGTAGAGATTTTTTTTTTTTTTTATTGAGTTTTGCTCTGTCACCAGGGTGGAGTTCAGTGAGGCAAACTTGGCTGACTGCAACCTCTACCTCCTGATTTCAAACAATTATCCTGCCTCAGCCTCTCAAGTAGCTGGGACTACAGGCTCATGCCACCACACCCTGCTAATTTTTGTATTTTTTAGTAAAGACAAGGTTTCACCATATTGGCCAGGATAATCTTCATCATTTGACCTCATGATCTAACCGACTTGGCCTCCGAAAGTGCTAAGATTGCAGGCGTGAGCCACTGTGCCAGGCTGTAGTAAATTTTAGTGACAGTTGTTTAACTTTTCAGCTCCAGATATATATGTATAGGTATATATATAATATATATACACACACACATATATACACATATATATTTATATTATATATTAAATAAAATATATTATATATAATATAGAAATATATTTTTATGTATTCTATATATGTAAACTAAAGTCTAACATAATCTAAAGTCTAAGATATATGTATATATAGATTAGATAGATAGACAGATATATTAGAGAGAGAGAGAGAGAGAGAGAGAGAGAGAACTACTGAACCTGGCCTAGAATTTCCTTCTTAGTTTTACTGTAAGTTTACTTTATTGTAAGTTTTGTTTATTGTAAGTTTACTGTCTATTAATAATTTTTTTATATTCATGGCTTTCTGTGCTTTTCTTCATTGCATTAGCTTTCTAAAAAAATCATTAAATTTAAAAGTTATTTTTTAGTTAGCCTGCCATTTGGGCCACCTGGGAAAAGCTTCTGTTAGTGATTTTTTTTCTTTCTAGGGTGAACCACACTTTCTTTCTTTCTTTTTTTTTTTTTTTTGAGAGGGAGTCTCGCTCTGTTCCCCAGGCTGGAGTGCAGTGGCGAGATCTCGGCTCACTGCAAGCTCCGCCTCCCAGGTTCACGCCACTCTCCTGCCTCAGCCTCCAGAGTAGCTGGGACTACAGGCGCTCGCCACCACGCCCGGCTAATTTTTTTAGTAGAGACGGGGTTTCACCGTGTTAGCCAGGATGGTTCTGGATCTCCTGATCTCGGGATCCGCCCACCTCGGCCTCCCAAAGTGCTGGGATTACAGGAGTGAGCCACCGCGCCCGGCCGAACCACACTTTCTTATTTCACCTTATGCTATGTGATTCTGTTGGTGTCGAAAACAGGCATATAAATTTTCAAGTGTTGTACCTTTGAAAATCAGATTTTCTCCCTCTGTAGCTTGCTAGGGATTTGTTTATTCATCATCTAGGCTATTTCTGTCATGACAATCAGTCTTACTGATTTTGTTGGGGGTTTTTCTTGAGGCTGCATCATTTTGGAGCACAGATGTGTAGCAACACATTTTATTCTAAATTTTCACGTACATATGTTTTCTTTGAATGTTTTCTCTATCATTCTCTGGCCTCTAAAGAGAAAAAAAAAAACAGAAAAATTAGGAAAGAAAGGCTCTGCCTTTGTAAATCGTCTGAAAGTTACTTGAGTAGCAGGAGAAAAAGCCTGTAAAAGGTTTGGAAAATGAAAAATGACTGTTCACCACTCGCAGGACCTCCGTAATAAGAAACAGCAATCGGTTAGCCAGTCCTCCTGAGATTTGGAGGATAAGGTCATTTTTGCCTATCGTGGCTATTGCCAGCTGCTCCAGAAGTATTTGCAAGGCTGCACACCACGGCAATAGTTGATAGGAATAAATAACTGCTGTTGACCTATGCTATAAAGTTGATCGAACTTAATTGTTGTTGACTTTACAAATCGTGTTTTGAAAGCTTCAAAACTTCAGATAGGATCTATAATTCCAAACTATTTGCGTCATAGCGATTCTGCCACTGCACATATTGAAGAGTTGAAGGGACAGATGCATAGTGCTCTGTAATCCATTGTCTCGTTTTTGCAAGAACCTGTATCATTTTATTTTCAATCTCTCTCTTTGCACTTAAGGTAACACTTGCAGGGAAATCACATATGTGAACCCTTCTTTTAAAGGTACATTTGCATCATTCTGTGCCTTTTTATGAAGGAGCTCACATTTAAAGTTATTAAACGTAAAAAACTATTCACTCTGATATTTAATTACTTGCTTTCTGTATGTTCTTTACCTTATTTGAATTTTTAAATTTCTCCTTTCATCTTTCAGAAAAATTTCTTAATTTCTCAAAACTTTCTTCTTCTATATATTTTATATTATATTTAGTTACATTTGGGACCTCAATAAATATTCTAAACTTAAAATAGCCTACGTTGGATAATACTACCTTATTTAAATAATCTAAAGTCTAAGTTCAACAATATAAAGGTACTCTGCTCCTGCACTTTTCTATTCTTCTCAAATTATATTATATTGTCTCAGACTATGTCTCCACTCACAGAGTGTCCATGAAATTAAATCTGTATTTTTTTTGTATGTAATAGCTGCCTATAATAAGCATAATAGTAGTAATTATCTTTGCTAGGTAATAGTAATAGCTTTTATTGGTGGGGGGAGGGTTAGACACACATTTCTTTAGCTTATTTTTATCTAGACATTTTCTGCTTGTGTATTATTTTACAGGTTATAAATGTTCTTCATTTCTCCAAGGTGTCTTCTTAGTTATTGGCAGCTTAGTATCCACTTAAATAGCATTTTGTATAAGAGCAGTATACAAGCTATTATTTAAAAAAACTGAATATGTATTATCAGATTGTCAATTATATGAAGTAACTGCATTGTTGGTTCTCAGGAAACTAAATGTTTGTGACCAATTCCTGGCATTTTCAACCAAGAGTGACTTCTGACTTTGGCAAAACAGAAATAAAAATGACTAATCAATTCATCGTTTATTCTCTAGAAAGACTAGAACAAACACAATAAATTAGCACATAAGGGCTGTTTTACTCCTTCTAGAATCAGGAATCAGGGCCTCAAATTGAAAATGTGGATTTCAGTTTTGCAGGCTTCATCTGTGTCTGGGAGGCAGTATGACAATCCAAAACATTAACTGTTTTAAAATTGTCTCTCTTGATTAAGTGTTTCCTTGGTTGATGTGAACTATTGGTGAACTATTGGTTTCCTGGGTGTAGACGGTTTTTTATTTGTTTGAGATTTCTTTGAATGGTTTGACGCTGCCTGCTCTGCAATTTTGTTTCAGTTTTATTTGTGAAGCATGAACTGTTTTCTAATCTCAGTTTATTTTTATTTAGGAGATCTAAATTTTGTCCCATGAAAATGTTGTTTCAAATGCTGAAGTTAAATGTTACACTTTTAATTTGGGTTTCTAGATTTTTTATTTGTTTGTTTTAGTGGTTATAGTGTAAGGTTTTTTGTTTGCTTTATATTAATTGATCCTATCAATTTCATATAAAATGCATGAGGTAAAATTCTCTATTGAGTACAGCTTGGACTCATGTGAGACAAGCATAAAATAATTAGTCTCTAAAGTGACTGTGAAGTAAATATCTAAATAAAATAATAAGGGAATAATCACACAAGCATGCATCAAGATCAACAAGTTTGATGACCTCCACCAGACGTCTGCTTAAATTGTTTGAAAAACAGCCAGGTCACTGTGGCTGGAGCAGACCGTGGAAGGCAAACAGTTATAGACATTGAGCTCATGGAGGTAACAGACAGTCCATGTGAGTGGCTAGGGTTTCTGTAAGTCAATAGATTTTACTTTCTTTTTACCCTAAGCCTGGTTCATGACTAGAAGTGGAATTGGTAAGGTGGTTACTAGCATCTAGCCCTGAGAGATTAGAAAAGCTGAAAAATATCTTAAAATCTAGAGTCTCAGGCCTCTCTTTGATAAATTAACAGTGATAGATCATCTCTCCAGAAAATTGTACATAAGAAAAGCACACTTTGATTTTATATTTTCAAGATTACTTAACTCAATCTTTGGTTTCTATAAATCAGAAGAATTTTAAGAAGCTTTTGTAAAGTTCTGTTGATTCAAGTTAAGGTAAGTGTTAGTAAAGCGAAGTCAGTTGAGTTAGTCAATGATTACAAAGTAAACCATATATTTCTTTTTCTCCCCTTTCCTTTTCCCATTACTTTTTAAATATTTCCGTAAAACACTAGTATAGCAAAGAAAAAACAACAACAACAACAAAAAAACGAAGCCAGGCAGCCTCTGTTTTGTGGGTGGCAATTAAGAAAACACAACGAATGGCTTTTGGGATAGAACTAAACTTGACTACAGCTGGAAGGCATACAGAAAAGACATACACACTTGTGGATTGGCACACTACATTATGCATGCACAATGGGCATAATATTTATCGTAAGGCAAAAATTAAATATGTCTGATGACATAAAAGTTGCTGAGCCATTATAATAACGAAGCCCAATGAAAACAAAGATTTCAAGGATTATAGCTGGGGTTAGAGAACTCTTGCTTTTGCTAAAGTTGTTGAGTAGAATTAACACTGAGGTATCTTCTACTGTTCTAAAATTGTATTTGATAGAAGATTTTTATAGTGGGAATCTTTGATCTCAATTAGTTATGCTCTCTCATGTTCTAAATTAACCAGAAATAAATACATTCACAAAAATTTACATGAGCCAATTAGAGAAAATAAAAACAAGTGAATGAAGAAGTAGCTGTAATAGAAAAATGTATGTGGAAATGTTAAGATAAATCAAAAAAGGAGGTTAATTCATACAGTGTAAAATCTTTTACATTTGATTACAAAAATTGTTTTGTAGTTCATGAGGCTCATCTCATGAATTTACATTTTTCTGCCAGATTTATATTCACTAAAAGCTGATTAGAGTGTGCCCACAAGAATAAGGTGGATCTGCATTCCACAGCTCACTGATTCAAAGATTGTTTCGGGGAAAAATTCCAACAGATACACCCAGGATTAATACCCTGTATACCTCAATCCAACGAAGTCAACACTCAGTATTAACCATCACAAATCCACCCCTTGACAACTTGAACCACTACACGTCTCCTAAGAGAATACCTAATTTTCAAGTAAAGAAAATAATAACATCATAATTACACCTAACGTAATACAACTGTCTTTGTTAAAACCAGTAATTCACCAATCCCAAATCTAAACACTATTATGTGAAGTTAACCATACTCAAATGTTGATTTGATGTCAATAAATCTAATGTCACATAATAAAGAAAAAGAAAAAATGAAGGTACTATTACATGTGTATACATACACAAACTTTTTTTTTGACAAAAAGAGGAACTATTTAGAACAATTAACGTCCTCATTTCTGCAGCTGGTCACCTGGTTGTAGCTGGTGTTGATGTCTACCTTCTTCTACCAACCTTTATGTGTTCCCTTTGCGTTCAACAAGCACCTCAGCTGAGACCCCTAATACCTTTCCTTTCTTCTTTCTTTCCTTTCTTCCTTCCTTCTTTATTTCCTTCCTTCCTCCATTCCTTCCTCCCTTGTTTCTTCTATTCCTTCCTTCCTTCCTCCCTCCCTCCCTTCCTTCCTTCTTTTCTTCCTTCCTTTCTTCCTCTCTCTCTCTCTTTTCTTCTTTCTTTCTTGTTTGTTTGCTTTCTGGCTGGCTGGCTGCCTGGCTGGCTGGCTGGCTGGCTTGCTTGCTTGCTGGCTTGCTTGCTTGCTTGCTTCCTTTCTTTTCTGTTGGAGTAACCCAAACCTTAACTCCTGAAGGTTCTGGATCATTTACAGTCCTGTCAAAATTAGGCTGTTGTAATTTTCCGTTGATCTTAATCTCAGGGCAGTTAAATACTATCAGGCACCTTAATGGATCTCCTGTGTTCCATGTATATTCTTCCATACCTCCGTTGTAAAATAGTAGACTGATTTTATCTTGCTAATTCAAGTCAGTCACCACAGCCAACACTGTCACTTCCTTAGCCTGTTGACTGAAAGGCAGGAGTAGCCCAAAATGCCAAGGGGACAATCTTCACTGTCAGTTTAATGGAAATGTCATTCTGTCTCCTGGTGGCAACATTTCTCCCTCTGGAACTAAGACCTGTAAGCCTGTGGAACATAATGTAAAGGAAACAGGAAGCAAACATTTTGCTAGTGGATCACTAGGGGTGATGGTGAGTGGGGACATTTTCACTTCCACACCTTGATTTCTGTACCCAATAATTCTGGCTATGGGAAAAAGAGTATATGTTCAACACTGATTCAAAACATACATTGCCTTCTGGAGAACTTTTCCCCAGGTTTGCAAAGTCTTGTCACATGGTTGGTATTGTAATTGTAACTTTAAAAGGCCATTTCACCATTCTATTAATCCAGCTGCCCTAGGATGATGGGAAGCATGGTAAGACCAACGAATTCCATAATGCAGGAGCCCACTGCCACACTTCTTTAGCCATAAGGTGAGTGTCTTTGTCAGAGGGAATGCTGTGTGGAATGCTATGTTGGTGGATGAGGTATTTAGCGTGTCCACAGATGGTAGTCTTGGCAGAAGCATTGGATGCAGAATAGGCAAACGCATATCCAGTGTAAGCACCCTGAGAAACGGTGCCATATCGACGGATCAGTGTTGGACTCTGTTGCTTGCAAATGGGGCATGCAGCAGTGGCCATAGCCAGGTTAGCTTTGGTGAGTAAAAGTCCATTTCGCTGAACCCATGCATAATCTTCACCCCTGCAATCATGGCCACTTTGTTTATGGGCTCTCTGGGTGATGACAGCAGAAACTCGGGAGAGAGGCTGAGTGGTTTCCACAGGATGGTTTATTCTATCCATTTGCTTACAAAATTTTTCCTCTTCTGAGGTCACCGTTGTTGAACACTTACATGAAATATAAATATCCTCACAGTTTTTGACCACTCAGAGAGGCTAATCTACATAACTCTCTCTTAAATTACTTTGCCACTTATTTACTGATAATGCTTCTTCCAAGTTCCTGATCATCCAGCCAAAGCATTGGTTATGGCCCATGAACCAGTATATAATCACACATCTGGTTATTTCTCCTTGGCATTCAGTCTACTGGGAAGAGGTCCCTTCACCACTGTTCTTCACGGATATCCCAGCAAAAATCTGTACTGCTGCAGCTGTTCATTCTTGGGTGGTGGCTCCATATATGGTGCAGAACCATCTGGAGCCAGGCCATAGTCTCCTCTTATTCTGTCAACTGACCATAGGGAACTAGCCATGAGACCATCAGTGCAGGTTGGAGGGGAGAAGGCATGGTGGCAAGACTGGAGAACATGAGCATTTGAGTCAGTGACGCATGTAAATTACTTGTGCCTTCAGGACTGGCTTGAGACTGAGCACATATGTACCACTTCCATTTGATGATGAAATTCTGCTATGGACAACCCACTTTATGGCTAGATGGATCAGAAAGCACCCAGTTCATGATAGGCATTTCAGTTCACTTGGTGACTTGATGACTTATAGACAAGGGTACAGTTTCCACCAAACCCAGTAACAGGCCAAGAGTTGTCTCTCAATAGGACAATGGTTATCTGCAGAAGATGGCAGGGCCTTACTTCAAAATCCTAGAGACCTATGCTGTGATTCACCTGTGAGATCCTGGCATTAGGTTCCAAAGAGCACCCCTATCTACCACTGACACCTCAATCATCATTATATCTTCTGGGTCATACGGCCCAAGTGACAGAAAAGCTTGCCTGGATCTTCTACAGAGCTTTCTCCTGTTCTGGACACTATTCACAACTGGCAGCCTTTTAAGTCACTCAATAAAAGGGGGAGAGTAACAACCTCACATAAGGAATATGTTTTCTCCAATATCCAAAGAAACTCACTAGACATTGTCCCCCATTTTTTTGTTTGTATGAGGGGCCAAATGCAGCAAATTGTTCTTTACCTTAGAAGGAATATGTCAACAGGTCTTACACCACTGGACCCCTAGAAATTTTACTGAGGTAGAAGGTCCCTGAATTTTAGTCAGATTTATTTCCTATAATCTGGTATAAACATGCCTCACCAATAAGTCCAGTGTGTTTGCTACTTCTTGCTCACTGGATCAAATCAGCATAATGTCATCAGTGTAACAGACAAGTGTGATATCTTGCATGAGCCAAAAGAAATCAAGATCTCTCTGAAAAAGATTAAGGCACAAAGGTAGAGAGTTGGTATACCCCTGAGGTAGGAGAGTAAAGGTGTATTGCTGGTATTGTTGGGTGAAGGCAAATTGCCTCTGGTGGGTCTTATGGACAGGAATGCAGAAAAAGGCATTTGCCAAGTCAATGGCTGCATACCAGATGCCAGGAGATATATTTATTTGCTCAAGCAATAAAACCACATTTGGTACAGCAGCTGCAATTCGAGTCACCAAGTGGTTAAGCTTACCAAAATCTCCTGTCATTCTCCAAGATCCACTTGTCTTCTGCACAGGTTAAATGGGAGAGTTGCTTTCAGACGTGCTGGTAATGACCAACTGTGTGTCTTTCAAGTCGTTAATGATGGTACTAACCTTCACAATCTCTCTGGGGTTGTGATATTGTTTTTGATTTACTGTATTTTCAGATAGAGGAAGCTCAAATGCTTCCATTTGCCTTTTCCCATTTTAGTAATCCTCACCCTACAGGTCAGGAAGCAAATGTGGGGTTCTACCAGCAGCTAAGTGTGTCTATGTCAATAATGCATTCTGGCACTGGGAAAATGACCTTAGGATGACTCTAGGTACACGCTCGACCCACTGTAAGTCTGACGGGGGCTAAAACTTTATTAATTGCCTGACCTTCATAAGGTTCTATTTTAACTGTAGAACCACAATGATGTTTCGGGTCTCCTGGAGTCAGTATCAGCTCAGATCCAGGGTCCAGTAGCCTGAAAATTCTGATCATTTCCCTTTCTTCCAGGCATAGTTACCCTGACAAAATCCAGGCGTTACTTAAGGAACAATGAGAGAAAGATTCACTGCATAAATTGTTGGTAATGGAGTGGGGTCTTTCCTCAAGGGGATCCAGCCTCCCCTTCATTCAAGGGGTTCTGTGTCTTTAAATTGGCTCTGGTATGGAAATAGGTTGAGAAGCTGTGGTTCTGTTTTTATAATTTAGAATAGTTCTTCATCTATTTGACACCAAAGTTTTCTGTTTCTATAACTTAAGTAGGAATGCAGTAGGCTTTCTATCAATTTCACTTCCAGGAACACCTTGATTAATTAGCCAGTGCCAGGGTTCTACAGGTGTCAGACTCTTCTGATTGCTGCTTTGCGACAGCTGTCCATTATGGTACCTACACCCACCTTGCCTTTGATGGTCGAGTGTTGCCACTTGGTTCCTGCCACCTTGGGATTCAATTATCCCTAGTGTATTTAAATGTTATAGTTAGTGGCTGCAGTTCCCGCCCTTAGATCTGACACACAGAGAAGAGTAATTACAGAGCTGTTCAAAGATGCAGGTACTGCTCTGCTTCACAAGGCATTGATCAAGAATATATCCTCTGGACTCTCTCAGCTGGGATGAGTAGGTCTAAAGTGAACTAATCTACTCCACCATTCCAATCTCCCAAGGCCTTTGGATTTCATCCTTTACTTTAAACCAATGGAGAGCGGACATTTATAGAGCTCACTCACAGTGGGCCATCTTTGAATTCATATTTTAGCTAACCAAGCAGATAAACTATGAGAAATTCTTAGCTCCCTGTGCTGCATCTTTAAATGCAGAGTCCCTACTAGGTCAGCCCTAGTCAATAAATTCAGCCTGATACAACCCTGTGTTCCTTCTGCTATTATCCCATACCCTTAATATCCATTTGCTTCTGTGTTCTCTAGCCTGCTGTTCATGTATATTATAGAACTCAAACAGTTGTTCTTCAGTTTACCACAACTTCTCATGGGTTGCACTCTCAATATCACCGTAAAGAGCCCGCCAGTACTTTAGTTTAGTTATAGGCTTAGAACCAAACAGAGATGTTGGGGGTGGCCTCTGAGAAGAATCAACATTATCATACCTGGCAACTGACTCAGGGGAGGCTATCACTGTGGCCTCAGCCAGCACATGGTTTATCTCTATAGGTAGAGGTGGAAAGACTGAAGGCAGCATGTACCTCTCTCTTCTGGGATGCAGAACAATAATTTGAGATCAGCTGACTATCAGGGCTGAATGACCTGTAACACAACTATGGATAAAACTCGCCCCCTTGCTTATCGTAGTGTGGAACACAAAAATAAGAGGACAGCTGTGGCCCTTCAGGGTGCACAGACTTAGGGGCTCTCGATGCCATGACTGTGACACCCTCTTAGGGGCTTTGCATTTTCTGGCATCTCCAAGCTTCTGGGCCCCACTACGTTTCACAGTATCAGCTGTGGATGCTGCCTGCAGTATGCCTGGCCCAGCTGCTGCTTCTCAGTGAGACGGAACTTCTGCTGGCACCTAAAATTTCTTGTTTTGCCACAGCTGGCATGCCTGGATGAGTTTAGTGGTTGGAGCCCACACTTGCTCATACAACACTCACCACTCCACCATGCTTGCCCTTGGCAGGTGATAAATGCTGGCTCTTAATGCAAGCTGAGTGCAGCCTGTCAGGCAGAGTGGGTAGAACACATGTAGCAGGCCTGGGAAAAACTCAAGCAAAGGCACCACTGGCCACAGGGGTTTTCATCTGGCAAAGTGACTCCCCTAAAATTCTGTAACAAAAGAAGCATAGCTAATTGTGTTTAAATGCCTTACTTCTCTTAAATCCTGAGACACTGATAATTGAGTGTCAATACCCTGAATATTTTCATATTTTATCCTTATTTGGAAAGTATTATATTTCAACATTATTTAGAAATAAAATTTGCATAATTGGTATTTGCGTTGAACCACCTGAATCCCAAGAACATATTTGCATGGAACCACCTGATTCTCACAAAATATATTTCTGAAATATAGGCATTGGGCTTCAGATTAGCATTCTTTTAGCAGATTATGAAACTTGCCAATGGAACACAATTTCTAATCCCTGGATTTTGACATTATATACTCACATACTTTTTTTTTTTTGTGGAGGCACTTTTGCTGTGCATTGTAAGAGGATGAGCAGCATTTCTGACCTTTTCCACTAAGTGCAATAGTAGCATCCTTTTTCCATGGTTGAAATGTCCAAATATCTTAGTGTCTTCTGGAAGCTAAATTGTTGACATTGACTATTCTAAAGAGTTATGAAGAATGAATAAAAAAACCAGTTTTAACAATTTTGCAGAGGCCATGCAGGGTGGTTCACACCTGTAATCCCAGCACTTTGGGAGGCCAAATTGGGAGAATCACCCTAGGTCAGGAGTTGGAGACCAGTCTGGCCAACATGGTGTAACCCTGTCTCTACTAAAAATACAATAAGTAAACAAACAAACAAAATTAGCTGGGCATGGTGACAGTCGCCTGTAATCCCAGCTACTCGGGAGGTTGAGGCCAGGAGAATTGATTGAAACCAGGAGGCGAGAATGAGCTGAGATCATGCCATTGCACTCCAGCCTGCATCACAATAGCGAACTCTGTCTTAAAAAACAAAACAAAACAAAACAAAACAAATACACAAATTTTATATGAGATCTTATTTTTATCTAACTTTCTGCTGTTCTAATATCCTGTCACTTACGCAATGAACCAGAATGTCCTGCATGTACCCTGGAACTTAATACAAAACAAAGTTAAAGAAATTAAATAAAACTAGAAAGGCTTTCTTTTCTTAGAAGTGAGGTTATAGTAACTGAAATGTGTGCCACACTTTATTTAAGACATTTTCTAATTACAAATCAGGGTTGTCACAAACTGCATTGAAAAGCAAATAAGTAGAATATCTCAATTCTTAATTGATCAAATTTATTTTCTTTTATTCTTAGAATGGAATCCCACACTGTCTCTTTGGATGGTGTGCAGTGGTGCAATCTTAGCACACTGCAGCACCCTGCCTCCCAAGTTCAAATGTTCATTCTTCCTCAGCTTCTTGAATAGCTGAGATTACAGGTATGCACCAACACACTCGAAGGGTTTTCACCATATTGGCCATGTTGTCTCAAACTCCTGGCTTCAAGTACTCTGCCTGTTTTGGCCTCTAAAAGTGCCGGAATTACAGGCATGAGCCACCAAGGCTTGCCGGCCCTCGTCTGAGTTTCCAATTGAGAAATACACTGGTCTTACAAACCTTATTTTTTATATCATATTTTTGATGAGTTTCATTTTATGTCTCATAATTCACAAAGATAATTTAAGTGCATTGTCTCTCTATTGGAAATGAATTTATTTCCATTAATACATAATTAAAAGAGTAGGTTTATGTAGAAAGTCATTTTTCTATGGTGAAGAGTTCTCACATCTTAGAAATTGCTTTACATATCTCATTTGGAAAACTCATTGCATTTATTGATTACACTTGCATTTTTTTTTCCTTTGCATTTTCTTTTGTAAGAGTATTCTAAATTGTTTCAAGATACAATAAGATGTTTAATTATGTCAAATAAACTTAAAAGGTATTTTCTTCGAAAGACAACTTTTTCTTAAGCTATGTTTCTACTAATACTGTGTGATTACTTTTTGTATGTTACTAGGAATTAATTGATGTTTAAATCTTCCCAGCATCCAAAGTTCATCTGCAATATTTAAGAAATAAAGAACTGCTAGCAGAGCAGGCTGTTCTGGTCCATAGTTCACCCACTACCGTCAACCCTGGTTTTGAGCTACCTGCAGCACAAGATTGGCTGGGTAAAAAAATCTCAAAAAGATATCAGTCTGTTTGATGGAAATATATTACATAGACAAAGAAATGACTAGTGGGTATTTAAAATCATAAAGAGGTTTTTTATCGTTAATAACAGTTTTGTTTGAAATTCTATATTTACATTTAGAAAAAATTAACTCATCGCTTTTGTGTTGCTTTGTTTTTAATCAACTAGCTTAACATTTTGTAGCCATCAGGTATATAATTAAAACCATTTCTATCAGAGAATATTATTTTTTTAAATAAGATGTATTACTTAAATGCTCTCATATATGGTTTTGGTAATTTAACACAGTGGAATTGATTTAATCATATACAAAAAAATAGTAAGACTGTTGAGTAAGAAGAAACCAAATTTAATGGTACAAAAAGTTTATACTAAAAATGTATACATTAAAAAGATTTTTCTAACCCAAACATTGAAGTTGCTTAATGTTGTTTTAGTTAAATTCCAAGAGAAGTATTATTTTAAAATCATAATGTGAAAAGAGATCATCTGAGTGCATGTTATTACTTTTAAATGTCCACGTCAATTAAACAAAATGGATAGCAATGTTCAAATCTTACGCAGAACTGAAACTCATAGCGAGAGGTAATGTAAGTAAATTGAAAAACAATAGGCCAGGCGCGGTGGCTCACACCTGTAATCCCAGCCCTTTTGGGAGACCAAGGAGGGCGGATCACAAGGTCAGGAGATCGAGACCATCCTGGCTAACAAGGTGAAACCCGTCTCTACTAAAAATAGAAAAAATTAGCCGGGCGTGCTGGTGGGTGCCTGTAGCCCCAGCTACACGGGAGGCTGAGGCAGGAGAATGGTGTGAGCCCGAGAGTCGGAGCTTGCAGTGAGCCGAGATCACACCACTGCACTCCAGCCTAGGCGAAAGAGGGAGACTCCGTCTCAAAACAAACAAACAAACAAAAACCATAAAATTTAGTTCATTTCAAGGGAAATCAGAGAGTTACAAATATAATTAACAACAGTATTCTGTACAGATATTTAATTGAAAATGTGAAATTATGTTAGTTTATATGTTTCTCTCTGTGAGTATATTTTTTGGTACATTGCAGGAGTTTCTAGCTAAACTCACTGTTTAAAAGGACAGATCTTTATTTGTCCTGTGGGATCTATGTAAAGAGGAGAGTTTCCTTTTTAAAAACACAGACTTTTGTTAATTTATTTAACTATTGTATTGGCAGAATAAATAAATATTTTTAAAATTTTTTTAAGCAACCACTACTGTTATGAAACGTTAAGTCAATCTTTTCTTTCCTTGTGGTTAATGTATATTTCCAAATATATAAGACGGCATGCAATAAAAATTATTAACTTGCCATGAATATTGTATTTCTGGTCCAGAGATGTTTTTTGAAGTATATGCACGTCTTCATACATAGAGCTATTTCCTCTTCTTCTTCTTCTTCTTCTTCTTCCTCTCCTCTTTTTTTACAGAAATGAGAATATAAAATATACAATATAGTTATTTGTTTTTTACTTAGTGACACACCTGTCAATACATGAAGATCTGTTTATTTCTGTTCTGTGCTACATAACTTGGCATTCAATGTACTCTAATTTATGCAGTCCACATCTAAGATGGATTGATGTGTAAGTTGTGTTCAGTTTTATAAGATAGAGAAGATTTCTAGTTCTCACAGGGATTTTAAATACACCGCCTAATTGACTTTATCTCATAATAAAATGAATATAAATTAATCATCACTATGTAATGAGGAAAAAAGCAGATATTTATGTGAAGATTATAGTTTTTAGGTTTGAGAACAATAACTTGTATGCAGTGCTCAGTTTGAACTGAGAAAACTCTAATGTCCTATTTATATAAATTTCTGATGACATTGTATTGAATACACTTATTTTAAGTACAAAAGTTTTTCAATCAGTTAACACACAATGATTAAAGTTAAGTCTGTGTTAGCACTTGGAAATTTAATATTATACCACCTTATATGACTTTTTCAAATAAAACTGTTACAGAAGCAATGCCATTAAAAATGCAGAATTAAGATATCTCTAGTTAATGGTGCATATATTGGATCATGTTTCTGATGATATAAAAATTTAAGGTACCATTTGAAGAGTGCTGTGTTAGCCTGATAAAGTGAATTTCCCAGCCTGATTAGAAGAACTATGGACAGAGTCATCATTTTTGTAGCATAAGCATAGTTCTTCTTCTCTGAGGTTGTGAAACACTCAGATAGTAGGAATATTTGCCCCCGATCAGACCCTGCCCACAAAAATGACTTGTGGGACTCAAAGAGGCTGGTGTGACTAGTCACATAAATTGTGTGATCTAGCAACTATACATAATCTTAGTGGTTAGAAACAGTAGCTCTACAATTAGAAACACATGTGATGATGTAGACAATGATGGTTCAAAGATGAGTAACAAAGGTGTGAGTTAAATTTTAATTATTTATTTGTTTTTAATATTCTGATACCAGGTACTGTTTTTCTTCCTGAGATTACTGTACTTTCATGAGATTTTGTAAGGACTGCATTTTGACAATATGGCTAGAATGTCTGAGATACTATGAATGGCATATTTTTCATGCTCACTATCTAATAACTTGAAAGTTTACTTGATAATTTTTATTATTTTTTGTTTGTTTTCAAAGTATAATTGATACAATCATATTTGTATGACATGGTAAACGCAATTCAGAATTTTAAGAATAAAAAAATATTTATTTTAATAAGTATATTCTCATCTTGTATTTGAAGTATGCTATTTAATTTTTAACTTTAATTTTATCTGTGTTATATAAGTTGTGTTTATTTTTAGGATTTTCTGTATATTTTCCTCAAATTAGCTATTTTTCTGCTTAAGAAAAAAATCGTTTTTCAGATAATGCTACATGGACCTGTTATCAACATTATTTCACAATTACAATAAGGCTACTAAAGGTATAAAAGCACCTGGTTGAAAATAAAAAGTATTCGGTTGATCATAAGGCAGCAAAAAGTTAGGCTTTAGTGGCAGATCACATATTTAAGATGCAGCTATTAAGTAAGTTAATACAGGAAACCTGAATTTTGGAAATGTTTACACTCAAACTGTTTACCATTCCTTTACTTTTTTCGCATAGATATTGATAGAAACTAAAGAAAGAAATTAGAATATTTTAACTGTAGTAAACAGTTCCAAAATTTCTACATTTCTTTTCCTCAGTGGTCAGAAATAACTTTGCCTTCAAATAACATCTTGGCACTTAAAGTTTACAGAGATTACAAAACACACACTTGCCTCTGCCTTTCTAGATATGACAGATCACACTATGCAGACATTACAACTTGGGTAACATTCCTTTTAGTAGGATCTCATTATGGGATGTCCACTCTTACTTGGTTAACAGCCACTACTGGACAAAAAGATAGAATTTGGTTCTTGACCCTCTAGCTCGTTTTTCCTCTAGGGTTTGGAATTGAAAACTGATCGAGATGGCAAATTGTACTGGCAAGAAGCGAATGAAGTAGACAGAATATAGCATTCAAATTAAGTCCCCACCATTGTGCTTAGTTGCTTGTGCTTTATGTTGTCTCAGCCCTTTACTGTGGCATGCATGTCTGCCTAGCTACTTTTCTGTGCCATGAACTTCATCAGGACATGAAGCAGATAATTTTTATTTCTCTGTCATAAACCTCAGATGCATACCAAAGCATAGAGAAACATGTTGCATATGTGTAAAACAGCTGTATTTTGTTCTGTAGCTACAAGGAAATTATGACCTTTGGAGCTTCTGTGTATGCTCTCGATCCTTCCACAACTACTCTTAAGGGCCATATTTATTGATTTGTAATAATTCTCAATACATCACATAAATTATACCATGTAAATATCAAAAATGCATGATACTCACAAGAAGACACTGCATTCCAGGAGAAAAAAGTACTTAGTTCTTGTAAGTTATTTATGGCAGAGCACTGATTTCTTTCCAATCTTGTCGACTTGAGAAGATTGTAGTCTATTTTCTTACCTGTGAGGTATGTTATTATTTTATTATTTCTACTGATAACTTTTCTGTATACTCTTTATGATGGTCCACCTGTGAAATAAACACTAACGCTAAACATTAAACACAGTAAGTTCTTTGAAAATACTACAAAAATTGCGAATCATTTCATTAACTCAGTTTTGGTATATATTTCATTCAACTACTTTCACAATACTTTTAAAGATACTGCCTTTTGGCTTCTAGAGTAAGGCTCATCCTCACGATGATGTATTTAAGTATTATCATAAATGTGAAGACAAACTAGCATTAAACAAGACAGAAGATAGTAAAGAGTACAATATTGGTGTCCTAAGACAGCTTCAGGTCAATCTTTTGATTTAGCTGCTTTCTGACTACAATTCTACGTACCCAAAAGTTTTTGGAAACAGTTCAGGTAAATTATGGGTGAGTTATCATTTAATTTTGATGAAATCAACTCTACATAAACTGAAATTTTTAAATATATCTTAAAATCCATAATGCATTTGATGTTAAATATTTAAACAAAAGTAATATTATAGCTGTCTTTCTTGGTCACTTCTACTAGTATTATCCCCATAGAAAGAGACAAAAATTGTCACAGCAAAGACAGGCCATGTATTCTTTCATCACTTAAAATATAATTAAATTCTTATTATAATAAGATTTCTACTCTATATATAAACTAAACATTAAAATGTAGCCATTTCCTTGATCTAACAGTTGTCTAATGAAGTAAATCTCAATTATATAATTTTATCTCTATAAGTGTTAGAACACATCTGTAAAGATTTTCCTTAAAAAGTTGACCATGGTGCTGTCATCACACATAATAAAAATTATTTCATAAGCTTGGGCAACATGGCAAAAACCAGTCTCCACAAAAAATACAAAAATTACTCAGGTGTGGTGGTTTGAGCCTGTAGTATCAGCTACTTGGGAAGGTAAAATGCCATTTCATTCACTGACTTTCGGTGTATGCTTAAAGTTCCTTCATTACTCTTTTCAAATTAGATTAGTGCATCAATGATGTCTTTTAGTTTCTAGAGTAATGTTTATCCATGAGATTATGTATATCAAAGATCAACATTACTCAACATCAAATAAACATTTTTTCTTATCAAATGAACGTTTTCATCACTGTCAAGATAGTACCCCTTTCTAGCCCTGCAAGAAAATATATATATATGATAAACTTATATGTACATATATAATGTGTAACTTTATATAATACATATGTGTATGTGTATATATATGCATATATGTGTGTGCGTATCTATATATATATTTGCAAATATATATATACAACATATATAAATGCAAGCTTGTGCCAGGCACGTTCCTTCGCACTGGTAGTCTTAACATTTTGGGAAGCCAAGGCAGCCAGATTACTTGATTTCAGGAGATCAAAACCAGCCTGAGTAACGTGGTGATATATCATCTCTATTAAGATGCAAAAAGCTAGCTAGGTGAGTGTAATTGTCTGCACCTGTAGTCCCTGCTACCTGGGACAGCTTGTTTTAGAAACTAGAAAGAGCTATATGTTACAGTATACAGTAAAAAGTTGTGTGACAGTGTTTTATTGTCATGCATGCCACAAATTAGACCTGTTTATTGTTCTTTCAGGAAGGTAATTCATAGATATCTCAGAGGTAGAAAGAAAAAGGGATCTTCTGATTTCTGGGCTTCCTTCTGTTTCACTCACAGCAGCTCCCTTCTCTGTATTAGCATATCACTTAGATTTCTTTTAAATGTCTGCAGTGCACCTGTAATGCACTGACTCCCCATTGTATCTCTCAGTTTGAGGTTCTAGATTCCGTAGCTAAACTGTAAACTTAGGGTTGTAAGTGTAATTTGCATACGTAATTCTTATTGAACTATTTCGGTTCTATAGCCTCACGTGTGACCAACACTCCCTTTTTCTTGCATCAACAAGTTATTTTCATTTATTTGATCTACTCAAGACATTTTTTTTCTGAAATCTAGTCAACATTTCTGTTCTTTTTCATTCAAATTACTATAACACTATGAGTTTCTGTCTTCAAAACTTTTACTCAATAATTTATGTGTGCATGCATCTATGTGTGATTGTTTGCAAACAATTGGCACAAGGGACCTGTTTTGTGAAAGACAATTTTCTATTATCTTCACTGGAAAACCAAACCAAACAAAACCAAACAAAAACATGAAGAATATATATTTATAATTTATTTCTTTAAAATATCTTTAGGTACAAATATGAAAAATATTTTAACACTTTAAATGTGGACATTAACAGTCATCAAAATCTTCTTGAATCTTTGGTATAGTATATCCAATGGAAGGGGAAAATCCACATTGTTGTAAAATGGGATAAAATGTATGTTTTTTTCAGTTTTGAAAAAAAAAAAGATCTCATTCAACAAAACCAGAAGACATTAGAGTTGTTTGTGCTCATCCACAAAATTAACTTCTGGTTTCTCTTTACTGTTTTAGTGGTATCAGACAGGTAGTTAAGATGATAACTTGTTTAAAGGAAAATAATATTGACAAAATACAGTGACTGACTTGAGGAAAAATGATTGTTATTAAATGAATAATTTTGGATGTAGACGATCTCACAGAGGGTTCTCATCTGTCCTCTATGATAAATTGCAATTTAATGATTGAATATTGAAGAGTTGACAGAAGAAAATATTATTCTTTTTCTATTACAGATACCTCTTCATTTTATGCGGTTACAACAGATGTTAACAACCACGAGTAGTTTCACAAACAGATTTCATTCTTTAGGCCTAACCAGCCCATTTTACCTCTTTGGAACTTGTTTGGGAGATGGAATGAAGAACTATCTTGGGAGACGTAAGCTAAATAACATGGATGTCTTTCTTGGCCTTCATAACTTCTCACCTCCAAGCTGTCTGCATTGCTGTGAACTTAGCTGTCATTTAGATTGTGGTTCATTTGTAACATCATATTGCCTGCTCTTCACATCTCTGAGAAATGAAACAATTTATTTCACCCTTTCACTCTTAATGCAAACCTCTTAAAATAACTATATATAGGTCTTAATGTTGTATTTTATTTTATTTACTCATTTTTTATTTATTTTTGAGATAGAGTCTCACTCTGTCACCCAGGCTGGAGTGCCGTGGCCCGGTCTATGCTCACTGCAACTCCAACTTCCAGGTTCACGCCATTCTCCTGCCTCAGCCTCCAGAGTAGCTGGGACTACAGGCGCCAGCCACCACGCCTGGCTAATTTTTTAGTATTTTTAATAGAGACAGGGTTGAACCGTGTTAGCCAGGATGGTTGGGATTTCCTGACTTCGTGATCTGCCCATCTCGGCCTCCCAACGTGTTGAGATTACAGGCGTGGGATTACAGGTCACCGCGCTCGGCCAGGTCCTAAACGTTTTTTTTATAAGACAGTGAGACCGGCCTGGCCAAAAGGGTGAAACTCCACCTCTGCTAAAAATATGAAAATTAGCCAGGCGTCGTGGCATATGCCTGTAAAATTAGATACTGGGGAGGCTGAGACAGGTGAATTTCTTGAATCTGGGAGGCATATGTTACAGTGAGCGGAGATCCTGCCATTGCACCGCAGCCTAGGGGAAGAGAGCAAAACCCTATCATCTCAAAAAAAAAAAAAAAAAAAAAAAAAAAGAAAGAAAGAAAGAAAAGAAAAAAAACTGTGAGAATTAAACACATTAGTGTCTGTGTGTCTCTTAGTGTATTACCTCTTCTTTAAGTGCTATAAATATCAGCTGCTATTATTGCTTATCATGTATCTTCAATTTACTCACACCAAATTCTGCTTCATAGCATAAAAGAAAACAGAACAGTAACAGTCAGATAGTAGTGGCTATATGGAACCACAAAAGCATCAGTGTCTGTGTCAGTAATCTTTTGTAATTTATGACAAATAAGTGACCTTTTACACCTACAGATTCTGCAAACATAGATTTCTTAAAACCTAAACTGTACTCAGTGTAACAATTTAGATTTGCTTCTTATGATAAGTAATTTGTGTTTGGCTTGTAGGAGTTTTTACAAGGTATCGAATGTGTTTAATCTATTTCTTCAGTCTTCTTGTTCTTTCTTTATGAAATCATTAGATCTAATTTATATGAATGTGTTGCCTTTTTGGTTTAGTTATTTCAAGGTAAAATATTTAAGATATCTTTACCTTAGAATATTGGTTTTTAATATATGGAAATATGGAAGAGCATTTATGTATTATATTAATTATTACTTTTTACTTAAGCAGTTTGAAATACGAGTCAGTGAAGTAATCACTAAGATTTGGCTTAACTAACAAATATTTTATTAACAGCTTGAAAATACAAATGTTTTTGACTATATATATAATTTTTTTTGAACAGTAGAATTATTTTCTGCATGAAGGAAAAGAATTTTCTATGATTAGCATACAAATTGCCTCTATATTCATCATTACCACAGGATGTTACACCAAAAAATGTTTGTGTTCCTGCCAGTGACTGGTACATGGCTTTGGATTTCACTCATAATGTAATTATAATTGGTTTGATTGTCTATTATGCCACTTTATATTTCCTAACAGTAAAATTATTATTTCAATTTTTAAATACACGAAAAACATTTTTGCGGTAATTGTGTGAGAATTCTTGGTAAACATAAAATTCTCTAATCTAAATATGCATTTTTTAATTAAAAATTATCTCTGTCTTCAAAAAATTTGTATCATAGCTTATTCTACTTTATCATTCAGTATTAAGCTTTATCTATTCTAAACAAAATCTTTACTTATAATTTAAAAAGTGGATCAGGTTTTACATCAGATTTTGTTTCTCATGTTGATAATTCCAATAATTTGGAAGGGCAAGGAAAAAAGGACAATTGAGGCCAGGAATTTGGAACAGAGTTTGGCAAAATCCTGAAACACCATCTTTATAAAAAGTTTTTTAAAATGAGAAGATGTGGTGGCTTAACACTGGTAATCTTGTCACTTAATGAGGCCAAGATGGGTGGATCACTTTAGGCCTAGGATTTGAGGCCAGCCTGAGTAACACTGCAAGATTCTGACTCTAAGAAAAAATTAAAATAAATATATAAATTAAATAATTAGCTGAGCCTACTGGCCTTTTCTTCTAGATGTAGCTAATTGGGAGGCTGAGGAAGCAGGACGACATAAGTCCAGGAGTTGGAAGCTGCAGTTAGTGACGATGGCACCACTGTATTCATTCCAGCTGGAGCACTAGAAAATTGTCTCTTAAAAAAAGTAAAATGGCTTTAGTCTTAAGTTAGTACAAATTATACAAGTATAGAGTACATTATAATAACTTGACTTCACAACTCTTTCTGCCTTGTTTTTATTAAAAGATGTTAATAAAATGTTGCTGAACTAAAAAGTGTTTGATATACATTTTCAGAGACCTACGTATACTTGCATTTTATTTACTTCTTGACTTGACTGTGAAACTGAAGTTTCAGAGCTTTATTAGTCAATATGACATTTGTACTATATTTGTACATTTTCATGCACTTATAAAGACATACGCTAGACTGGGCAATTTATAAAAGGAAGAGCAGTTTATGGACTTAGAGATTTATGTATCTGCCAAGGCAAAGAGGAGCAAGTCACATCTTATATGATGGCAGCAAGCAAAGAGAGAGCTTGTTCAGGGAAACACTGATGTTTAAAGCCATCAGATCTGATGAGACTTATTCACTGTCACAAGATCAGAACAAAAAAACACCTGCCCCCACAATATGGTTACTCCCTATCTCATCCCCCTCCACCACATGTAAAAATGTAAGATAAAATTTCGATGGGGACATAGTCAAATCATATCATTCCAACCCTGGCCCCTCCAAAATCTCAAATCCTCACATTTCAAAACCAGTCATGCTTTTCCAATAGTACTGCAATGTCTTAACTCATTCAAGCATGAACTCAATAGTCCAAAGTCTGAGATTTTATCTGAGACAAGGCAAGTTTTTTTCTGCCTATGAACCTGCAAAAATTAAAGCAAGTTAGTTACATCCTAGATACAATGAGGGTACTGGCATTGGGAAAATACAGGCATTCCAAATATGAGAAACTGACCAGAATAAAGGGATTACAGGCCCTAAGTACATCTGAAATCTGATGAGGCACTAAAAATTTAAGGCTCCAGGATGATCTTCTTTAACCTAATGTCTCATATCCAGGTCATGCTGATGCAAGAGGTGGGTTTCTATGGTCTTGAGCAGATCCCCCCATGAGGCTTTATGGGGTACAGCCTTCCTCCCAACTGCTTTCACCATCTGGCATTGAGTATCTATGGGCTTTTCTGGGCACACCATCAAGCTGTCAATGGACTAACCATTCTGAAGTCTGGAGGATGAAAACCCTCATTTCCCATCCCCACGATCATCATCTATGTCACTACCTGTGTTTTCAATGGTAGAAATGCTGTTGCCGATGACAGGGATCAGGTATAGCTGCTGGATCACAGAATGTGTTTGATAAGTAGCTCCAGCGTCTTTGAGTCCCACAAATACTTTTGTTGGGTGGGGTCCAACAGGGGCAGATAGTCCCACTCAGTAAATGTTTCACAAGCTGAGATAAGAAGAAAAAAAAAACGCTTTCTTTGAAAGAGTTATAGAAGATGGCGTAGTATTAAATTTTCATGTGTTAAACACAGACTTAACTTTGATCATTATGAGTTTGCTCATTAAAAACTTTTGCACTTAAAATGATTGTATTCAATTCATTGCCATTAGAACTTTACATTAAAAAAATGAGAGTTTTCCCAGTTTTAATTGAGCACTTCCTTTAAGTTATTGTTCTGACTCATAAAGCTATAACTTTCATGTAAATATCTGCTTCTTTCCTCAGCAAATAATGATAATCACTTTGCCTGAACTCAGAATTTTGTTGTGAGATGAAGTCAACGAGATGGTGTGTTTAAAATTATGGTGGAAGTGTAAATTCTTCTTTATTTAGTGTAAAACTGAATACCACTTACACGTCAATCCATCTCAGTGGTGGACTGCATAAATTAGAGCACACTGAATTGCAAGTTATGCAGCTACAAACAAAATTAAATGGATCTTCATATACTGACAGACGTGTGACGAAGTACAAAACGAAGTTAACAATATAGTCTATTGTATATATTCATTTGTGTAAAAAATAAATAAATAGCTATATATATGGATTACTGCAGGCACAGAGATAATCTCTGGAACAGGAATATAAAATTGGTGGTCAGTTAATAATTGTTAGTATATATCATCCTATATAGTGAAAATATATATAAACTATGTAAAACAGTTAGCTAAAGCATTTAACAACAGCAGTGTTTGTTTAAAAAAAACTCATTTGCAAATATATATTTACCATGTCAATACAATCATTAAATAAATTAACAAAAAAAGTGTTTTTTAAAAGCAAGTTTTTCCCTCTACATAGATCTCACAATGCAAATGAAGATTTGATCTTTTAAGCAGTGAGTTAGCTGGAAACTCCTACAATGTGTTAAAAAAATACTTACATGGAAATATATATATATATATATAAAATTTCGTATTTACTAATTACAGGCCTATACTGAATATGTTTGTTAATTACATACTTAACACTTAGCTTAATCTTGAAATACACTAAGTTTTATGTTACTGTATGTTAATTTGCTTACATTACCTTCCACTTTGAGTTTCAGTTCTGTGTAAGTTTAAACATTGCTACCTTTTTGTGGAACTTATTTGGATATTTAGAAGTAATAAAGTGCACTCAAATGTTTCCTTCTAATATCATGATTTTCAAAACCATTCCTCTTTTAGAATTTAATTAAAATAACAAGCAACTTCAGTGCATACATTTTAAATATAACATTTTATAGCATTAAGTTTGGCCCCTCGTTAATGTAACATTTCCATATTTTTTCACATATGATAAAAACAACTCATGTGTTAAGTTACCAAAACCAGCTACAGGAAACCATTAAAGAAAGGCATCTTCTTCAAAAAAATTGTATTCTCTCACTAAAGTTCTTCTACTTACATACCTGATGACTACAAAATGTTGGGCTAGTTGACCAAAAACAAACAAACAAAAAAAAGTGAGTTACTTCTTTTTCTAAATGAAAAAAATAGTATTTCAAACCAAAGTAAATGAATATTAATGAATAAAATCAGATTTATAATTTAAACCACTCACTAGTTATTGCCTTGTCTGTGTCATATATTGCAGTCAAAGAGCCTACTCTCATTTTTAGATTTTTTTACGCAGTCAATAGCTGGCGCAACAAGTAGCTCAAACTAGGATTCATGGTAGTGGGTGACCTACCTCTTGGAAATGCCTGTTCTGCTGGCAGTTCTTACTTCTTATACATTGCAGGTGAACTATTGATGCAGGGAAGAGGAAAACATAAATTAATTTTAGGAAGAGAAAGTAATCATAATATTATTTGTAGAAAACCTAAATTAAGAAAAACCTGTTTTCTCAAAGAAAATACCTTTAAGTTTATTTGATATAATTAAACATCTCATTGTATCTTCAAACAATTTTGAATTTTCTTACCAAAAAAGATCCTTAAAAAACAAACATTTATGTCAAGAAATGTAGTTTCCAAAGTAATATTTTTAAAGAAATTTCTAAAACCCCAGAGTTTTACACAAAAGAAAAATGATATTCTAAATAAACTTTCTCTTTTAATTACATATAAATGGATACACATTCATTTCCAATGAAAAGAGAATGCATTAAAATTATATTATTTTTCTTGACTTATGAGACATATGAAGAAACTCATAAACGTATGATATAGAAAATAAAGTTTTGCAACATGGATAAGTTTCTCAATTAGAAATTCATTCAACTGCCAGACATCCTGACTCACACCTATAATCCCAGGACTTTCAGATGATGAGGCAGGCAGATTACTTGACATCAGGAGTTTGGGACTAGCCTGGCCAACATGGTTAAACCCCATCACCTGTGTTGGTGCACACGTGTAATCTCAGCTAATCAAATGGCTGAGGCAGATTAATCCCTTGAAGCTCGGAAGCAGGGGTTGCAGCATGTCAAGATTGCACCACTGCACTCCAGCTGAAGACACTGTGTAAGATTCTATCCTCAAAATGAAAGAAAAGAAATTCAATCAACTGAGAATTGAAATATACTACTTATTTACTTTTTGGTGCAGTTTGTCAAAACTCTGATTTATAGTTATTTTATAAAATCTCTTAAATAAGATGTGGCACATATTCCAAAGTTACTATAACTGCTACAAAAATGAAAGCCTTTTAATTTTAATTTAATTTAATTTAAATTTATATTAAGTTTCATGATATGTATGCAGGACATGCAGATTTATTTCACAGGTAAACGTGTGCCATGGTTGTTCACTGAACCCATTACCCCATCACCTAGGTATTTATCTCTGCATAAATTAGCTATTTGTCCTGAAGGTGTTGTTTTCCCACTTTCTTTATCCAGTCTGTCACTCATAGGCATTTGGGTTAATTCCATGACTTTGAATTTGTGAATAGTGCTGTAATACACATACACAGGCATGCGTCCTTGTAATAGAATGACTAATTTTGCAGGTGCTATACACCCAGTAATGAAATTGCTGAATCCAGTGGGATTGGGATTCTGAAAGACTAAAAGTGTGAATCACCACACACTTTTCCACATTGTCTGTACTGATTTACATTCCAAAGAACAATGTAAAAACATTCCTATGACTGCACTAGCTCACTACCATCAGTTTTTTCATGGGTATTAACTTATACGATAAAGATAGCCATCAATTTTGTTTCCACAAGACACAAACATATTTGGGCATTTCTTCCATGGGGAAAAAAAAAAGGCATTTACAATTGCACTTAATGGAAGAGGCCCAAAATGCTGCTCATCATCCTGCAATGCACAGCAAAAGCTCCTCACATAAAGAAATTTTATGAGTACAAAATGTCAAAATCAGAAATTCTGTTTCATCAGAAAGCTTTATAACACAGTGGAAGAGTGCTAACCTGAAGCCCAATGCCATGGGTTACAGAAGTATATTCTCAGAGACTAGATGTCTGTGCAAGTAAGAGGGATAGGATGTTTCAGTGGAAATACCAGTCTTTCAACTTTAATTTCCAAAAGATTTTGAAATATAATGATTTTCAAATAAGGTTTAAACATTCCAAATTGTAGGAGACTGAATTTTAAGTAGTTCAAGATCCAACAGAAGAAAGGCATTTAAACGCAACTAGCTATGCTCCTTTTGTCATGAGATTTTGGGAGAGTCACCTTGCCAGTTGAAAACCTCTGCGGCCAGTGGTGCCTTTGCCTGCGTTTTCTCAGGCCTGCTAAGCTAGCTTTACCCACTCTGCCTGACAGGCTGCACTCAGCTTGCATTATGGGCCAGGATTTAACACCTGCCAAGGGCAAACGTGAGGTAGAGTGGCAATGGTGTTTGAGCAAGTGTGGGGTCCAGCCGCTATAGACAGCCAGGCCTACCAGCTGTTGCAAAGCAAGAAATTTTAGGTACCAACAGAAGTACCATCTCACTGAGATGCAGCAGCTGGACCAGGCATACTGCAAGCAGCTTCCACAGCTGATACTGGGGAATGTAGTGGTGCCCAGAAGTTTCAGGATGCCAGAAACAGCAAAGCCCTAAAGAGGGTGTCACAGCCCTGGTTTTGAGATAGCCTAGCTGTCCTCTTACTTTTGTCTTTCACAACGTGATGAGCAAGAGACATTTTTTTCCCTGTTTGTGTTACAGTTCTTTCAGCACCACCATTCAGTGATTCTCAAATAATAGTTCTTTATCCAGGAAGAATGAGGTAGATGGACACGTGGAGAGTGAGACATTTATAGACAAGATTTACTGAGGGACAGAACTCAAAAGAGATCCTGATTGGGTAGGTCTTCTCCACAGGCTGGATGTTCTGATGAGTGTCCAGCTCTCAGTGGAGAGACGGCTTTAGAGTGGGCAGCTTATCTTTACAGGCAAGTTGTCAAGGCTTAGTGTCCAGCTCTCAGCAGGAAAGAAACCCTGGACTTGGTAGCTTCTCCATCCAGCTGGTCATATTGTGAGATGTTAAGCTCTCCACAGAGTGAAGACCCTGGAGTGGGTAGGTCTACTTCACACCTGGTGGTTCCAAGATTGGCTAAGCCTTCAGCAAAAAGAAGACCCTCGACTGGGTAGCTCCTCACTCTAGCTGGTCATCCCATTATCTCCCCAGCTTTCAGCAGATACTGTGGTGGGTAGCTCCAGCCCACTGCTGATAGTCCTGACATCTCCTAAGCTTGCAGGAGAGAGATGGCCCTTGGGTAGGTAGCTCCTCTCCACAGCTGGTAGTTTGAATAGTCCTCAAATGTGGCTGAGTCCAGGAATATTATTTGCTTCAAAGGAAAGAAAGTGCTTGCTGATTGGATTATTTGGCAACCATGCGTGCGTTTTAGAAAAAAGCAAAAGTGGTTCCCATTCTTGTCCATCAGCCTAGAACCTAGACTTCAGGCTGTAACTGGCTTGAAGGTGGAGCCTCAGTGGGGACCAGCAAATTTATCGCCAAGAGCCTGTGATGGCTAACACTGAGTATCAATTTAACTGGATTGAGAGATACAGAGTATTAGTTTGGCATGTGTCTGTGTAAGTGTTGCCTAAAAGAGATTAACACTAGGGGCAGTGGGCTGGAGAAGGTAGTTCCACCCTTAATCTGGTGGGCACAATTGCCCTGTAATTGCTCTTCTCTGGAAACCACAGTCATGCAACGACAAAATTTAAATATGTTGAGAATAGTTGGATCCCGATGTGACAGGGGTCAAGTGGCACCACTCAAACATCAAAGGTGTGGGTACAGCGAAGGGATAGTGGCAGTCAAATATTATGACTCCTGTAGAGCCTTGCCATTGGTTAATTAGTCACGGTGTTCGTGCAAGTGAAATTGATGGAAAGCTTACTGCATTCATACTTATGTTATACATACAGAAATCGTTGCGTCAAAAGGACAAATCACTATTCGGAATGATGAAAACAGAGAAGTACGGCCCCTCCATCAATTACCAGGCTAGAGACAGTTTAAAGACCGAGAATCCATCGAATGAAGAGGAGGCTGGGTTCCCTTGACCAAGAAACCCACAACACAACTGACTATTTATGCAGTGAATCTTTACACAATCTTTCCCCAAGAAGACCTCCAGGCTTTACCAAAGTAATTGTGTACTAGGGAAAGGGAAATAGTCAGACTTTGGAGAAACTACTGGCCACTAGCTCTGTGCTGATGTGGGTTCCAGGGGACCCAAAATGTTACTGTGGTCCTGCAGTTAAAGTAGGAGCTCAGGGAGGTCAGGTAATTAATAGTGCTTTAGCTTATTAGGTCAGATTTACAGAGTGCCCAGTGAGTCCCTGGAGTCATCCTGTGGTCATTTTCCCAGTGCTAAATTGCATAACTGGCATAGATATACTTAGCAGCTGGCAGAATCCCACATTTCCATGACCTCCAAGGTGAGGGCTACAACAATAGAAAAGGTTAAATGGAAGCCACAAGAGCTGCCCCTACCTAGAAAAATAGTAAATAAGAAATGATATCAAAACCCTGAGAAGATTGTGAAGATGGGTGCCACCATCAAAAATTTCAAAGATGCTGGATTGGTAATTACCAGCACATTCTAATTCAACTCTCCCATTTGGCCTGTGCAAAAGACAGGTGGACCTTGGATAATCACATTGGAGTATTGCAACTTAATACAGTTGTGAATCAACATGCAGCTGATATTCTAGATATGGTTTATTTTTTGAGCAAATTAATACATCTCCTGTCACATGGTATACAGCCATTCACTTGGCCAGTGCCCTTTTCTTTATTCCTTTCCATAAGGACCACCAGAGGCAATTTGCCCTCAGCTGGCAAGGCCAGCAATACACATTTATTAACCTTGTTCAGGTGTATATTAACTTTCTGGCTTCCTGTCATAATCTTACTCAGAGAGACCTTGATTGCTCTTCACTTCTGTAAAGTATCACAATGATTTCATCCATCTCATTGATGAAATTAGGCTGATTTGATGAGTGAGCAAGAAGTAGCAAGCACATTTGAATTATTGGTGAGACATTTATGTACCAGAAGATGTGAAATAAATGTGACTAAAATTCAGAGACCTTCTACCTCCGTAATGTTCCTAGAGGTCCAGTCTTGGGAAGCCTGTCAAAATATCCTTTCCAGGGAGAAGAACAAGTTGTTGTGTGAGGCCCCTCTTATAACCAAGAAAGAGGCACAATACTTACTAGGCCTAGTTGGATTTTTGAAGCAGTACCTTTTTTATTTGAATATGTCCCACTGGCCCACTTATTAGTGACCCAAAGGGCTGCCAGCTTTCAGGGGCATCCAAAACAGGAAAAGACTCTGCAACTACTTCAGGCTGTGTTGCAAACCCCTCTACTCTTTGGGCCATATGAACCAGGAGATTCAATGATGCTTGAAGTTTCAGTGGCAGATAGGAATGTTGTTTGGAGCTAAATAACTGTGGCAGCAGTGTCCTGCTCATTAAATCTACTTGTCTTACCATGTTTCCCATTATCCTGAAGGAGCTGGATAAATAGAATGGTTAAGTGGCTTTTTGAAGTTACAATTACAATGCCAACGATGTGACAATACTTTGCAGTGCTCCCACAGGTGAATCAGACCATACATCTCTAGGATTTTGAAGCAAGGCCCTGCCATTTTCTGCAGATAACTAGTATTCTTTGGAGAGACAGCTCTTGGCCCATTGCTGGGCTTTGGTGAAACATTTCAATGTTGGTCATCAAGTCACCATGTGAACTACACTGCCTATCATGAACTTGGTGCTTTCTGACCCATCGAGTCTTAAAGTGGGTTGTGCACAGCAGGATTTCATCATGAAATGGATGTGGTATACATGTGGCCAGGCTTAAGCAGGTCCTAAGGCACAACTAAGTTACCTGAGAAAGTGGTTCAAATGCTCACGATCTCCACTGCAGCCACCCCATCTTCACTCCTTCAGCCTATGTCGATACCCAAATGGCCAGATTTCTGACTATATACTGATTCATGGTCCATAGCTAATGGTTTGTCTGGGTGTCAGGCACTTGGTAGATGCATGATTAGAATATTGGTGAGAAAGATATTTGAGGAAGACGTATGTGGACGGACCTTTGTGAGTGGTCAAAAGCTGTCAAAATATTTGTATTCCATGTGAGTTCTAACCAACGAGCAGCCTTAGTAGATAAAGAGTTTAATAATCAAGTGGATAAAAACACTGGTTCCAGGGACACCACTCTGCCTCTTTCCCCAGCCACCCCTGTCATTGCCCGATGAGTCCATGAACAAAGCGGCCATGGTGGCAGAAATTGAGGTTACACATGTGCTCAGCAACATGGACTTCCACTCACAAAGCCTGACCTGGCTATGGCCACTGCTGAGTGCCCAATTTGCCAGTACCAGAGGCCAAAACTGAGCCCTCAGTATGGCCCAGTTTCTTGGGGTGATCAGCCAGCTACCTGGTGACAGATTAATTATACTGGAACTCTTTCATCAAGGAAATGGCAGAGGTTTGTCCTCACTGGAATAGCCACTTACTGTGGATATGGGTTTCCCCATTCTTCATGCAATGCTTCTGATAAGACTACCATTCATGAACTCACAAAATGCCATATTCACCATTATGGTGTTCCACACAACATTTCCTCTGACCAGTGCACTAACTTTACAGCTAAAGAAATGTGGCAGTGGGCTCCTGCTCATTAAAACGCTGGTCTTACCATGTTTCTCATTATCTTGAAGCAACTAAATTAATAGGATTGTGAAGTGGCCTTTTGAAGTTACAATTGCAATGCCAACTATGTGACAATACTTTGTAGGGCTGTGGCAAAGTTCTCCAGAAGACCATATGTTCTCTGAATCAGCATCCAATATATGGTATTGTTACTTCTGTAGCCAAAATTCGCTGGTCCAGGAATCAAGCGATGGAAGTAGAAATTTCACCACTCACTATCACTCCTGTGCTTCACTAGCAACATTTTTGTTTCCTGTTTCTTATGATATTATGTTCTGCTGGCCTAGAGGTCTTAGCTCCCCAAGGAAAAGCGCTGCCACCAGATGAAACAAAACTGATTCCATTAAACTGGAAGTCAAGATTGCCACCTGGACACTTGGGCCTCCTCCTACCTTTACGTCAGCATTGTAAAAAGGCAGTTACAGTGTTGACTGAGGTGATTGACCTGAACTATCAAGATGAAATCAGCCTACTCCTCCACAATGGAGGGAAGAAAGAGTGTGGCATAAAATACAGAAGATGCATTAAGATGTGTTCCAGAATTACCATGACGTGCAACCAAGGTCAGTGGAAAACTACAACAGCCCAATTCTGACAGGGCTACAGTTGGATCAGACCCTTCAGGTATTAAGGTTTGGGTCACTCACCAGGGTAACAACAACAAAAGGAACAACAACAACAAAACAATAAAAACCGCAACCTGCTGAGGTGCTTGAGGAAGATAAAAGGAAGGCAGAATGGGTGTTAGAAGAAGTTAGTCATCCATATCCGCTATAAACAAGTGACCAGCTGCAGAAATGAGGACGTTAATTGTTTTAAGTATTTCGTCCTTCTTTTGTTAAAAAAAAAAAAGTTTGTGCATGTATACACATGTACTAAGAAAATTTTTTTTATTTTCCTTTATCATGCTACATAAGATTTATTGAGTTCTTATCAACATTTGTGTATTGTAAACTTTATGAAATAGTGTTTGGATTGGAGATTGCTGCATTCCTGGTTGTAAGAGGATAATTGTATTATGTTAGGTGTAATTATTACCTCATTTCTGTCTGCATTTGAAGATTATGTATTATAGCAGGAGATGTGATTTGATTCGAGTTAACAAGGGGTGGACTTGTGATGCTTAATACTGAGTGTCTCATTCATTGGATCGAAGGATAGAGAGTATTAATCGTGGATGAGTTTCTTGGGTGGTTCACCCCCAAAAATTAACATTTGAGTCAATGGGAAGATCTACATTAATCTGATGGGCACAATCTCATGAGCTTCTAGCGAATATCAAGCAGACAGAAACATGTCAAAAAGCGAGATGGGACTAGCTTCGAAAGCATACATCTTTCTTCTATACTGGATACTTTTTCTCTCAGACAGTGGGCTCCAAGTTCTTCTAGGTTTGGGACTCAGACTTGCTCTCCTTGTTCCTCAGCTTGCAGGCAGCCTATTGTGATCATGTACGTAAGTACTTATAACCTCCCATAAATATTTATATATACATATACACAGGCACACACACACACTCACACATATACATGCATATATAAAAATATATAAAGGGATGGAAAACTAAACAGTCTGTAAGTATTTTCAAAAAGTATTCTTTTTTTATTATACTTTCAGTTTTAGGGTACATGTGCACAACGTGCAGGCTAGTTATATATGTATACATGGGCCATGTTGGTGTGTTGCACCCATTAACTCATCATTTAACATTAGGTATATCTCCAAATGCTATCCCTCCCCACGCCCCCCACCCCAAAACAGGCTCTGGTGTGCGATGTTCCCCATCCTGTGTCCATGTGTTCTCATTGTTCAACTCCCAGCTATGAGTGAGAACATGCGGTGTTTGGTTTTTTGTCCTTGAGATAGTTTGCTGAGAATGATGGTTTACAGCTTCATCCATGTCCCTACAAAGGATATGAACTCATAATTTTTTATAGCTCCATAGTATTCCATGGCACATATGTGCCACATTTTCTTAATCAAGTCTATCATTGTTGGGCATTTGGCTTGGTTCCAAGTCTTTGTTATTGTGAATAGTGCCACAATAAACATACGTGTGCATGTGTCTTCATAGCAGCATGATTTATAATCCTTTGGGAATATGCCCAGCAATGGGATGGCTGGGTCAAATGGTATTTCTAGTTCTAGATCCTGGAGGAATCACCACACTGACTTCCACAATGGCTGAACTAGTTTACAGTCCCACCAACAGTGTAAAATTGTTCCTATTTCTCCACATCCTCTCCAGCACCTGCTGTTTCCTGACTTTTTCATGATCGCCATTCTAAATGGTGTGAGATGGTATCTCATTGTGGTTTTGATTTGCATTTGTCTGATGGCCAGTGATGATGAGCATTTTTTCATGTGTTTTTTGACTGCATAAATGTCTTCTTTTGAGAAGTGTCTGTTCATGTCCTTCGCCCACTTTTTGATGGGGTTGTTTATTTTTTTTTTCTTGTAAATTTGTTGGTGTTCATTGTAGATTCTGGATATTAGCCCTTTGTCAGATGAGTAGGTTGTGAAAATGTTCTCCCATTCTGTAGGTTGCCTCTTCACTCTGATAGTAGTTTCTTTTGCTGTGCAGAAGCTCTTTAGTTTAAACAGATCCCATTTGTCAATTTTGGCTTTTGTTGGCATGCTTTTGGTGTTTTAGACATGAAGTCCTTGCCCATGCCTATGTCCTGAATGGTATTGCCTAGGTTTTCTTCTAGGGTTTTTATGGTTTTAAGTCTAACATTTAAGTCTTTAATCCATCTTGAATTAATTTTTGTATAAGGTGTAAGGAAGGGATCCAGTTTCAGCTTTCTACATATGGCTAGCCTGTTTTCCCAGCACCATTTATTAAATAGGGAATCCTTTCCCCATTGCTTGTTTTTCTCAGGTTTGTCAGATAGTTGTAGATATGTAAGATTATTTCTGAGGGCTTGGTTCTGTTCCATTGATCTATATCTCTGTTTTGATACCAGTAACATGCTGTTTTGGTTGCTGTAGCCCTGTAATAGAGTTTGAAGTCAGGTAGCGTGATGCCTCTGGCTTTGTTCTTTTGGCTTAGGATTGACTTGGCGATGCAGGCTCCTTTTTGGTTCCATATGAACTTTAAAGTTTTTTCCAGTTCTGTGAAGAAAGTCATTGGTAGCTTGATGGGGATGACATTGAATCTATAAATTACCTCAGGCATTATGGCCTTTTTCATGATATTGATTCTTCCTACCCATGAGCATGGAATGTTCTTCCATTTCTTTGTATCCTCTTTTATTTCATTGAGCAGTGGTTTGCAGTTCTCCTTGAAAAGGTCCTTCACATCCCTTGTAAGTCAGATTCCTAGGTATTTTATTCTCTTTGAAGCAATTGTAAATGGGAGTTCACTCATGATTTGGCTCTGTGTTTGTCTGTTATTGATGTATAAGAATGCTAGTGATTTTTGTGCATTGATTTTGTATCCTGAGACTTTGCTGATGTTGCTTATCAGCTTAAGGAGGCTTTGGGCTGAGACAATGGGGTGTTCTAGATATACAATCATGTCATCTACAAACAGGGACAATATGACTTCCTCTTTTCCTAATTGAATACCCTTTATTTCCTTCTCCTGCCTAATTGCCCTGGCCAGAACTTCCAATACTATGTTGAATAGGAGTGGTGAGAGAGGGCATCCCTGTCTTGTGCCACTTTTCAAAGGGAATGTTTCCAGTTTTTGTCCATTCAGTATGATATTGGCTGTGGGTTTGTCATAGATATCTCTTATTAATTTGAGATACGTCTCATCAATACCTAATTTATTGAGAGTTTTTTGTATGAAGGATTGTTGAATTTTGTCAAAGGCCTTTTCTGCATCTATTGAGATAATCATGTGGTTTTTGTCTTTGGTTCTGTTTATATGCTGGATTACATTTATCAATTTGCGTATATTAAACCAGCCTTGCATCCCAGGGATGAAGCCCACTTGATGATGGCAGGTATGCTTTTTGATGTGCTGCTAGATTCGCTTTGCAGTATTTTATTGAGGATTTTTGCAACAATGTTCATCAAGGATATTGGTCTAAACTTCTCTTTTTTGGTTGTGTCTCTTCCAGGCTTTGGTATCAGGATGATGCTGGCCTCATAAAATGAGTTAGGGAGGATTCCCTCTTTTTCTATTGATTGGAATGGTTTCAGAAGGAATGGTACCAGCTCCTCCTTGTAGGTCTGGTAGAATTCGGCTGTGAATCCATATGGTCCTGGACTTTTTTTGGTTGGTAAGCTCTTGATTATTGCCACAATATCAGAGCCTGTTATTGGTCTATTCAGAGATTCAACTTCTTCCTTGTTTAGTCTTGGGAAGATGTATGTGTTGAGGAATTTATCTATTTCTTCTAGATTTTCTAGTTCATTTGCATAGAGGTGTTTGTAGTACTCTCTGATGGGAGTTTGTATTTCTGTGGGATCAGTGGTGATATCCCCTTTATCATTTTTTATTGCATCTGTTTTGTTCTTCTCTCCTTTCTTCTTTATTAATCTTCCTAGCAGTCTACCAATTTTGGTGATCTTTTCAAAAAACCAGCTCCTGGATTCGTTAATTTTTTGAAGCGTTTTTCTGTCTCTATTTCCTTCAGTTCTGCTCTGATCTTAGTTATTTCTTGCCTTCTGCTAGCTTCTGAGTTTGTTTGCTCTTGCTTCTCTAGTTCTTTTAATTGTGATGTTAGGGTGTCAATTTTGGATCTTTCCTTCTTTCTCTTGTGGGCATTTAGTGCTATAAGTTTCCCTGTACCCACTGCTTTGAATGTGTCCCTGAGATTCTGGTATGTTGTGTCTTTGTTCTCATTGGTTTCAAAGAACATCTTTATTTCTGCCTTCATTTCGTTATGTACACAGTAGTCATTCAGGAGCAGGTTGTTCAGTTTCCATGTAGTCGAGCGGTTTTGGGTGAATTTTCTAATCCTTAGTTCTAGTTTGACTGCACTGTGGTCTGAGAGACAGTTTGTTGTGATTTCTGTTCTTTTACATTTGCTGAGGAGTGCTTTACTTCCAACTATGTGGTCAGTTTTGGAATAGGTGTGCTGTGGTGTTGAAAAAAAATGTATATTCTGTTGATTTGGGGTGGAGAGTTTTGTAGATGTCTACTAGGTCCGCTTGGTGCAGAGCTGAGTGCAATTCCTGCGTATCCTTGTTAAATTTCTGTCTCATTGATCTGTCTAATGTTGACAGTGGGGTGTTAAAATCTCCCATTATCATTGTGTGGGAGTCTATGTCTCTTTGTAGGTCACTAAGGACTTGCTTTATGAATCTGGGTGCTCCTGTATTGGGTGCATATATATTTAGGATAGTTAGCTCATCTTTTTGAATTGATCCCTTTACCGTTATGTGATGGCCTTCTTTGTCTCTTTTGATCTTTGTTGGTTGAAAGTCTGTTTTAGCAGAGACTAGGATTGCAACCCCTGCCTTTTTTTGTTTTCCATGTGCTTGGTAGATCTTCCTCCATTCCTTTATTTTGAGCCTATGTGTGTCTCTGTATGTGAGACGGGTTTCCAGAATACAGTGCACTGATGGGTCTTGACTCTTTTTCCAATTTGCCAGTCTGTATCTTTTAATTGGAGCATTTAGCCAATTTACATTTAAAATTAATACTGTTATGTGTGAATTCGGTCCTGTCATTATGATGTTAGCTGGTTATTTTGCTCATTAGTCGATGCAGTTTCTTCCTAGCCTTGAAGGTCTTTACATTTTGGCACGTTTTTGCAGAGCCTGGTACCGGTTGTTCCTTTCCATGTTTAATGCTTCCTTCAGGAGCTCTTGTAGGGCAGGCCCTGTGGTGACAAAATCTCCTAGCATTTGCTTTTCTGTAAAGGATTTTATTTCTCCTTCACTTATGAAGCTTAATTTGGCTGGATATGAAATTCTGGGTAGAAAATTCCTTTTTTTAAGGATGTTGAATACTGGCCCCCACTTTCTTCTGGCTTGTAGGCTTTCTGCCAACTGATCAGCTCTTAGTCTGATGGGCTTCCCTTTGTGGGTAACCCGACCTTTCTCTCTGGCTGCTCTTAACATTTTTTCCTTCATTTCAACTTTGGTGAATCTGACAATTATGTGTCTTGGAGTTGCTCTTCACGAGGGCTATCTTTGTGGCATTCTGTGTATTTCCTGAATCTGAATGTTGGCCTGCCTTGCTAGATTGGGGAAGTTCTCCTGGATGATATCCTGCAGAGTATTCCAACACTTGGTTGGAAACCAAGTTTCCAACTTGGTTCCATTCTCCCCGTCACTTTCAGGTACACCAATCAGAAGTAGATTTGGTCTTTTCACATACTCCCATATTTCTTGGAGGTTTTCTTCATTTCTTGTTATTCTTTTTTCTCTAAACTTCCCTTCTTTCTTCATTTCATTCATTTCATCTTCCATCACTGATACTCTTTCTTCCAGTTGATTGCATTGGCTCCTGAGGCTTGTGCATTCATCACGTAGTCCTTGTGCCTTGGCTTTCAGCTCCATCAGCTCCTTTAAGGACTTCTCTGCATTGGTTATTCTAGATATCCATTCTTCTAAATTTTTTTCAAAGTTTTTAACTTCTTTGCCATTGGTTTGAATTTCCTCCTGTAGCTCAGAGTAGTTTGATCATCTGAAGCCTTCTTCTCTCAACTGGTCAAAGTCATTCTCCATCCAGCTTTGTTGCATTGCTGGTGAGAAGCTGTGTTCCCTTGGAGGAGGAGAGGCACTCTGCTTTTTAGAGTTTCCAGTTTTTCTGCTCTGTTTTTTTCCCATCTTTGTGGTTTTGTCTACCTTTGGTCTTTGATAATGGTGACGTACAGAAGGGGTTTTGGTGTGGATGTCCTTTCTGTTTGTTAGTTTTCCTTCTAACAGACAGGACCCGCAGCTGCTGCTCTGTTGGAATTTGCTAGAGGCCCACTCCAGACGCTGTTTTCCTGGGTATCAGCAGTGGTGGCTGCAGAACAGTGGTGGCTATAGAACAACAGATATTGGTGTCTGTAGAACAGCAGATATTGGTGATCCACAAATGCTGCTGCCTGGTCGTTCCTCTGGAAGTTTTGTCTCAGAGGAGTACCTGGCCTTGTGACGTGTTGGTCTGCCCCTACTGGGGGATGCCTTCCACTTAGGCTGCTCAGGGGTCAGGGACCTACTTGAGGAGGCAGTCTGCCCATTCTCAGATCTCCAGCTGTGTGCTGTGAGAACCACTACTCTCCTCAAAGCTGTCAGACTGGGACATTTAAGTCTGCAGAGGTTACTGCTGTCTTTTTGTTTGTCTGTGCCCTGCCCCTGGAGGTGGAGCCTACAGAGGCAGGCAGGCCTCCTTGAGCTACGCTGGGCTCTGCCCAGTTCGAGCATCCCGGCTGCTTTGTTCACTTAATCAAGCCTGGGCAATGGCAGGCACCCCTCCCCCAGCCTCACTGCTGCCTTGCAGTTTGATCTCAGACTGCTGTGCTAGCAATCAGTGAGACTCCATGGACGTAGGACCCTCTGAGCCATGTGCGGGATATAATCTCCTGGTGTGCCGTTTTTTAAGCCCATTGGAAAAGTGCAGTATTAGGGTGGGAGTGACAGGATTTTCCAGGTGCTATCTGTCACCCCTTTCTTTGACTAGGAAAGGAAACTCCCGGATCACTTTCACTTCCTGAGTGAGGCAATGCCTCGCCCTGCTTCAGCTCACACCTGGTGCATGGCACCCACTGTCCTACACCCACTGCCTGGCACTCCCCAGTGAGATGAACCCAGTACCTCAGATGGAAATGCAGGAATCACCCGTCTTCTGCGTCACTCACACGGGGAGCTGTAGGCCGGAGCTCTTCCTATTTGGCCGTCTTGGCTCTACCCTTTAATCCATCTTGAATTAATTTTTGTATAAGGTGTAAGGAAGGGATCCAGTTTCAGCTTTCTACATACAGCTAGCCAGTTTTCCCAGCACCATTTATTAAATAAGGAATCATTTCCCCATTTCTTGTTTTTGTCAGGTTTATCAAAGATCAGATGGTTGTAGATATGCGGCATTATTTCTGAGGGCTCTGTTCTGTTCCATTGGTCTATATCTCTGTTTTGGTACCAATTCCATGCTGTTTTGCTTACTGTAGCCTTGTAGTATAATTTGAAGTCTGGTAGCGTAATGCCTACAGTTTTGTTCTTTTGACTTAGGATTGTCTTGGCAACGTGGGCTCCTTTTGCTTCCATATGAACTTCAAAGTAGATTTTCCGAATTCTGTGAAGAAAGTCATTGGTAGCTTGATGGGGATGGCCTTGAATCTACAAATTACCTTAGGCAGTGTGGCCATTTTCACGATATTGATTTTTCCTACCCATGGGCATGGAATGTTCTTCCATTTGCTTCTATCCTCTTTTAATTCATTGAGAAGTGGTTTGCAGTTCTCCTAGAAGATGTCTTTCACGTCCCTTGTAAGTTGGATTCCTAGGTATTTTATTCTCTTTGAAGCAATTGTGAATGGGAGTTCACTCATGATTTTGCTCTCTGTTTGTCTGTTGGTGGTGTTTAAGAATGCTTGTGATTTTTGCACATTGATTTTGTATCCTGAGACTTTGCTGAAGTTGCCTATCAGCTTAAAGAGATTTTAGGCTGAGATGATGGGGTTTTCTAGATATACAATCCTACCATCTGCAAACAGGGACAATTGGACTTCCTCTTTTTCTAATTGAATACACTTTGTTTACTTCTCCTGCTTGATTGCCCTGGTCAGAACTTCCAACACTATGTTGAATAGGAATGGTGAGAGAGGGCATCCCTGTCTTGTGCCAGTTTTCAAAGGGAATGCTTCCAGTTTCTGCTCATTCAGTATAACAGTGGCTGTGGGTTTATCATAGATAGCTCTTATTATTTTGAGATACGTCCCATCAAGACCTAATTTACTGAGACTATTTAGCATGAAAGAATGTTGAATTTTGTCAAAGGACTTTTCTTCACCTGTTGAGATAATCATGTGGTTTTTGTCATTGCTTCTGTTTATATGCTGGATTACATTTATCAATTTGCATATGTTGAACCAGCCTTGCATCCCAGGGTTAAAGCCCACTTGATCATGGTGGATAAGCTTTTCGATGTGCTGCTGGATTCAGTTTCCCAGTATTTTAGTGAGGATTTTTTCATCAATCTTCATCAGAGATATTGGTCTAAAATTATCTTTTTTTGTTGTTGTGTCTCTACCAGTTTTCAGTATCAGGATGATGCTGGCCTCATAAAGTGAGTTAGGGAGGATTCCTTCTTTTTCTCTTGATTGGAAAAGTTTCAGAAGGAATGGTACCAGCTCCTCCTTGTAGGTCTGGTAGAATTCGGCTGTGAATCCTTCTGGTCCTGGACTTTGTTTGGTTGGAAAGCTATTAATTATTTCCTCAATCTCAGAGCCTGTTATTGGTCTATTAAGAGATTCAAGTTTTTCCTGGTTTAGACTTGGGAGGTTGTATGTGTTGAGGAATTTATCCATTTCTTCTAGATTTTCAAGTTTATTTGTGTAGAGGTGGTTATGGTATTCACTGATGGTAGTCTGTATTTCTGTGGGATCTGTGGTGATATCCCCTTTATCATTTTTTATTGTGTCTATTTGATTCTGCTCTCTTTTCTTCTGTATTTGTCTTGCTAATGGTCTATGAATTTTGGTGATGTTTTCAAAAAACCAGCTCCTGGATTCATTGATTTTCAGATGGGTTTTTTGTGTCTCTATCGCCTTCAGTTCTGCTCTGATCTTAGTTATTTCTTGCCTTCTGCTAGCTTTTGAATGTGTTTGCTCTTGCTTCTCTAGTTCTTTTAATTGTGATGTTAGGGTGTCAATTTTATATCTTTCCTGCTTTCTATCATGGGCATTTAGTGCTATAAATTTCCCTCTAAACACGGCTTTGAATGCATCCCAGAGATTCTGGTATGTTGTGTCTTTGTTCTCAAAGACACATCCTTGAGATGCTGTTTGTTGGTTTCAAAGAACATCTTTATTTCTGGCTTCACTTCGTTATGTACACAGTAGTCATTCAGGAACAGACGGTTCAGTTTCCATGTAATTGAGCAGTTTTGAGTGAATTTTCTAATCCTGAGTTTTAGTTCGATTGGACTGTGGTCTGAGAGAGAGTTTTTTTATAATTTCTGTTCCTTTACATTTGCTGAGGAGTCCTTTACTTCCAACTATGTGGTCAATTTTGGAATAGGTGTGGTGTGGTGCTGTAAAGAATGCATATTCTGTTGATGTGGGGTGGAGAGTTCTGTATATGTCTATTATGTCGGCTTGGTGCAGAGCTGAGTTCAATCTTGGATATCCTTGTTAACTTTCTGTCTCATTGATCTGTCTAATTTTGACGGTGGGGTGTTAAATTATCCCATTATTATTGTGTGGGAGTCTAAGTCTCTTTGTATGTCTCTAAGGACTTGCTTTATAAATCTGGGTGCTCGTTTACTGGGTGCATATATATTTAGGATAGTTAGCTCTTCTTGTTGAATTGATCACTTTACCATTATGTAATGGCCTTCTTTGTCTCTTTTGATCTTTGTTGGTTAAAAGTCTGTTTTACCAGAGTCTTGGCTTGCAACCCGTGCCTATTTTTGTTTTCCATTTGCTTGGTAGATCTTCCTCCATCCCTTTATTTTGAGCCTATGTGTGTCTCCGTACGTGAGATGGGTTTCCTGAATAGAGCACACTGATGGGTCTTTACTCTTTATCCAATTTGCCAGTCTGTGTCTTTTCATTGGAGCATTTAGCCCATTTACATTTAAGGCTAATATTGTTATGTGTGAATTTGGTCTTGTCATTAAGATGTTAGCTGGTTATTTTACTCACTAGTTGATGCAGTTTCTTCCTAGCCTCAATGGTCTTCACAATTTGGCATGTTATTGCAGTGGTTGCTACTGGTTGTTCCTTTCCATGTTTAGTGCTTCCTTCAGGAGCTCTTGTAGGGCAGGCCTGGTGATGACAAAATCTCCCAGCATTTGCTTTTCTGTAAAGGATTTTATTTCTCCTTCACTTATGAAGCTTAGTTTGGCTGGATATGAAATTCTGGGTAAAAATTCTTTTCTATAAGAATGTTGAATATTGGCCCCCACTCTCTTCTGGCTTGTAGACTTTCTGCCAAGAGATCAGCTGTTAGTCTGATGGGCTTCCCTTTGTGGATAAGCTGACATTTTTCTCTGGCTGCCCTTAACATTTTTTCCTTCATTTCAACTTTGGTGAATCTGACAATTATGTGTCTTGGAGCTGCTCTTCTTGACGAGTGTCTTTGTGGTGTTCTCTGCATTTCCTGAATCTGAATTTTGGCCTGCCTTGCTAGATTGGGGAACTTCTCATGGATAATATCCTACAGTGTTTTCCAACTTGGTTCCATTCTCCCCATCACTTTCAGGTACACCAATCAGACGTAGATTTGGTCTTTTCACATAGTCCCATATTTCTTGGAACTTTTATTCATTTCTTTTTATTCTTTTTTCTGTGAACTTCTCTTCTCACTTCATTTCATTCATTCGATCTTCCATCACTGATACCCTTTCTTCCAGTTGATCAAATCAGCTACTGAGGCTTGTGCATTCATCACGTTTTTCTTGTGCCTTGGTTTTCAGCTCCATCACATCCTTTAAGGACTTCTCTGCATTGTTATTCTAGTTAGCCATTCATCTATTTTTTTTTCAAGGTTTTCAACTTTGCCATGGGTTCAATCTTCCTCCTTTAGCTCAGAGTAGTTTGATCATCTGAAGCCTTTTTCTCTCAAATAGTCAAAGTCATTCTCTGTCCAGCTTTGTTCCATTGCTGGTGAGGAGCTGTGTTCCTTTGGAGGGGGAGAGGTGCTCTGATTTTTAGAGCATCCAGTTTTTCTGTTCTATTATTTCCCCATCTTTCTGGTTTTATCTATCTTTGGTCTTTGATGATGGTGACGTACAGATGGGGTTTTGGTGTTGATGTCCTTTCTGTTTTTTAGTTTTCCTTCTAACAGTCAAGACCCTCAGCTGCAGGTCTGTTGAGTTTGCTGAGGTCCACTGCAGACCCTGTTTTCATGGGTGTCAGCAGCGGAGGCTGCAGAACAGCGGATATTGGTGAACAGCAACTGGTGCTGCCTGATCATTCCTCGGGAATTTTTGTCTCAGGGGAGTACCTGGTCATGTGAGTTGTCAGTCTGCCCCTACTGATGGGTACCTCCCAGTTAGGCTACCTGGGGGCCAGGGACCCACTTGAGGAGGCAGTCTGTCTGTTCTCAGATATCCATCTGCGTGCTGGGAGAACCACTACTGTCTTCAAAGCTGTCAGACAGGGACATTTAAGTCTGCAGAGGTTTCTGCTGCCTTTTGTTTGGCTATGCCCTGCCCCCACAGGCAGAGTCTACAGAAGCTGGCAGGCCTCCTTGAGCTGGGGTGGGCTCCACTGAGTTCGAACTTCCAAGCTGCTTCATTTACCTACTCAAGCCTTGGCAATGGTGGACGCCCTTCCCCCAGCCATGCTGCCACCTTGCAGTTTGATCTCAGATTACTGTGCTAGCAATGAGTGAGGCTCCATCAGTGTAGGACGCTCTGATGCAGGCACGGGATATCATCTTCTGGTGTGCCGTTTGCTAAGACCGTTGGAAAACCACAGTACTAGGGTGAGAGTGACCTGATTTTCCAGATGCCACTTTCTTTGACTAGGAAAAGGAATTCCCTGACCCCTTTTGCTTCCCGGGTGAGGTGATACCTCACCTTGCTTCAGGTCACAATTGATGCACTGCACCCACTGTCCTGCCCCACTTCCCAACACTCCCAAGTGAGATGAACCTGGTACCTCAGTTGGAAATGGAGAAGTCACCCAACTTCTTCCTTCAGGTTTTGAGCTGATCACTATCCCTAGGACACAATCAAAAAACATTCTTTGAATAAATATTAAAACTATAAGCCTTCTTTTAATAAGTCAGCTTGTTTGATGGTGATGTCATAATCTAATTCCATAAAAAAAATTCCTGACATATATACACAATACACATGTGTGTATGTGCTTCAGTGGTCCATATGCATCTATGTAAAAAAAAAAAAAAAAAAAAAAAAACCTTTAAAGTACCTATTTTCCTATTTACTTACTTCCAAGGCTCTAGAACATATATCAGAGGAATTATTTAACAAACTGTTACTAATTAGTAAATACTCTTCATTTCTTTAAAAACAAAGGTGTATTATGTCTTCTTAGAAAATGACAATTTAGACTTTCAGAAATATTTAGTAAATAGTTGTTCTGCAATCATTGTAAAATGCACCCATCAAAATCAGGTTTAAATTTAACTAATCTATAAAGCCTAACTCCCTCAGTGAAAAAGCTGTTACAGGTAATAATAGTGATAGTAACAGTAATAATAATAAAACAGTGCCAGCACTTTGAAAAATCAGGTCAGTCACAGACTTCAATAAATATTCCTCTTTCACTACAAATTTTACCTCAACAAGTTTGTTTCTACAAATAATGCCAGCTTCTGTACACAACTTAATGTCTGTCAATTCCTCAGTTTCACACTCTGCATTGTTCCAAGAATGTGTCTAAACAGCAGAGCTCTCCCTTAGTATATTAAGCAAAAAAAAAATAAACTTGCCGTTTCCTTTTAGGTGTTCGATGGCATTTTATTAACCTTGGAGAAAAAGCAAGCCCTATATGGGTAGGAGTTCTGCCTCATGGAGAAGGCCCTAGCATCAGCAACAGAGCCTACATCTCAGGCGCTAAGTTGGAACTAAGGAAACGGTGTAAATTTGGATAATTACCATGTTGCTGCTACTTGCTAACATTCTGAAACAAATTTTTGATTGAAATGAAAAAGATTTTCCACTGTAGAAATTCACCTCCTTTTGGATTTATCTTAACCTTTTCAGAAATTGTTCCTATTACATCAGTTTCCTCATTCACTGATTTTTATTTTCTCTTATTGTCTAATATGCATTTTTTGTGAATGCATACTTTTATTATGTTGGAACAAGGCAGAGAACAAATAATTCTGATCAAAGCTGTCCACTATGCAAACTTCTATCAAATAACTTTTTAAAAAGTAGGAGATACTTGAATATTGGTTCTACTAAACAACTTTAGCAAAATTGAAAATCCTATAACCCCAGCTATAATCCTGACAAACTTTGTTTTCATTTGATTCACTTATTGTAATAACCCAGGATCATTCATGACTATATTATGACTAGGATCATTCATGACTGTATTATGGATACACATTGTGCTTTCTGAATGCACAATGTGTATCCATAATATAGTGTGACAATGCACCTGTATGCATGTGTATTATTTATGCCTTTCAACTGTATTGAAGATTAGCTCCATCCCAAATACCATTCATTGAGATTTCTCCCTTGGTACCTCCAAAACAGAGGCTGACTAGGGTTTTATTTTTTCACATTCATGTTTTACAAAAATATTCAAAAAGTAATTGGAAGGAAAAGCAGAGAAATAGAAAATATATCATTTAGTTTCTAATCATTGATTAACTGAACTGACCTTACTTTACTAATGTTTACCCTAAGTTGAATCAATGGAACTTATGTACACTTTTTCAAATCCTTCTGCTATACGGAAACCAAACTTGGAGTTAAGAAATCTTCAAAATATAACATCAAAGAGTTCTAAATGTGAGCTTTTAAAAATAATTTTCTCGAGAGATGTTTCAACACTGTTAACTTCTCGAAGGTGCCTGAGACTCAATATTTTAGGACATTTAGCAGCATTTCTAACCTCTCAGCAATAGATGCTAGTAACAACCTTACCAATTCTACTTTGAGTCACAAACCAGGGTTAGGGTGAAGTCTAAAGTAAAATCTGAAGACCTATAAAAACCCTAGAAAATCACATGGACTGTCTGTTACCTCTATGAGCTCATCCTCTATAATTTTCCCCCTTCTACAGCCTGCTGCAGCCACAGGTAGCTGGCTTTTTAAAAACAATTTATACAGCCTTCCACCAGGAATCATTGTACTTATTGAACTTGCTGCATGCTTACATTATTTTCTTATTATTTTCTTTAGATAATTATTTGAAAGTCACTTTGTAAGCCACTTATTGTATGTTTGTTTTACAAAAACCAAAATGTACTTTATAACAGAGAATCTTACCTCATGCATTTTATACAAAATTGATAATTTCACTTAATAAAAAAACAAAAACTTTATAACATGACCACTAAAACAAAAACCTAACACCTGGGATTGCAAATTGGAAATGTAACATTCACTTTAAGTATTTTAAACAAGAGACAAAACATAAACCTCATAAATAACAATAAACTCTGAAATTAGAAAACACTCAGTGCTTCATAGATAAAAATAAAAGTAAAACGGCAGGGATGGCAGTTTCAAACCATTCCAAAAAAAAAAAAAAAAGTTTCAAACCATCAAAAACAGTCTGGACCCTGAAAATCAATAGTTTATATAAACCAAGTAAACATTTAATCCAGAAAGACAATTACAAAATGGTAAAGTTTTTTTTTTTTTTCTTTAAGGATTGTCATATCACCTCCTAGGCACATATGAAGCCTTCAGAATTGAAATCCACATTGTCAAAATGAGGACCTGATTCCTGCTTCTCAAAAAAGGAAAGAAACCCTTATGTGCTAAATTACTGTGTTTTTTTTTCCAGTCTTTCCAGAGGACATATGAAAATTTGATAAAATAAACATTTATTTCTCCTTTGCCTAACTCAGAAGTCACTCTTGGTTGGAAATGCCAGGAATTGGTCACAAACATTTAAGTTGCTGAATACAAAAAATACAGTTATCTTTTACACTAGGCAAAGGATAAACAGGAGCAAAAGTTGGAGAGATTTGTATTTGCAAAAATCTGAATATTCAAAAGCAGTTTAATACATTGAAGCACTTAGAAAATCATGCATATGCTTATGACAGGAACATTCTAAAAAACATGTAAAACAATATACTTTAACCCTCAAGTTTATCTATAGCTTCAGAGTCAGAAGAAAGTGAATGTTAGGAAAGAATTAGAAACAACCCCCCTGAGAGTTAAAGGAGAGTGTTAATACATACCCTGTATTTAAAGGTGATAGTTTTCATATTGCTCTTATTCAAAGTGCTAATGGAATGTAAGCTGAGCTTTTAATAACTAACACGTTGCATTTCAGAAATACCAAAAAGCATTCAGAGTTAGCACGTTATGACATTTCAAATACAGAGGTAACATTCAGTGTTAGCACATTATGGCATTTCAAATATAGTTTTCTGAAAACCAAAAACACAAAAACAAACAGAAAGTTTTGAACAATGTAAACTAAATGCAGGAATTAAATGTGTCCCAAATTTTATAGACAAAGAACTTAAAACAACAGTTTTAAGTAGGGCTAAAGAGAAATGACGGACAAATGATGAAAGAATAACCTGAGAGCGTCAGTGAGACAAATTATAAAAGAACCCATAAAAATGGGAAAACTACTGAAGATATTAAAGGGATTTAACAGTAGATTTAAGCAAGTAAATATTCAGTCAGTCTGAAGGAATAAAAACTGAAATAACCCAGTCTGAGAAGTACAATTTAAAGAAAGTGAAAAAAAAAAAAAAACTGAAGAGTAAATAGAACACCATGCGTTATACTGGTACATGCATTATGAGCATCTTATAAATGAAGAAAAACAGAGGCCAAAAATTTTTAAGGCAAAAATGACTAAACATTTCCTGAACTTAAAAATCACAATCTGAAAGATGAAAGAGGACAAAAATCTTCAACCACAATATAGTCAATGATAGCCACATCAGAAAACATTACAGGCAATCAAGAGCCAATACAAAGAAAATTGTAAAAGCAGAAAGGGAATAGCAACTTTCTATGTACAAGAAGGTCTCGATTAAAATTAACACATGATTGTTCAGCTGAATCCATGGAGTCAGAAGGTGGTGGGATATCCAAGTTTTAAGAAAAATGCTATCAAACCTGAAATATATAACTGGTAAAATGAAACTAAGAAAACATATATAGATAAGGAAAAGCTAAAGGAAATTGTGACTTAAACTTCTCTATAACAAAATGCTATTGCTCTTTCAACCCTGGCAAACTTAACTGCTAATGAACAATCTGTGTGCACAGATAAAATCAGAGAAAGTAATATAAATTGAGAAGGATGGAAAACTACAAGAGCAGCATATTTTTATACTGCTGACCTTAAACATTAAATTATTCATACAAGTTAGTATTCTTCATAGTAGGATATTTTAAGTTTTCAATAATAGTTGAAATCCCAAGTACACCTAATTGTAATATGAAAAATACAACAGCAGTTTTTAAAAATTATCCAGATTTTTTAAATGAGCAAAAAAGAAATTGAGGATCAAGCAAGAGAAAGAGCATATGGAAAACATGTAAGTCCATGTCAGAGTATGTAATATTTTACTTGTAAGAACTGTAAATGTGAGCTCTTGCTTAAAAAGGCACACATTGTTGCAAGTGTACCCTTAAACGAAGGAGTCACTTTTGTGACTTCTATGCAAGGCATACTTTAGGTGCAAAGACAAATAGGTCGAAGTAAAATAATACTAGATTCTGGGAAAGTTCTGCAATGTACAAGGGATCACTGTATATCCGTCCCTTCAACTATACAATGGGTGCAGTGGCAGGATTAGTATGATGCAATTACTATAGAATTCCGAGTCTACCTGAAGGTTTACAGCTTCCAAAAAAAGATTTTATCAATTTTGTAGCACAGATCAACAGCAGCTACTTATTCCTTAATAACCACCAATGTGGGATGCTGCTTTGCAAATATTTCTGGAGCAGCTTACAAGAGCCATGGCAAACAAAAAGGACCCTGTCCTCCAAATCTCAGGGGGACTCATTTGCCGATTGCTGCTTCTGCTTATGGAGGTCCCGACAGAGGTGAATCGTCATTGTTATATTCCCCAAATATTATGCAGGCTCTTTGTCCCTCTGTGCAACCAACTTTCAGTAGATTTAAAAAGCGAAAATATTTTTTCTTGATTGTTCTTCTTTTTCTCTTAAGATGTTTGTAGACTAAAACATTCAAAATTAATCATATACACACACACACACACACACACACACACACACACATATATATATATAATGAATTGTGGTTTTAACGATATGTGCCCCAAAACAATGGGCCTCAAAAGAGACCCAAGACAAAGCTCAATACAGCTGATTTACAGGAGAGTAAGAGCCTATATAATGAGTAAACAAAACTCTACCAAACCATAGAAGTAGAAAATCTTATGTTCAAAGTTACAGCACTTTAAAATTTAAATGCTCTTTTTCAGCACCAGCAAAATCACAAACTACAGAGTGAAATAGAGAAGTATGGCTCATTTTAATAACAACTACAAAATAATTACGAAAAAATAAGCTTTTTTTTGACAGCCCAAATGGCAGCCTTACTAAAATATAATATTTACAATTAAGCTACATAATAAGCTAATAGAATGAACAAAAGAAGCACAAACAATTACAGACAAAAATTATTAATCAAAAGAGTAAAATTATTTTAAAACCTAAAAAAGTCTAGAGATAAACCACACAGTGAAACAGAGAAGTATGGCTCATTTTAAGACGTAAAAAAAAATTATGGTCTGAAACTTTTTTTAGACAGCCCAAATGGTGGTCTTACAGAAACATAATATTTAAAATTAAGTTTCAGAGTAAGCTAATAGAAGAAAAAAAAGAACCACAAAAAATTATGAACAAAAATTAATAAAAAAGTAAAACTATTTTGAAACCTAAAAAAGTCTAGGGATAAAAAGAAAAAAATATTCACTACAGATATTTAAAAGCAGACTTGAGCTGGGGGAAGAACAAACTATCAGCAAACCAAAGAAAGGGTGTTGACATAATTAAGTTAGGAAATGAAAGAAAAAGTATAAAGCAATGGGAATAAAGCCTAAAATGTCGTGGAACACTATCAAGCAGACATATTACGCATACTGGAAGTTCAAAGGATGAGAAAAAGAATCAGGAAGACTATTTAGAAACAATAATGTTAAAGAATGTCAAAGGCAACAAACTCCAAGTAAGAGAAACTCAAATAAACAAACTTAAATTATATGATAATTAAACTCATCAAAAGAAAGACAGAGAAAATCCTGAAAGCAACAAAAGAAGTGGCTAGTTATGTTACTGGCTAGTAACCCTCAAAAATAATCAGCAGATACCTTATCTGAAAACTCAGAGGACAGAAAGCAATAGATTAACATATTCCAAATGATGTGAGAAAAAACTTTTGAACAGAAATCTTATGTTCAAAACATTGTCCCTTATAAGTGAGGGAGAAATTATGACATTTCCAGATAAAAGCTGGGACATTTTACCAGTAGACTATCTTTTTAAAAAATGCCTTATGGGATACTTCATGGTAAAATGAACAGATAATAAGGAGCAGTATGAATGGATATATATTAAGGTAAAGATAAATATATAAGCTATTATAAAACATAAAGAATAACAGTGTACACCTCCACAATGTGTTTCCCATGCAATTTAAAACACAAATATATTTAATAAAAATACTATCACTAAGTTGCGTTTTTGACATACAGTGCATAAAGGTATGATTTTGAGAACTCAATAAGGAAATCATGGGGGTGCAGTTATACAGGGTTAAGGGATTTGTGTGTTATTGAAAGTCAGCTAGTATAACTTTAAAAGTGGAATACCTTTAGAATATTCAATGTAATCACAGTATCAATGACAATTAAAAAAGAAAAAGAGTAACAGACAGGTAGAAAGCTTTCTGTACTACACCAGAGAGTAAGAGATGTGGATTTAGCTACTCTCACTTGAGGCTACTAAGCCAGCTATCATGCACCATGAGACAAAGCCCAAGCTGTCCCACCAGGGCATAATTGTGGAGAGCCTAAAGCCCATAGCATAGCTGCTATTTCAAACAATTTTCACTACGTCAGTGGTGATGAAATAGAATAGGCTCATCCATACGCAGAACCTGGTAAAGAACTGGAGGCAGAAAGAAGTGGCTATGTGGAGATGCAAATGAAACAAATTTGGCACAGCAACTACTTCAATCCTGTGTCTTTCTTCCTGGCTTTCCAGGAGTTTGAGGTTGAAACTATTGTTGACAAAAGACGAGACAAAAATGGAAAGACAGAGGCCAGGCACAGTGGCTCATGCCTGTAATCCCAGCACTTTGCAAGGCTGAGGCGGGCAGATTACGAGTTCAGGAGATGGAGACCATTCTGGCTAATACAGTGAAAACCTCTTTCTACTAAAAATCATAAAGTTAGCCAGGCGTGGTGGCAGGCCCCTCTAATCTCAGCTACCCGGGAGGCTGAGGCAGGAGAATCGCATGAACCCAGGAGGTGGAGGTTGCAGTGAGCCGAGATTGTGCAATTGTGCCACTGTACTCCTGCCTGGGTGATAGCTCAAGACTTTGTCTAAAAAAAAAAACAAAACAAAACAACAACAACAACAACAAAAATTTTTGGTGTTGCAAAGGTTAAGAAGAAACGGTATGACACTTGGGAACCAGAGCAGCACCGGTCAAAAATATATATATTACTTTAACAGATGACAGACTGAAAAACAGAAAAAGTAAAAAAGTGGCATGGACCAGAACAACTAGAACTTTTTCAAACAATACCAGAAGATGAACTTCTACATCTACCAAGCCCAACTTTTCTAAGAATACTCCTAAAACGCTAGTGTCTGGCCAACACCACAAATTCAAAAGCAGCCAGTTATGTTCTGCCAGCCAGAATGTTAGCAGTAATCCAGGGTCACCTCTGTCCGACCCAAAGAATATGGAGCTACTGTGTTCAACTATCAAGAAAGACACTTGCCCCTTACAACCCTTTTAACAACAAGAACACAGTGAGTGGCATTCAGGAACTCTAGAATCTGGACCCTATTGCAGCAGATCAGCAGGATACAGTGGTCTTCAAGGAGGAGGAAGGGAAGATCATCAGGGCTTTATCAGATCCCAGGGCAGGACATTGTGGAATAGAGAGCAAGACCCAGATTCACCCACTATTTTCTCAGAGGTCTGGCTCAGTTACGGCTTCCATGGCTGCAGACTCAGCTACCAAAAAAGGTATAGTGGTATTAATGGGCCAATCGGCAGCCAATGGAAAAACAGATGTGCATACATTAGTTGCAAGAGTGAAAGTTGGGCAAAGAAATGTTACTGACGGTGGCAGAGACCAGCTTTTTATCCAGAAGATGTACCTCATCATAGGCCTAGCAGAAAGTGCCAGCACATACAGAGATATTGCAGTGAAGAAAGAGGACAGATTCACCCAGATGTGCCTATAAACTAGATCAACATAAAAAATGTACTGAATATAGAAGTAATTAAAGCAATGGTTAATGCTCTGAATAGGGCTGCTGTGGGTGGCAGCAAGCTTGTGCTGTTCAGTGCAGCTGGAAGTGTCTTTTGCTGTGGTCTCGATTTGGGGTACTTTCTGAAGTATTTAAGGAAGGACAGAAACAGAACAAGCCTTGAGATGGTGAACACCATCAAGAACTTTGTGAATACTTTCAATCAATTTTAAAAGCCTGTTTTTGTATCAGTCAGTGGCCCATCCTTCGGAATAGGTGCATCCACACTGCCTCTTTGTGATTTCTTCTGAGCTAATGAAAAGCCTTGGTTTCAAACCCCTTATATGACATCTGGACAGAGTCCAGATGGCTGTTGTGTTACTTTAGTTCCTACTTGAACTTTGCATCATCCAGCCTCCTTAATTATTGTGGCCATGAGACATTACTTCATCCCTTGATTGATCCCAGGCCAAGGTCTCAGGCCAAGCTGTCACTTCAGCTCCTTCTTGGTCCAGGGCCAAGTTCCAAGGCTGAGCCTTGTAGCTTCTACAAATCATCACTTCAGCTCCAGATGAATCCAAGGCCAAGTTTCAGGGCCAAGCCAAATGACACCTACTCCAAGAACACTAACCACATTTCTTTACTTCTCTGTCCTTAGAAACTGTAAAGCACAGCCTCATAGTAGGTAAACCACTCACATTCCACCCCCACTGTGAAGAGTTTTTTACTTTCACTTATAAAAGTTTTGATTCAACCTTTTTGCATCCATCCTCCTTAATTTTCTTGGCCATGAGACAAAGAACTCTGTGTGATATCTCACAATTAGAGTTTTCTAGGTCGTAGTGCACTAATGAGACTGCAATGATTGAAGTCTGGGAATTGAGCTCTGGGATGCATCAGCCTTGCGAGACCAACTGACACACTGTCCCCACACTGTGATACACACCCTTCGGGTCAGTCAACCATATAGTGGTCACCAATGGAGTCTGAAAAGGGGCAAGGCAGATTTATACAGCCTAGAAACCTGAGGGACACCATCAAGCAGCCATACATATGCATTTTGGAAGTTCCAAGGAAGAGACAAAAACTCATGGATACTATTTAACAACATAGTCATAAAGAATGCAACAATTTAAGACAATAAGTAAGCACCCAAGGAGCTCAACAGACTCCAAGTAACAAAAACTCAAAGAAACAAACTCAAACTTACCTGATAATTAAACTGTCTAAAATAAATACAAAGAGAACCTTGAGGATTTTCAAGGGAAGCAGGGGAAGTAGCTAGTCATGTAAAAGGGACCCTAAAAATAACCAGTGGATCACTTATCTGAATAACCACCGAAAAGCAGTAGATTTCTTATCTGAAAACTGAGATAGAAAGCAGTAGCCTCATATATTCCAAGTGATGTCAGAAAAAACTGTCAAGCCTAAACATTATGATCCACCAAACTGTCCATCAAAGGTGAGGGACAAATTATGACATTCCCATATAAAAACTGGCACCTTTTACAAGTAGACTACCCTTTAAGAAATGTCTTATGGAGTACTTCAGGGTAGAATGGACAGATACTCAAAAGCAGTATGAACAAACAAAGATTAAGGTAAAGATAAATACATGAACAAATATGTAAGATAAAAAATTTGGCTGGGCTCAGTGGCTCACACCTGTAATCCCAGCATTTTGGGAGGCTGAGGTGCTTGGATCACGAGGTCAGGAGATCGAGACAATCCTGGCTAACATGGTGAAACCCCGTCTCTACTAAAAATACAACAAATTCGTAGGGCCAGGTGGCAGGTGCCTGTAGTCTCAGCTACTCGGGAGGCTGAGACAGGAGAATGGCATGAATCCGGGAGGTGGAGCTTGTAGTGAGCCAAGATCTCACTACTGCACTCCAGCCTCATTGACAGGGCGAGACTCCATCTCAAAACAAAACAAAACAAAACAAAACAAAACGAACAATTAACAATGTGCACCTCCACAATTTGTTCTCCACATAACTTAAAACACAAATATATTTAATAAAAAAACTACCACTAATTTGTGTTTTTGACATAAAATCAATAAAGGTATAATTTTGAGAACTCAGTAAGTGAAATAATGGAGGTACATTATACAGGAGTAAAGGCTTTGTATGTTACTGAAGGTAAGCTAGTGTAACTTTAAAAATGTTATAACATTAGAATGTTCCATATAATCGTCATAGCAACCACAATTAAACAAAGAAACACAAAAGAGTAACAGGCAGGAAGAAAGCTTTCTGTACTACACCAGAGGGTTGGGGCTGTGGATTTAGCTACTCTCACCTGAGGCTACTGAGCAAGTTGTCATGCACCATGAGACAAAGCCCAAGCTGTCCCACCAGGCAGTAAGTATGGAGAGGTTCAGGCACATGGCATAGCTGCTATTTCGCACAATTTTCACTACACCAGTGGTGACAAAATAGAAGAGGTTCATCCATACACAGAACCTGGTGAAGAGCTGGAGGCAGAAAGAAGTGTCTATGTGGAGACGCAACTGAAACAAAGGTGGCACAGCAACTGTTCCAATCCCGTGTCTTTCCTCATGGCTTCCCAGGAGTTTGAGGTTGAAGCTATTGTTGACAAAAGACAGGATAAAAATGGGAATACACAGTATTTGGTTCGGTGGAAAGGTTATGACAAACAGGATGACACTTGGGAACCAGAGCAGCACCTCATGAACTGTGAAAAATGTGTACATGATTTTAATAGACGACAGACTGAAAAACAGAAAAAACTGACATGGACTACAACCAGTAGAATTTTTTCAAACAATGCCAGAAGAAGAACTTCCAGATCTACAAAAGCAAACTATTCTAAGAACTCTCCTAAAACGCCAGTGACTGATAAACACCACAGGTCCAAAAACCGCAAGTTATTTGCTGCCAGCAAGAACGTTAGGAGAAAGGCAGCTTCAATTCTCTCCGACACAAAGAATATGGAGATAATAAATTCAACTATTGAGACCCTTGCACCTGACAGCCCCTTTGACCACAAAACTGTGAGTGGCTTTCAGAAACTTGAGAAACTGGACCCTATTGCAGCAGATCAGCAGGACACGGTGGTCTTCAAGGTGACAGAAGGGAAACTCCTCCGGGACCCTTTGTCACGTCCTGGTGCAGAACAGACTGGAATACAGAACAAGACTCAGATACACCCACTAATGTCGCAGATGTCTGGCTCAGTTACTGCTTCTATGGCCACAGGTTCAGCTACCCGAAAGGGTATAGTGGTATTAATAGACCCATTAGCAGCCAATGGGACAACAGACATGCATACCTCAGTTCCAAGAGTGAAAGGTGGGCAAAGAAATATTACTGATGACAGCAGAGACCAGCCTTTTATCAAGAAGATGCACTTCACCATAAGGCTAACAGAAAGTGCCAGCACATACAGAGACATTGTAGTGAAGAAAGAGGATGGATTCACCCAGATAGTGCTATCAACTAGATCGACAGAAAAAAATGCACTGAATACAGAAGTAATTAAAGAAATAGTTAATGCTCTGAATAGCGCTGCTGCAGATGACAGCAAGCTCGTGCTGTTCAGTGCAGCTGGAAGTGTCTTTTGCTGCGGTCTTGATTTTGGGTACTTTGTGAAGCACTTAAGGAATAACAGAAACACAGCAAGCCTTGAAATGGTGGACACCATCAAGAACTTTGTGAATACTTTTATTCAATTTAAAAAGCCTATTGTTGTATCAGTCAATGGCCCTGCGATTGGACTAGGTGCATCCATCCTGCCTCTTTGTGATCTCGTGTGGGCTAATGAAAAGGCTTGGTTCCAAACCCCTTATACGACCTTTGGACAGAGTCCAGATGGCTGTTCTTCTATTACATTCCCCAAAATGATGGGTAAAGCATCTGCCAATGAAATGTTAATTGCTGGGCGAAAGCTGACAGCAAGGGAGGCATGCGCCAAAGGCCTGGTCTCTCAGGTATTTTTGACTGGAACTTTCACCCAAGAGGTTATGATTCAAATTAAGGAGCTTGCCTCATACAATCCAATTGTACTGGAAGAATGTAAGGCCCTCGTTCGCTGTAATATTAAGTTGGAGTTGGAACAGGCCAATGAGAGAGAGTGTGAGGTGCTGAGGAAGATCTGGAGCTCAGCCCAAGGGATAGAATCCATGTTAAAGTATGTTGAAAATAAAATTGATGAGTTTTAATTGTCAGTCTGTCTGCTCAGGACACAAGAACTAAGGGGCAACAAATGCATCATGAGTTGCAAGATGCCCTAATCCATCTTCATAGCCCAAAACAATTTCACCCATAGCTAAGGCTTGGAAACAGAACTGGAAATGTCCAAGCTATGTATTTAAATTATCACATCATTTTTAAGCACTGTAGCTTTACAAGGAGTAACAAAACAGCCTCTTTGCCCAAATGTGATTATTTTATGCACACCTAAGCCCAAATATAAAAACAGACTCTTCTTGCAAGCTCTAATATGTATCTATGGCTACTACTATATATAAGACCAGAGTTGTGTTTTATTAGATGTTTGTGACAGAGAATCCTGTAATAATGTTGATTTTTTCTTATTTTTATATCCTAGAATACCTCTGTTGGGATATAAAGCAGCCTTCCCTCCCAGAAAGACACAGAATGATCAGAGATGGTGCCCTTGACTTTATAGTGGCACAAACGCTTCAGAGACACACAATTATAAGAGACTTATCTTTTAGCATAAATACTTATGGCTCAAAATCCACTGACGATCATTCTCCTAAACTGAACACATGACTAGAATTGGTGGTGAGATATCGCTTGATTTTCTTTTCCTTTATAAATGTCTAGTTCTTACCCAGTTAACAAAAGAAAACTTTATCGCTCTAAAGTAAAACTTGTTACACCACATTAGTGAATTATGGAATGATTTTGGTGGAAATATCCAGGTTCTAATGTGTGGAATGTGCAGATTTAGGTTACTTTAGTGTATGTTCTAGTTAATAAGTTAAAATTCTGGACACATTATTAAAGGCAGAAACTTCTTTCAAAGCAAACACCGCTACACTTTGTATGACCTTTACAATTATCAGTGTCTCTTTTTATGAGCACACAATTTTCTAGAACACTGTATGTGCTCAGTTATGCAAAAGCTCTATGAATCCTGTCTTGTTGGTTTTTATCGAGGCTCCATTACATAGACATAATTGAATAATCCACTGGCCACTGGTGATGAATGTCATCTTTGTCACAAGATCTCTAGGGTGTCACTTCACCAGCCAAGAACCTCTGTGGATGATGGCACCTTTGTGCAAGGTTCCCTTGAGCCTGCTTTTCTAATTTTACAAACCCATCTTACAGGCTGCACTCAGCTCAAACTATGGGCTTAGGTTTCATTTTGCTATGGATGCACCAGGCACAGACTGGAGGCAGATGCATGAGTGAGTGTTGGTTCAGTCCAGCCACTGCACACAGCTTTGCCTGTTATCTGTGATGAGGTAAGCAGGTCAGGTGCTGGTACAGGTGACAGCTCCCTGCAAATCTTTAGGTGAATCAGGCATACCACAAGCTTTCTCTTCTGCAGGCACTGAAGAATGCAGTGGCATCCACAAAAGAAGAAATGCCAGAAAATGCAAAGGCCCAAGGACGTCATCCTAGCCCTGGCATGGGAAAGGTTTAGAGCTGGGGTATCTAAAGGGCCAATGTCCTGCTTTCTTTTTCCTTTTTTCTTTTTTTTTTTTTTTTTTCTTATCTATGGGATCACTATGACTTAAATTAGGGTTTTCAAAGGGCTCTGTCTCTCTTTCTACTGGAAATTAGCATCTTGTCTTTTCTTCACTCTTTCTCTCTTTGACTGCTTTTTATTTACTATGACATGCTATAGAAGAAATGCGTCTTGGCCCAGCATCTTTCTGTTGACTGTAGGGCTATTTGTCAGAAGCAGTAAGATTTTGGCTCAGCAATAAGGTAACATCTTCCCATTTAAGACCAAAAAAAGGGCTAGATATTAGAAAGGCTCTATATATTTATTGATGTATCAGAAAACTTCCCCAGGTCTTACTTTATTTGTTTAAGGTACTGTAATGAAAAAGAAACTTGCACTTTACTGGCACCTCATTCATTGGGCATTTCCTATAGGGGTAGTAAGGAACGTGGAGGGTTGGATGTAAAAACTGGAAAAGCTGATGATGATGTGACTAAAAGGTTCTCTGCATCAAGAAGATGAGAAAACCTGTGGTAACAAATGTGGTTTTGAGTGTTTCCAGGGAGAATGTTTCTCTGACGTTTGGGAGTTGTTTCTTGTGGGCTTTTCTGATATGACTGCTAAGAAAGCAGGAACAATTTTACAGTATTTACAAAGATGTGGGTGGTTTCACAGGGCAAAAAGCCTTGCACATAGGGAACTTCAAACAATGTGCCTTTGACTCTCAGAAACTATCTAGGTTTTCAATAGTATTGACAAAGAAAAGCTACATAGTTGTGGTGGATTATTGGTAAAATTTCTGCAAGCAGAGAAACAGCCTGAAATATCAGGCTGCAGACACAAATTTAAGAATCCTGCACAATCCTGTGGCACAAGCAAATAATTTTTTTAAAAAAGCCCAACTTTTTGTGTGTGTGTGCTTAAGACATGCCCACAGCTACTCAGATAAAAAAAAAAAAAAAAAAAAACAAGACCCCGCATTAAAATGTTGTGTCTTTTGTGTAACCAGAGTGCTTCCAGGAAATAGTCTCTCTCTTTTTTAGAACTTGTACATATTGGACTCCAATGTGTTACAAAGGGTACCTTATATTACTAAACATACTTCAGACTCCGAGCCAAATTTCTGTAAATTATCATTTAAGACTCTGGTCCCAGGCCAAGGTCCTGGGCCATGCTTTCCCTTTAGCTCTTGTGTGGCTCAGGGCCAAGTTCCTGAGCCAAGCTGAGTCATTACATCCGCCATTAATAGTTCCAGGCACAAGGACCCAGAAAAGATGAGAAGTGCTTTCTTCAAAACTAGTTAGTACCTTTTCTTCCTTCTGAGTCCATAAAAATATGAGACTCTTTCTCAAAGTGGGCAACTGACTCTACTCCACCAGAAGTTAACATATTAAACATTTACTATCATCTCACCTTTTGCATTCCTAATTTTTAATTTTCTTGAAATTAAAAAGATCTGTGTGTCACCTAAAAATGAGAGACTGATACATTGTGGTTCACTGGGGGACAGCAAGGTTTGTTTTTGGTTCATGGACTTGGAAAGGCCTTAATTAAAAAGGTCAGTAGGGGCTGGGCATGGTGGCTCATGACTGTTATCGCAGCACTTTGGGTGGCCAATGTGGGAAGATCAGGAGGAGATCAAGATGGAGATCATCCTGGCTAACATGGTGAAGCCCTCATGAAGTCTACCAAAAATACAAAAAATTAGCAGGGTGTGGTGGTGGGCACCTTTAGTGACAGTTGCTTGGTAGGCTAAGGCAGGAGAATGGCATAAACCCGGGAAATGGAGCTTGCAGTTAGCCAAGATCATGCAACTGGACTCCAGTTTAAGTGACAGAGAATCCATTAGAAAAAAAAAGTGAGTAGGGGTGCCATTCCAAACTATTTACATTCATATCTTCAGCTTGTCCTCTATTTGCTTTCATATCTGCAGCTTGTTCTCAGTTTTTGTTTGTTTGTTTTTGTTATTTGTTTTTTTCTTTTTTTTTAATGTCTGAAGAGCAAACAAAGCTCTGGACCAGTGCCAGGTAAAATCCGATGGATTGCCTGCCATTCTTACAAAGCTTAGGAGAAAGGGATTCTGGGAGACACATTGGCAGTCTCCTTTCACCCTCCGCTGTTGAAAGTGTTGCCTCTGTTCCAACTGTTTTCTTTCAGAGAGGATCCAGCTGTCACATAGGACTGAAAGGATATCTAAGTTAATTGAAGATTTCTGGTTAAGGCTATACCACAGTGTTACGTGAAGGCCTCAAAACTAACTCCAGTTTCTGACAGCCCATCAGAGTGTTGCCACCAAAATTTCCAGGCTTTTCTGTGGCATTTTATTTATTTGTTTTTTGTCATTGTGTGGCTAATGTCCCTCCTATTTCTTCTTTGTATGCCATGTTGAGACCTGGAGATACAAGCTTACTGGTAAAAGTCAGTCAGTAGAAATATAATTCAAAGAGTTGCTATTTTGTGTTTTTTTTTCTTTCAAAAGAGGAAGAATTCAAAATTGTGGTCTAAAAATTTTTATTTGATAAGGGTCTTTTTGTCCGCCGATGATAGACATTCATGACACTGTAGGGAATGGCATACATTCAAATAAATTTTCCCTGTTTGGCGGGTGATTTCTCTTTAAAAAGCTCAGCACAGCCATATATATCTAAACAGTTTCTTTGTGAGACACATCTTCTTTTTTCTGCAGAGACACATACTGTGGGGACAGGCGATGGAGCGTTAACCTTCCTTTTCTCAGTTTTGACTATATAAACCTGGAATTCAGCATTTTCATGGAATATCTGAGATCTTAAAATGCAACCTAGTAAAATGAGGTTTTTCTCTTGGGGAAGCCTTGTCAGTACTTTGCACAAAACCCTTGGATTTTAATTCCTCTCTCTGTTATATCTCTCTAACTCTGTGCCCTATCAGTAAACAGAAAATTTCCACTTTCAATAATCAGAAAGAAGGTGTCTTTGAGAGACATATTTTAGCTAAGTGCTGTCTTATGAAAGCCAGCCATACAAGCTTTACTTGCTTTGAGGCACACCTTCTTCCTCCAGCAGCACTGACATTTAAACTAACGGAGAATTTTATGTTTCAACTCAATCTATCTTATTTCCTGCAATTTCAGTATTTTTTCTAGGCCATAGCAAGGGAAGCCACAAATAGTATTAAAATTCTTACTCTATACAAGTGTCTTGCTAGAATCCAATGACTATATAATCTTTTTTTTAGGCTCCCAAGTTACTCTGGGTATCTTCTGGGTTGAGTAGGCTTAAGAAATCAACAAAGAGTCACCAGTAGAGAGCTAAAGCCTCTGCAGGAAAATGTTACTTGTCCTGCTGTCTAGATCCTCTAGAACTGTGGGTGAAGGTTTAGCTTCCATCCATGGGGGACACCTATGTCAGTCACCAGACTCAGAAAAGACAAGAGGAATTCAAAAACAAGGAATATCCTATCTTTTTATTCAGTCAGGGCTATTTCAAAAGGGGGAAAAAGAGAATAGGAATTTTTTTTATATATTTCTTTAGAAACTTCACAAACTGTCTGCAGTACGCACCTCTCTAGATTACATTCTGAAACACAGAAATTTCATTGACTGTGAGACTCTGAAAAATGAAAGTGGCTTATTTATGTATTTATTGCTCAAGGGCATGACAGCCCTACCAGCTCCAGGACAGACATGCCTAGCTTTCTGAGGGAAGTGTTCGCTTTAGTACTATTCAACAGGTATATCTTTTCTTCAGATGGCAAAGAAAAGAGTATGATTTTTTTTTTCTTTTTTGGACAACCTTACTTTGACTGGGGAGACAACCCAGATCTTTCTAAGTATTGTAAAAATGACTCTGCCCTCTTGGCAGTCATAACAGGCAAGTTTCAAGAGATAATTCATTAAAGTCAGAGACAAGCCCCTGAGGAACACTCAAATTTATCTTCTAAATGTCACACCTGCCACCCTCATTTAGAAGTTCCAATAGCCATTTCATCATCTTGTCTTGTTGTGCCACTAAGGAAAACCAAAACTCACTGTTGCCCCTGTAGAAAATACTCCATAGATGTGATACTAGTATAGCAGAAGTTTTCTTCTCATTGCAAGGACTTAGACAAAAAAAAATGAAAAAGATAAGCAAATGTCCTCTGATGACCCTGGTGGATATACAGAGATATTTCAAAATCTAACTCAAATGTTCAATCATACCTGAATAGATGATACATTACTGCTAAACCAACCCCTAACTGTTGCCCTAAAGCAGGCAGCTTTACAGAGAGCAGAGTTATCCATGGATGAACCACATGTCTTTTATAAAATCTTGAAAAAGGGAGGGTGAAAAGGAATAAAAAAAGTTGAACTGATAACAGAATTCTTATTCGTAATAGGAAAGGACGGAGTGCTGAAAACTCGATTGGAATCTTATTGGTCCTATAGAGGAGTGAAAAAAAAATTAGTGAGCCTACTGGAAGGCTTATAAGTGAACAGGACAAAACTTCATAATTACTCTAAACTATTCATAATAGGTTAAAATCACAGAAAAATTATAGAGCCTTTTTTAAAATCCTGAGAGAGGCTTTAGTGAAACACATGTTCCTATCTCCCTATTGGGTTAAGATAAAGTTAATCTTAAGAGAAAAGTTTATTACTCAAGCAGACCCTGACATCAAAAGAAAACTGCAAAAATGTGTCATAGGTTCAGATAATATTGTTCTTTTAACAATGCACCAAGACATAACAGCCTTTCTTTCATTTGAGATTACACTAAGAGTCTTTTTTTTACATTTAAGAAGATTAAGGACTGTAGACAAAGGAAACTGTTTGGAGCAAAAGTTTAAATAAGTGGCAAAAGCAGCTCTCTGCCAGCAGAGATAGAAGCTTGAATAAGTTGTCCACTGGGGTTTAAGGTTTTTATGGCCTAAAAAATAAAGATATATACTTAGTTTGCAAGCTGTCTTGGAGAATGGGTGACTTAGCTTTGCCCTGGCCCAGGACCTATTAGACAGCTTAGCCCAGGCACTTTGCCTGGGAGCAGTCTGAGGTGGTAATTTGCAAAGACTGCTTAGCTTGGTACAGGACCTAAAGTAAAAGCTTGTTCTGGGATGCTGGCTCAGGACCAATCAGGGACTGAAGTGATGATTCATATGGGTTGAGCAACCAGTGAAATACAAAAATAAATATTTCATCCAATACCCGCTAGATCGCACTGCGTTTATGCCCACAAAAAACAAAACAAAACAAAACAAAAAACAACTTTATTTTCTGAAAGCCCTCTGAGTATACAGAAAACAACAAGCCTATGCCAGGCATTGGTTCCCCATCTGAATCAGTGGGAGGTTTGTACAAGATTTTATCTGAATGGACTGAAGGTTCTGTTATCTGTGCTGTCAGGCACAACCTTCTGTGTTAAATCTCTTACTGGTACACACACGTTTTTTTTTGGTCTGGTTATTATGTTATGTTGGAATCAGGCCCTTACTTGTTTACTGGAGGTCTTCCAGGAACCCATTCCTTGCTGTTTACATGGGAAAAGCTGGCTAAGTTGTCTTTGTCCTCCCTCAGAAATGAAAACTCTAACTTCTCTTAGGAGATTGGGCATTGGTCTTTCTGGATACTTTCTGCTGGAGAAGAGTGTTGTGTAGAAAACAGTATGTAGGATCTACTGAGGGTTGGTTTAAGTGTTTGTAGAAGAAAGGCCTGTTAATGCATGGTTTTATTTGCATTACATTTTAAAGTGTGATAGACTTTAGGCACAAAAAGAAAACCAGTTTGGATTATTAGAAAAAGCATATCACAACTAGACAAGGAGAGTAAGAACAGCTGAAATACTTCAAGGCTGCTGACGTGCCCGTGTAACTGTGGCTACATTTACACCTGTTAAGATTTTGTTACATGAGACTTGGATTTATTTAGCTTTCTTGATTTGATCCTTTGAAACAAAAATTCTGTTACAGAAACCCTATTTTCTTTTATGACCTGCAAATATTTGTGGAATGAGTTCCCAGAATTAGAATATTGTTCTAGATTTATCTGTTACTCATATCTTTCTGTTTTCCAAGAACGGTAGCTGGACCTCACCAGTTGGTTCACAGAAAAAAAAAAAAAAAAAAAGGTTAATTAATATTGTACAAACATCTTAAAAACAACATATGAGATGAGAAGTTAGTGATAGAGGTGTGATAGGCTGTGAGACATCTATCTTTTTTTTAGTCCTAATTTTTGTTAAGAACGAATTATGACAAAAGTTGGTTGTTGGCAAAACAGACTTGTCCTACACTTAGCCAGAATATTTTTGTACAGTGCTGTGGGAAATACCTTTACATGTGCTTTCCTCATGGGCTTTTATGAATCTCTATTCTACAAGGAATCTTAAATAGGACATTATAAAGCTGAGTCCAACTATAGGTTTGACCCTTAGATACATGTTATTTGGATAAACTCCTCTATTTTTTTGAGATTCCAAGTGCATGTGGTTCCTAGGCCTGATAGAAAGTGGCTTTTTTTTTTTTCCTCTTACCGCAGATTAGAAAACCTGTATTGGGACTGTGTAAACAAAGTATAAGGCTGCGTTTCTTAGGGGGCTTTTATTGGTTCTAGAAGTCAGACGTAAGTCATTAAAGAAGGCACACTCTTCCAGTCAAAGCCTTTGGAAATCAACCAGCTTATTCTATTGGGTTATGTTGCAAATGAAAATACATTTTTGTTGCACTGAGTAAAACAATTATATTGTTGTAAGTTAAGAATAATCACACATACTTTCCGAATTTTAGAGGAACTAGGCACAGAGGAAAAAAGCATGTTTCAAGTTTTGCTAACAGGAGTATACCAATTGACAGTGTTAAAAGCTGTAGCTACTTTAAAAGAAAGTGCGCTTGACTTTAAAAAACAAAACAAGAATTAGAAATGTTCTAAAATAAAGATAAAGAGATTGTTTCATTCTTCTGTTAGTTTAGTCTATTTTAACATTTGTCCTGCTTGACATTTATAAGCATTTTAGCTATTCCTAAGTTCTGTACATTTTCCTGTTATAAAAAAACCTACAGTTGAGAACAGCTGGTACAGTTCTACAGCTAATTATAAGTCGTTATTCTTGATGAAGATTAAATGTCTGTAAATGACAAAATGTCTAGTGTGGTTAGAAACAGCATAGGCAAAGACATTTGGTTACTTCCGTGGTTTACAATAGCTTAACATAATAACTTTAAATAAAAATTGTAGCACGTATTCAGATATTAAGAACCTTAAAAACCTCATGTGGTTTTGAGCCCTGTGTTAATGTTACCCACTAAAATATATTCTGAAAAAAATAAAATATTACCATCAAAATCACATGTATTTAAATGTGCTTTATAATCCTGTTTAACTTTTTCTTTTATGCCCCAGGGGCTCTCTGAGGCATCCAAAATATAGGGTTCAGAAAATACATCCTTGAAGTTAAAATTTTATTCTGGGAAGCCTGCCAAATATTTTAGAGGATTAAGACACTTAATGTTATGAAATCCAATTCCAGATTTCCATAAATCATTTGTTTTGCCAAAATACAGTTGGTAGAAATGTTTGAAAGGGCAGAAACACTTTTATCAGCCTTCAATATTACATGATAATCTCTTTCAGAAGGACAAATTTTCCCCTTGTAGTTGTCTCCTAATGTTAACCCTAAGCTTAATGAAACCTTATGTAAAATTATTTTAACCTTAGAAAGTTTGACAAAGAAGTGAGATTTTCACAAACTTATTACAACATTTTAACAAACTTTTACAAATTTGCTAAAGAGAAGATTAATGTTTCAAGAAATTTTTGTTGTGTTTTCACTTCAATGCTTAATGGCAGAAATAAACATAATACCCTTTTCAATCTAGTTAGTAGGTTCACAGGGTTTTCTTTTGCAAGATTAATTTTTTTGCAGTATTTTTCACAATTTGTGTAAACAGCTTTATTTTAGTTAATTAAAGAAAATTCTTTAACTCTAGGCAAAATGTACATTTCCATGCCTTTCTATAATTTATTCTCACTACAAACACATTTTACTCTTCTACCACACCTGGCAATTAAATTTATATACAGTATTCTCAATTACACATTATAGTAATATCTTTTAACAATTAATAACTTGACTATAAAACCTGGTGAGTTTATAAAATTACAGGCTGGGTGCAGGTAAAGTATGATTTATTACAGCATAGTTAAAGGAGTGGTTATTTTTATACATCTTCAGGCCTTTGGTGGCTTTCGTTTTTCATAAGTTAAAGTCACATGAACTGAGAAGTACAACAGCCTTCATTTCTTTGGAAGCAAAATATTTAGCTCAACTACCTATTCTTCACTAAGTTAATTAATTAGATTTTTAAAATATATACATAACACATATGTAAACACAGAGAAAACAGAAGCTCCAGGAGTCATAAAATTTTATTTTACTAATTTTCCAATTGGATTATTGACCTCTTGCTGTGGCCCTTTAAGAAATGGGCTATGAATAGTTTCCAGGGCCTAATAAAAAAAGTCTCACTGATGCTGGGCATGGTGACTCACACCTGTAATCCCAGCACTTTGGGGGGCCCATGTTTGGGGATCAAGAAGTCAAGAGATCATGGCCAAAATGGTGAAACCCCATCTCTACTAAAAATACAGAAATTAGCTGGGCATGTTTGTGTGCACTTTTAGTCTCATCTAATTGGGGGCTAAGGAAAGGAGAGCCGTTTGAACCCAGGAGGCAGAGGTTGCAATGATTCAAGGGTGTACTGCTGCACTCCAGCCTGGTGACAGAGTGAGACCACGCCTCAAAAAAAAAAAAAAAAAAGCAGAGCTGGAAGAGACAGCCTTTCATTTTCAGAGGTATTATTCACTTCTAATTCCAAGAGCCACATAAGAAATGCAGATTTCTCATAAAAGACGGTCGGTGGTGTCTCTTCTGTTAGCCTCAAGATGTCCCTGACCATCAGCTTTTATCCAAGAACCTTTTATGCATTCACCAAAAGTGTCAAGATAGAGTGGAGAAAGGTAACTTAGTCGACTGAAAGAAAAAACATTTTCAAGGAAACAAGGTTTATGAGGAGAAAATCATGAACGTCTTGAATACATGTATAGCATAAATCTCCATTTTTAATTAATCCAATTGCTTTCTAAGAGTGTTTTCATTAATTTAACTTTACAGAGAATATCAAGAGAAGTGTCTATTATTTATTTCACCGGTTTACACCACTATATGTTCACAATCAGGTTCAACAGCTCAACTTTCCCCTGATAGAAAGCTGCTGGATTCAGGCAAGTACAGGCTTTCAAATGGGCTGCAGATCCCTCCAGTAGCAAAGCTTGATATTTAAGGAGGTGACTGTCAGTTCGCAAGAGACTTTTTTAAGGAAACACAGTACTGCTATGCTATGTGGTGTAGAAACAGATATGTCATTTTCATGGTTAACTTGATGGTTTCTGGCACCAACAATATCACTGATGCAGCTGCTCAGTGGTAAGATGCCCATTTTTTTTTTAGAAACCAAGCTAAATTTCTTCCTTAGGTAAACCACTGGATGTTGATCTGGACCTCGAGCCTCATCTGTAATTTCAACGTCTGCTTTCTCTATTTCTGATACATGGAGATTAAGTGCCTTTACTATGAAAAAACTGACGGCTTCTGCTTTAAGTAAGGTTTGTTTAACTGGTTAAATTTTTTTGAGCACTAGGTTATTAAGTTAAACATGAGTTTTATCTGCTTTAGTTTCTTCTATGAGGTGGTATAAAAGACGAGCTAATTCTCTGTACTGAGGTACCTGCCATCTGAAAAATCAAGTACTGCCCAAGAATATTCTTAACTGTTAAGAAAAATGGGCTGAATTGTTTCATGACCTTGTACATTGGTCTCTTCTGATAAGACCAGATCCAGCTACTGTACTGAAGTCTGAGAGAGCTGAGCTTTAGATGTTGAGACCCAATAGTCTTTTTATTTTTAATTTTTGTCAGATAGTTTAGCAGAGCATTAGCGCATTCCCAGGAAGCCCATCACAATCTTGCTATTATTGTTATCTCACCAGTACACAAACACATAACAGTCTCTACTTATCTAAGGTAATACTGGGGGTTTCTTTTCTATGTCTTAGGAGAATAAAGATAGCAGACACATTTTAAGAAGGCTAAAGAGCACTAAGGTTGAAGAGAAAGTTTAGTAAGTGAAATAAAAAAGCTCGATGCCAGCAGTGATGTGGTCAAAATGGGTTAACCAATGTGAAACTTGGATTTAGGGTTTCTGTGTGTTGTGAATGGTAAGAAATGCACTTCGTCTGTGGGCTGTCTTAAAAAATGTGTGACGTAGTTCGACCTGGGGCCTTAGATCCCAGCCCAATCAGAAAGCTTAGCCTGAGACCTTGGCCCAGTACTTAGTGGCTAAAGTGAATATTCATAGGGGATACTCAGTTTAGACAACCTTTCAGAAGCTGAAGTGAACCTGTGGCCTAGGATTTTATCCAGAACTAATCTGAGGCTGAAGTAACGATTCACAGAGGTGGGGGTCACAATCCAAGAAGAAAAGAAAATTGTTCCCTGGAAGGCACTTGCTCCCACTCTCCCACTCTCTTTATGTTCACCAAAGGAAAAGAAATATTTCTGGATGTCCACTGATTATAAAATGGACAAATGCATTTCTATTTCAGGCCTTGTTTTCACATTTGAGTAATCTTGAAGTTTCTGCAAGTTTCTGAGTGAGCTGGAGGTTCTTTTATTTGTGCAACTGCAGTCATGTCTTCAGACACAACTTTCTGTTCTAGTTCATTTATTGGTGCCTGCTGCTTGAATGTTTCTTTCCAGACTGATTTGTATCTTATGTGGAAATGAAGCACTGATCAGTGGGCTGAGAAATTTCTGGAGACACTTCTCTTTCTGTCTATAGAAGGCAAGCTAGCTAACTCTCTTCACTATTGGAGGAGGAGAACCCTGGATTGGAGAGAAGAAGAGAGAAACAGGCTCTAGAATTTAGAAAAATGTTGTTGTTGTTGTTGTTGTTGTTGTTGTTGTTGTTGTTTAATTTCCATTTTACCTCCAGAATTACTTGAATCCTGTAGATCACAATGGCTTGTAGAGCTGGGGAGCCATTATTCCTGCTGAACAATCTGGGAAATACACACTGGACCTGGTGACCTATGGCTCTGGGAACACTTCTACTTTCACTGGTCTCCCCCACAGGCTGGACAAAGTTGAGATATATTCTTTTTCTGCCTGAGCAATTTATTTGAAAGTGTCCTAGCTTGTCACACTAGTAGAAATCAGCAGGTGCCTCTTGGAGATTCCGGCTCTTGTAGGCCTGTGAAGAGGCCAGTAATGCCTCTTTCATTCTCTTGCGACTCCCCTCTTCTTTCTAGGTCTCCTCTCCCCAGTTCTTGTTTTAAAAGATAAAAGCCACCCCAGAAAGTCTTTCAAAGTGCTATCTGATCCCACAGCCTGCTTCTGTAGTTTTGTTCTGATATTAGAGGATGGCTGAGAAATAAAGTAATATTTTAAAATTGTGTATCCCTTAATTGAATTAGGAGATGGAGACACATGTATTGCTAAAGCTTCTCTCAGCCATTCCAAAGAATCTGTGAGTTTTTTTCTAGTTTGTGATTTCAACAAGAACAGTTCAGAGTAATTAAGAAGTCTTGTTCTGGTTCTTTCGAAGCCTGATAATATGCACAGTAGAAAGTGTTTTTCATTTCTATTCATCTGTAGGTTTACCAAGGCTTCATTTGGGGTTTTCAAACAGCACTGTTTTCCTTTCTATTGGAAATAGTAATTCTGTCTTCTTTACTCATCCATTTTCATCTTTCGCTTCTGTTTATTTTTTGACTGACTATAGGATGTCAGTTGTTCATCTTCAAATTCCTTTGCTGTCTGTACTGCTGCCTGTTTTTCCGCAGTAGTTGAAATGTGGCTTAAAAGTTGCACTGCATTTCTGCACATAAGAGGAAACAGCTGATTTAAATGTTGGAAAGCCTGTGCATGTCTATCAGGTTCATCAGGGAACTGTCTTAAGTCCAGCTTTATGTATATAAGTTTACTGTAATGAGAAGGAAATTTAAACCTTAGTAGCACCATATTCATTGTGCATTTGTTATAGGGGCACCAGTGAAGTTGGAAGTTTCCTGGGCTTGCACAACAAGAGGTGTTTTTATACAACTATTCTGAGTCCCAGTTAAAGGAGTCAGATAGGGCACTCAGAAATTGCATTTGACAGTTCTCTAGAGATTTCTCTCTTTGACTTTGGAAAATTATGTATTGTAGACTTACCTTGTATGGTTCCCAAAGGCACAGGGGTAATTTTACAATGTTTACAAAATCTAGGGTTTTTTTGAAGAGCAAAAGGACCTAGCTGTTAGATATTATTGAAATTATGCTTCTTTGGGAAGGCCTGTCCTCCTGTCAGGAACATGGCCACATGGCCACCTTGTTGCTAGTTGAATATCATTATTATTGTTTATAAATTTAGAGACTCAAGGTCAATGGAGTCCCAGTGCTTCCAAGTGCACTCAAGGGGAGTGCAGTCTACAGATGTTTTGTTGCCATCTAGAGACAGAGGGTAAACAAGGTGTCATTCAGATGACTTCCTCCTTTTGGTGTTACCCAGGATAAATAGAAAGTGTTACAGTATCCTTTTTCATCTTTTTCCTTTGTCTCATCTGTGCCCCCAAAACTGTAATAGGTGCTGCTCAGAAATGCAAGCATAGCTTTTACACATATATCTGGAGGAGCTAGTCAGAAGCACTAGCCACACTCACCTGTGCAAAGCTGTAGCTTTCTGCCCTCCTTTTGTCCTAGACCCACTGAACCCCAAAGGCTTGAAAGTTACCCCAGAGGCCTTGCAAATGTTATGTAGTAGTAAAATTTGTTCTAGACATTTTAATAGAGGAAATGTCTTCATACTAACTTTGGCTTTGGTAACTATGTTCCCAGTGAAACATCAGAATCTCAGAGAATGAGACAGATTGACTTTCAAACATTTTAAATCCAATATTATTGCAATGCAGAACAGGTGGCTTAAAACTGTAGAAACTGAATGGCTGAATGGCCCTTCATTAGATGGTGAAAGCAAAGAGGCTAAAATCTGCTCTTTAACATTGTTTTTCTCCCAATAATTAATAGTGGAGGCTGCCTGTTTAAAGATAGGATATGTGGGCTAATCACTGATGGCAGAATGTAAATGGGGAAAGAATTTCAAAGCTGTAAGTTTTGGACAATGGATTCACAAGGCTCCAGGTAGAAAAGAAATCTTATTTCACTAGGGAGTGATGTAAGGTTAGAAAGGCTAGGTTAAAATTTCTGACACAAAATTCTCTTTATTCAAAAGTTAGAAAGAGAGATTTTGGGTTAGATAGGTTGTCTCCACTAAATGCCCCCCAACAGGCAAAAATTAACTTGTCTCTTGTAACTTTTATGTGAAGGAAAATAATATCTTTGTAAAAAATTCCACATAAAGGAAAGAGTATTTACTTGCAGTCAAATCCCTCCCATACAGTGCCACGATTATCTGTTAGTGAGGGACAAAAAGGCCCTTTTATAGGTAACAATTTATAGTGAAATCTTGAATTCCCCTTGTTTCACAGAAATCACAAAAACAAACCTTTTTAAATTACACTACTAATTACTGAGACAAGGAGTAACTGTGTTAAGCAAACCTGTATACCTAGTATACCGAGGCTGTAAAAATGCCCACAACGCTGCATAGAAAAAAATATGAAAGACATTATAGCTGTGAAAAGAAAAATTTTAAATTCAATAGATAAAAATGCGAAGTCCTTGTGTTAATGGCCTGATGAGTTGTCACAGACCAGAATTAGTCTAACGATAATCAGATAACACTGAGATGTAGCCTCAAGCTGAAACTTTTAGTGTCCCTGGGATCTCCTCTAGATCTCATGTGACTGCCAGGCTCTTTATGAAAAAAGTCTTGAAATAAACAAGACATTTTTGAAATGAATTTGGAAGTTTAAAGTCTATTTTTACCATTCTGATGAATTGTTTCCTTCACAGCCCATGCAGAAACATACGTATAGTCTCACCAATGCACCAATATATGTTGCAGTCTCACCAATGCACCAAGATGTAAGAGTATCCCTTTGTCTGTAATTATACCCAAAGATCTTTCCTTTAATAAAAAAAAAAGAAGCTGAGAAACAAAGTTGAGATTAAAGAAAAAAAAGCACAAGAAGAAAGCTCTCTGCCAATCAAAAGAAGGACTCAAATGTGTTTCCCACTATGAGGTTGGGGTTCAGGGTTATTACAAACTAGCAAGAGAAAGAAGTGTTTTTAGTCAATGGGCTGCTTTGAAGACCATGCAATTTAACTTGGCTCAGGGTCTTGGCCTGAGAATAATTCAAAAGCTTAACCCAAGAAATCTGCCTAGAAATAACCAGGAGGTGTAGTCATAATTTATAGCTGCTGCTCAGCTCATCCCATGACCTATCAGGAGCTGACGTAAAAGCTTGGCTCAAAAATTTGGCCCAGGCTTAATCAGGAACTAAAACAGTAATTTATAAAGGCTGGGCTCACAGTCCAAAAGGAAACAAATGTGCCAACCAGAAGCCACCAGGACCCACTGTGTTTATGCCAAAAAAAATGGACAAGAAACTACTTCCTGGGAGCCAACCGATTATACAAATACAAGGGTATTTTTGAGCCATGGCTGGTTCTCTTATCACAATGAGCCAGAGTTTGCACAAGACTTTTCTCTGAATGGACTGAAGATTCTTCTGTCTGTGACAATACGGATCTTGAGATACAACCCTCTGTGTTAGTTATCTTGTTGGTGTCTGCAGACTGATTTTTTTTAAGGCTGCTTATGTGTTACGTGTAAATGAGAAATGAACCTGCAGAACAGTGGTTTTCCAGGGACACTTTCCTTGCTGCCTCCCTAACTCAAGCTAGCTTTCTTATCTCAGTAACACTGTAAAGAGCCTCCTGAATGTGGGTACTTCAGATTTTACAATAGGAAACATGAGGAGGCACAAAAGAAGAAGAGTAAAGACAAAAGAAGAACAGAGACTCTAGCTAATGCAATACAGTTTTGTAAAAATCCAAGTCCCTGAGTGGCACCTGCTAACTGTTATCAGTGTGGCAAGACAGGACACTTTCCCAAGAAATGCTGAGAAAACAATAGAAAGCCACCTCAACACTCTCCAACCAGTGGTGGTGACCACTGAAGGGTGTGCTGATTAATGAGGCATGCACCACTAAGTCCAGGACCAGTCTCACAAATGGTCCAGCAAGACTGAGAGTTCCTGGAGATCAATTCCCCAGCTCTAACAGCTGCCATAGTCTTCGGGTTCCAAACTCTTCAAAATCCTTGGGTGATTCTGAAGGTGGAAGGGAGGAAAGTAGACTTCCTTCTCAAAACTGGAGTGGGTGTCTTTGTTCTGCTTTTCAATCTAGGCTTTCTCTCCTCCCATAATGTGACAATGATGGATGTGTCAGCAAAAGTCCTTTATGGAATATTTTCTCAGCCCATTAGTTATAGTTGAAACGACCTTCTATTTAGCCATACCAATTTAATAATTCCTGAAAGTCCCACTTTATTACTAGGTAGAGATATTTTGGCCTATATAGAAGCCTCCATATGAATGGCTGCAGGATAAACTCTTTGTCTCCACTAAGTGGAAACTAATATTAACTAAGAAGCATGGGATGTCCAGAGAAATGTTGCTGGGCTACAACCACTGTATGTATCTGTATTTACATTAAGGATTGCACTATTTTTTTTTCTGACCAGAGGCATTATTTCCCAAACCAGAAGGTAGAAAAGGGCTAGAAGTCATTATAAATAAGCTATAAAACAAAGGCCATTTTAGACCCTGCAACAGTCTTTACAAAACCCCAAATATCAAAGAAGGTCATTTTTTAACATGCCCAGAAATCCCATTTGCTTGGACCTGAAGAAGGAAAAAGTTTAACCAACTCATAGGTATTAGGGAACCAACCCCCGATATTTCAACCTCAGTTCTTTTCTATTTTCCATAAGTGTCAGCCAGTCTGAGAAATAAAAGGATAGGTTAGAAAAAAAAGAAAGAAATTTTAAAGCGGTGTGTCTGGCAGAGACATTACATGTCAGCAGGTTCCGTGATGCCCCCTAAGCCAAAAACCAGCAAGTTTTATTAGCAATTTTCAAAGGGGAGGGAGTGTACAAATAGGGTGTGGGAGACAGAGAGCACATGCTTCAGAGGGCAATGAAAGATCACAAGGCAGAAAGGTCACAGCAAAATCACAACATCAGGGTGAACCTAGAATTGCTAATGAAGTTCCATGTCCTGCTGTGCATGCATTGTCATGATAAACATCTTAACAGGGTTCCAGAGCAGAGAACTGATCTTGCTAGAATTCTCCAGGCTGGAATTTCCTAATCCTAGCAATCCTGGGGTTGCTGCAGGAGGCCAGGGTGTGTTTCATCCCTTACCTGCAACTGCATAAGGCAGACACCCCTAGAGCGGCCATTTTAGAGGCCTCCTCCTGGGAATGCATTCTTTTACCAGGGCTGTTAATTACTAATATTCCTTACTGGGGAAAGAATTCAGTGATATTTATCTTACCTGTTTTTGGCAGTAAGACAAATATGGTTCTGTCCTGCCCAGCTCCCAATCAGTCAGACCTAATGGTTATCTCCAATGTTCCCTGAACATCACTGTTATCCTGTTCCTTTTTCAAAGTGCCCAGATTTCATATTGTTCAAACATACATGCTTTACAAACAATTTGTGCAGTTAACACAATCATCACAGGGTCCTGAGGTGACATACATCCTCAGCTTACGAAGATGATCGGATTAAGAGATCAAAGTAAAGACAGGCATAGGAAATTATGAGAGTATTAATCTGGGGAACTAGTGAATGTCCATGAAATCCTCACAATTTATGTTCTTCTACCACAGCTTCAGCAGGTCCCTCTGCTTGGGGTCCCTAATTTCCTGCAACACATCAGTATTTGGAAGTAAAACCCATGGTTGTGCTTGGTTTTAAGAGGTTTTATCAGAGGTTCCTCATGAAGAAAAGTTTCATCAAAACCAGTGTACAAAGCCTATTTAAGAGCAATTATTTGGCCCACAGTTTATGCCAATAGTTATTTTAACTATTAAATTATAGACCATTTTGCTGTCAACCCAGGCCTATTATATTTGTTTTTTACAGAAATGAACAAGGAAAATAGAAAAATTTGCTTCAAATCTTACATTGGCCATTGTCTTCTAGTCTCATTAGTTGTCTTTAGAATTTGCCTGTAGTTTAAACTAGCCCTGTTAATTTCTGTGAGCCAGTCAGAAATCTCCAGCTACAGCTAAGTAGAAAACATAAAAAAGGTTAACATTTTAAAGTATGTAACAATATTTTCTTCTGGGCAATTTATTCTACAAATCGTGCCAGGTCATGAAAGTATAGTGTGGACTCATAGTTAAGGGGTGTTTGTCTTTGTGGGGATAAGACTAAGGACGCTAAGCAAAGCCAAGCCCTATACATCTACAATTCTCTGGCATAATTATAGCCCTCAGTTTTCGGGGCATGTCAGCAGCCTCAGAATTTTTAAGCTGTTTATTGCCTCAGCTCATCTCATTTAAAAACACATATTTTTATAACCCAATTTTTTTCTTCTTACATAGAGGAAATCAAATTCCAAATGGTACTGGAAATGAAACCACTTATGAAAACACCGTGTTTCTGTGAAACCTTATCCTGACCTCAGGCAGAGCTCCAGCTGTTGCGTTTCATTGCACAACCCCTCTCCCTAGCAGGAGGTAGCTAGAAAGATCAATTCTGTCTAACAGCAGTTAGGTAGTAGGGTTGGTCTCTCCCTAACAGCAGAGAAAAGTTAGATAGTTGGGGGGGGCCCTTGGTATAACTTCTAGGAACAAAGATCCAGCTTACTGAAAAATAGGCTACAGACACATATTAGTAAACTCACACAAACCTTCAGCCCACTCACATGAAGAAACGCAGTCCAACATAGACAGAACTTTGTTCTTTGTGCACAAATATATGCTCACAAAGAGACTGATTGAAAAACAAGAACAACAAGAAAACACCCTTGTCTTTTGTATAAGCAATGGACTTCCAAAATTAGTGGCTTTTTTTTCGGTGAGGAAAGTACACGGTGGGCGACAATAAATTTTAGTGGGCACTTTTCTGGACATGCTTTGGAATATAACCTGAAGTGGTATGAATCATCACATCAGCCTCTGATTAGTCATGGGTAGAGGTCGTGAGCCAAGCTTTCACATCAGCACTTGTTTTGTCCCAAGCAAAAGTCCAAAGCCAAGCTGAGTAATGCTTTTTCCGAGATCAATCATCACATTCTTCCATCTCCCAGTACATGAGGACCCCAAACACCAGGGTGACACTGGACAACCAAATTGGGTTTCCACCGTGGAGAGCCATTTTAATTTCCTTCTTAAACTTCAGTGCTAACTTCACTTTGTGTGCACGTTCCTCAAGTTTTTGGACCCCAGATAAATAACTCTTTGTGATGTCACACAGTGAGAATTTGCTACATGTGGTGAATTGGTGAGACTACAATTGAAGCCTGAATTGAGCCCTGGGATGCATAAGTCTTACTTGATTATATAAAATCGGGCCCTGTAATGCAAACTATGTCTCTGCAGGCATTCCACCTTCCAGTGGTCGCCACCACTGGCTGGACAGAGTTGAGGAGGCATTGTTTTCTTTTCTCTGCTGTTCTTCCTGAAGAGTCCTGGAGCTTGCCAAACTTTCAGCAGTTAGAAGGTCCAGCTCAAAACTCCTGGATTTTGTAGACCTGTAATTCCGTCACTAATGCCTCTGTCTATCTCTTGCTTTTTCTGCCTTTCCTGTGCCTCTTTGTGGGCCCTGCTGTAAAAGACCAAGAATGCCACCCACAATTTTTCTACTGTGGTATCTGGGACCATAGTCTGCTTTTGTAGTTATCTTCTGATTTAAAGTTTGAGTAATAAACTTGCCTAACAAGATTACCTGTATTTTATTTAAACCAGGAGATAGAGAAGATTGTTTCAAAAAATCCACAGAATCCTCTCTCAGCCTTTCATTAAGGCTGAAATATTTTGATTTGGTTTTTATTTCAATATGGCCAGTTTTGATTAATTAAGAGCTTTGATTCCAGTTTCTTGGAAGCTTTTTAACACACACATTAGAAACTCTTTTTGTTTCCACTCATCCATAAAATCAGTAGGCCTTTAGTTATGTTTTTTAAGGGGCAATGTCTCCCTTCTTATTGGAAATGGGGCTTCTGTCTCTTTTCCCCTCATTTTTTTTTTGGTCCGGTTTTCTTCTTTGCCTGGCTATATTAAACATGCTATTTGTCTCTGAAACTCTCTGTTGCCTGTGCGGCTTCCTGTTGCTCAGCAGTACTTAACATTTGGCTTAGGAATGACATAACATGTTGCCATGTAAAACCAAACACTTGGGTAACATTTTGGAAAGCCTGTCTGTATTCATCAGAGTTATCAGAATACTTTTCTAGGTCCCAATCTATCTGTTTGAAGTCTTATAATAAAAAGAGAACCAGTAATTTAGATGCACCGTGTTTATTGGGCATTTTCTTTAGGGGTAACAATTTAATGGAGGGTTGCTTGGGAGAAATGAAGAAGAAAAGGATGATAAAGTGACTAGAGGAGTCTGTGGATGGGGGACACAGGAGAAGCTGGAACATCTGGAAGTTTCTTCTGAGGGTTTCCTGGAGGTTTGTTTCTCTGACTTTTGAGAATTGTTCACTATAGACAAGTCTGATATGCTAAGAAGGCATGGTCAACATTACAATGTTTACAAATATCTGGGTTGTTTGCAGGACAAAGAAAATACCTCAGATAATTTACCTTCCCACTTAGAGAAAATATCTAGATGTTGGATAGAATTGAGAGAGAAAATTTAGGTACATAGGATGGATTCTTGCTAAAACTACTTTGAACAAAGAAACAGGCTAAAATACCAGGCTGCAGGCAGATTTTTAAAAAAACCTGAACAAACCTGCAGCCCACTCATATAAAGGAACAAAGCCTAACAAACAAATATTTTTTGCACTTTTTTGTTACCTAAAACATGCCAACAGATAATCTGATAAAAGAAGAATATTCTGCATAAAAATATTTTTCTTCTTAAATAATGCACATACTTCCAGAAAATAGTTTCTATTCCTTTTACACAGGGAGCTTCAGTGTGCTTCAGTGAGCACTTTTCTTCTTCTTCTTCTTCTTCTTCTTCTTCTTCTTCTTCTTCTTCTTCTTCTTCTTCTTCTTCTTCTTCCTCTTCCTCTTCTTCTTCTTCTTCTTCTTCTTCTTCTTCTTCTTCTTCTTCTTCTTCTTCTTCTTCTTCTTCTTCTGCTTCTTCTTCTTCTTCTTCTTCTTCTTTTTTCTGGATATGCTTTCTACTGTGAGCTGAGCCACTATAAATTTTTACTTCAGCTACTTTTCAGTCCTGGGTCAAGTTTCTGAGTCAAGCCAACTAGTACTTTTTCAAGACTAGTGAGCACACTCTTTTCTTAATTCATAAAAACATCAGAACCTGCCGTATAGTGAGAAACACATCTGTCTCCTATCTGTGCTGTGAACAGTCATTTTTTCCCTGTTAAGTAATCAATCTGACTTCATTACAGTGAAGGAAAAAGAAAGCCTGATGATACTTCAAAGTAGCAGACTGATATGTATAGTGGCATGCCCACATGTGCAAAAGTGTGCATCGGAACACACTGAAAACCACTGGGTAAAAGAAATAGAGACTATTTTCTGGAAGAGAAGCATTTTTATGCATACTATTCTTCTTTTATCAGATTATCTGTAGGCATGTTTTAGGCCAAAAAAAGTAATTACAAAAGAGTTTATTTATAAGGCTATGTTCCTTTATATGAGTGGACTGCAGGTTTGTGCAGGATTTTTTTTTTAATCTGCATGAAGCCTGGTATTTCAGTCTGTCTCTTTGCTTAAAGTAGTTGTAGCAAGAATCCATCCTATCTACTTAACTTTTTTCTCTCAATACTATCCAACATCTAGATATTTTCTGCAATTGAGAAGGCAAATTGTCTGAGGTGCCATATATGTCAGATTTCTTTGTCCCGCAAACAACCCAGATGTTTGTAAACATTGTAATGTTGACCATGCCTACTTAGCACATCAGACTTGTCTATAGTGAACAATTCTAAAACATCAGAGAAACAAATCCCCAGGCAACCCTCAGAAGAAACTTCGAGATGTTCCACCTTTTCTTGTGTCCCCCGACAAGGGACTCCTGTAGTCACTTTATCATCCTCAGATTCTTCAATTCTCCCAACCAACCTTCCATTAAACCACTAACCCTAAAGAAAATGACCAAAAAACATGTTGCCTCTAAATTCCTGATTCTCTTTTTATTACAAGACTTAAAACAGATAGATTGGGACCTAGAAAAGTATTATGATACCCGGATGAATAGAGAGAGGCTTTCCAAAATCGTTCCCGAATTTTGATTTTGCATGCTCACATGTTATGTCACTCCTAAGGCAAATCTTAAGTACTGCTGAGCAACAGGAAGCCACACAGGGAACAGAGAGATTCAGAGACAAATAGCAGGTTTAACATAGCCAGGCAAAGAAGAAAACCAGTCCAAAAAAAAAAGTGGAAGACAAACCAAAGCCCCATTTTCAATTTATATATATTTGCTACATGTTCTGAGAAAGCAATATATTAGAATACTCAGTAGGAGTATAGGAGCACTTCTTCAAATTCTTTGCTTTACTTTTATTTCTGAGGATTTTGTCCTAAGTTTATTTTTCCTTTTTGTACTCAAGAGCAAACAACACTGAGCCAGTGTCAGCCAGTTCAAATCAAAAGGATGACTTCCAGCCTTATAAGACTCAGGTGACAGGCCAGATAGAGAGAACTTTGACAATCCCCCAACATCCTCAGTTGATGAAAACTTTGGCTCTGTTCCAACTCACTTTCCTTCACAAAGCAGCTTATGCATGCAGAGACTTACAATCGGTCTTGAGACAATTGAAAGTTTCTGGCCAAGGCTACAGCTCAGTGTTATCTAAAGCCTTCTGAACTAAGGCCAGTCAATGACAGTCCATCAGGGTGATGGCACCAGGAATTCCAGAATTTTCTATTTTATTTTCTTGCCTTTCCGTTTATGGCAATCATGTCTCTTATTTTCTTCTTTTTATGCAATGTTGCAACCAGGAAATATATTCTTATTGGGTGAATTCAGTTGGTGATTTAGTAATCAGGAATATTATTCAAATATTGCTGTTTTGGTGGTGTCTTGGAAACAAACGAAATTCGAGTTTTTAGTCTAACTTTTAACTTGGTAAAAACCTTTTTGGGAACCAGCGATAGACATTTAGAACACTGTAAAAGAAGTTTTCTTACCCCGAGGGAATACTTTCTTCTGCATTTTTTCTTCTCCTTTTTCACTGTCCTATTAATCTAAGAGGCATAGTGTAGGGAACGTTTATCAAGCCCTAACCCTTCTTTTCTAACTTTTGACAGAAAAGTGTTTGTAATCAGAGTTTTCATCTAATATTTCAGATCCTACATTGCCACTTGTTAAGATAGGATTTTTCTCTATATAGAATCTTGTCAGCCCTTTGCCTAAAATGTCTGGTTTCCAACTTTCTCCCCCTGCAATGTCTCAATGACAATTATAAGACTCTATGTCCCATCTCTAAGCAGAAAATCTCCACTTTCAACAGTCAAAAAGAAGCTGCCCTTGACAAATTACAACCTCATTGCTGATGTTTTTATAAAAGAAGGAAAGGAATGGAATCTTTTTTTTTTTTATTTTTTGAGGCAACCGTTCTGCATCCAGCTACATTAATATCTAAATAAGAAGAGAATGTTAAGTTTCAAAGTCAATCCGTCTTATTTATGAGGATGTCAATGTTTTGCTAGGACCATAGTATGGGAAAACAGGGATAATATAAAGACTCAAACTCTATTAAAGACTGTTGCTTCACTGTAACTACCGCATAATCTTTCTTAGGCTTCCCCCACGTACCTGGAACTTTTTGGGTTGAATGGACTTAGGAGACAAAGACGGAATTTTACATATATATATATATATATATATATACATATACACACACATACATGTAATTAGGAATTACACATATACACTCATATACACACATATACATACACACACATATATGTCTATATATGTATGTGTATGTAATATACACACATATGTGTGTATGTGTATATATACACACATATATAGACAGAGCATACATATATACTTATATATACACACACTTATATATGTGTGTGAATGTTTGTATATATATGCACATGTGTAATATATACGCATACATATGTGTGTGTATGTGTATATGTATATACATGCGTATACACGTACCATCTATATACACATACCAGAGTGTATAGATATACATACATAAAGTCTGGGTATTACATATATGTTATTACATACAGATATACACACACATACGTATGTGTGTGTATGTGTATATGTGTATATACACACAACTATATATATATACACACATATACATATATGTGTATGTATACACACAAACTTATATGTATATATATACACACATATACATATGAATGTGTGTACATATATATGAATGTAATACAAACACATATAATACCCAGTTTATGTATGTATACCTATACACGCTGGTATGTGTACATAGATGTATGTATATATACACATATCATATATGTTTATGTGTATATAGATGTATGTATATATACACATATCATATATGTGTATGTGTATATAGATGTGTATGTACATACACACACAGACAATTTAAAATATTAAGTAGCATGAACACAAGTGTAAAGTTTCAGCAAAATTTTAGTATATAAAAACAGACCATTTTGCCTGCAAATTTCTACGTGATCTGAGAGCTATTAATGCACAGATTAAACCAATAGGTGCATTACAGCAAGGTCTGCCATTACTGGCAGCCATTCCAAGTGACTCACCTCTCATAGTAGTAGATCCTAAAGATTATTTCCTTACTACACCCTTACATGAGAAGGATAAGCGAAGTTTTGCCCCAAAGCATGCTCATCGGTCCTACGCTATTTCAGCGTTTTGTAGGACAGTCCTTAAAGGAGCCTCATAATATATTTCCTACTGCCTACATCATTCATTATATGGATGAAATCCTTTTTGCTGCTCCAATGGAAGAGTGATTACACCAAATATTGAGAGAAGCAAAACAGGGGGACATCTCAAAATAGTTCAACAAATGGTAGAAACAACCTCCCCATACCAATACTTAGGCACTATTGTTACTGAAACAAATGTTAGACCTCAGAAAGTAGTCCTCTGTAGGGACAGATCACAAACCTTCAGTGATTTCCAACAACTATTAGGAGACATAAATTGGCTGTGCCCAATCCTAGGCATTGCTACTCATCAATTCAAACACTCAGATCATCCATGGAGATTCTTCACTAGGAGTAATGGGCTTAGGAGACAAACGCGTTGCTCCAGCAACTTACTAAGGAGGCTGAAGTTGAGTTACACCTTGTAGTGCAGATTCTTCAGTAAACACATGCCTCCCAGCCACAGCCACAAAAGCCTTTGGTTCTCTTTGTTCTTTCTATCCCCCATTCTCCAAAAGGACTTTTACGACAGATCATAGAAAAATATGCAATTGTGATAGAATGGCTTTCTTTTGAAATTCAATCAGATAGTAAAATCTCTGCAAGTTTATCTTTCTTTAACTACTCAATTTATAACAAGGGGTAGGGTTAGATCAAAAATGCTTAAGAGATATGATCCAGACAAAATTACTGTTCTCCTTTTAGAGCCAGTCTAAAAGTATGAGGAAAAATATTGGATTCCCAACAATAGTTGCATCATGGGAATTGTTGACTGTGTGTCAAATTGCTCTTTCAGATTATGTAGGAATAATACATAAACTTTATCCATCAGACAAAATTTTGAAATTTTAAAAATTCAACCTTTCATCTTCCCTGTGATTCCTCATCACAAGCCCATTTCAGGCAGCCAGACCTATTTTACTGATGGCTCTTCCAAAGGTCACAAAGCTACTTATAGTACTAACCATGCTCCTACAATAAAAAAAACCCAGAGTTTCAGCTCAACGCTCAGAACTAATGGAACTTAATCAGGTTTTAGAGCTCACTGGTTCATCTCTTATTAACACTCTCTATGATTCAGCCTATGTTGTAAATGTAGCTGGTCATATTGGGACTGCCACTATTAAAAGCACCCTAGCACCAGAGATGTTTAACTTGTTTCTAAGGCTTTAACAAGCTGTTTGCTCTCATGCTCCTTTTTATATCTCTCATATCTGCTCTCCCACACAACTCCCTACACCACTATTTCTAGGTAATAATAGAGCCAATAAATTGATTTGTTCTGCATTTCAGCAAGCTCAACTTTCTCCTATATTACTGCATCAAAACTCTGTCTTTACTCGTATGTTTCATTTGCCTAACAGCCAGGCTGCAGCCTGTACAAGCCCGTCCTACTTGCCAGCATGTCACTGGAGTCACACCCATAGAAGGCTGTAACCCATGAGACTTAGCTTCAAATGAAATCTGACAGATGGATGTTACTCACAAAGCTGTCATTGGCAAGCTCGCCTTTGTTCATGGGACTATAGACACTTATTCTCACATGCGGCATGCTACATGTAAACCAGGTCAAACAGCTGGTTATTTACAATGACATTGTCTGTCATCATGTGCTCATATGGGGGTTCCTAGGCAATTAAAAACTGACAATGGACACGCTTATGTTAGTCATGCTTTTTAAAATTTATTACAGCTATGTTCAATCACTCATAAAACAGGAATTCCTTACAATCCCCAAGGCAAGGAATTATAGAGCAGGCAAATTGAACAGTACAACGCGTGCTGAAAAAAACAGAAAGGGGAAACAGGAGACCAGTTACCACCTCAAACAAAATACATTTACTTTTACTTTAATTTTTTTTTTCACTTCGTTTAAATTTTTTGTCTCCTGGTACAGATAGTAAGACTATGGCAGAATGACACTGGTAAATGTTATAGGGAAAAAGGAAAGTATACCCAAAGATATTATGAAAATCCCCCCAAGGACGATGGAATGGCTCAGTAGATTTACTGATGTAAGGACGAAGGTATGCTTGTGTTTTCACAGAAGATGGATAAACTGTGTGGGTGCCCTCAATGTGTTTGCGACCATGTAAAGGGAGAGTGGAAAGAGCCATGGTTCCCAACTATGGATCCGGCTCCTCCGTTACAAGCCATGAGTCAGTTGAAACTGCTGGAGCACCAGGGTCAGGCAAACAACCCTGACCTCACGTTTATGGCCATGCTACCTGTAACATCCTGGCCAGTAGGTTTTCCTTGTGCAGAGACAAAAACATATTGGGCATATATTTCCAATCCCCCAGTATTATGGAGTGTAATATGGAGTGACACTCCCCCTGATATCTATCATGATCATGGAGGATGGGCACCAGGACCCCAAACACCCCCTGACAAACAGTAATTAGACTCTCAGAACAATGATTATCAATTATGCTGTGCCATTGGAGGGACTTCCTTTATGCATCACCCAGGGTACATCACTCAACTGCAGTGGCCTTGCAAATTAATCCCAAGTACGGTTAAGTTACCATGGAAAAATTATGTACCTATTAGGCCTTAGCTTTATTAACATTACTGGTGTAGATAATAACCACTCACAGCCCCATCCCCAAAATTCTATTAATTATACAGAATGGGCTCCCTTTGATAATTCCTACCCCCCTCATTGGACCCAGTGTCTTGGCACCCTAGCTAGAGAACAACAGTTCATGCTAATGGGAGACATTATTTTCTGGGTCCCTGTGGTCACTTAGATGGGAGAGATGAGACTCCGACCTCATGTCATAAACTTCGCTGACACTGGTTAGCATCTCTTCACTACATTGCACTGGGATTCAATCCCAATCTGCAGCAAGTTTCGCTTGGCCTGGAACAGGCTTTAGCTCAACTTTGCCTCAATGACATTATCAAGGAAAGAAACGTACAATTCAAGAGTCGATAGGGAAGGCAGCACTCCACTATATGAATGGCAGCATTTGTGTTCGAACACTATCTAATTATAGTAATTGTGCTGAATGCAGTTGCAATGTTACCTTTGTAGAAAATATTACCACTCAATTTACATTTTGTGTTTTTAAACTTATGTTTTTCTAGCAGCAAAATGGACTAACTCCAGTTAAACGATGCCCAATTGACTTGTGATTCTTGTCAACTGTATTATTCCCTTAACCATAGCACAGTACAAACATATAGCATATCCACCCTAGTAATTTTAGGTTGCAATCCCAGATTATGGATTCCTGTAAATCTGCCTGAGCCTTGGGTGGCCACTTCTGGTTTCCATTTTGTAAATCTTTTTCTTACTCAGCTTACTCATTGTGCTTGTAGAGCCTTAGGCATGAAAATAATTGTGAAAGTCTCCTTAGGAACACTAATAATTTCTGTTGTGGCATCCTTAGTAGCAATGTAGAGCTCCATTCAGACAGCTCAATATGTAGAAAATTGGATGTGTACAGCCGACCGGGCATGGATGCTTAAAAATAAACTTAACACTGAGATACACACAGAAGCAACAATGTTAAAGACTACAGTTCTGAGGATAGGAAAAGAAGAACAAACTTGTAGTTGCAGCAGCAATTGCATTGTCATTTTAAGCATACTCATATTTGTGTAACTAATTTGGAATAAAACCAAAGTGAATATCCATAGAAACCTGTAAAGGTCCATTTACATGGGGCTTTCACATACAATGTTACTTTTGATATTAATGATTAACAAAGTAAAATTCTTTTTTTTTCTTTTTTTTATTATACATTAAGTTTTAGGGTACATGTGCAATTCTTAACTTGAATAAGCATACTCAAGTATTTCAGCCATCTCTGAAAACTTGCACAGAATTCCAGCAAGGTGTAGAGAGCCTTAACCCTTGGACCTCCTCCAAACATCACCTCAATATCTTTTTTGTGATTATTGGAGTAATGTTATTATGTCTCTGTTTTATGCTCATTGTCAGTAAAAGCAGCTGGACCACCAAACAGCAATTGAGAGCTGCACAGCCTGCAATCACCTGTACTCAGTTAATGCAGAAACAAAATGGAGATGTTGGAGGCCAAAAGAATAAAGGTTGTGACCAACTCAGTAAAGACTGGAGGGTCTATGAGCAGAGAGCAAACTGTTCTCACGAAAGCAGCATTTTGATAACCTGACACACCACGTCTGGTGCCAGAAGGAATACTGAGGGCAGTCATGCCCCAAGCGCAGTATTTCTTGTGGTTATATATAGGAACATCTGAAGTCTGTAGTACAAAGAAAGCAATTATGTGAGCCTGTGATAAATCAAGCAGCTGACCAACAATTGCCTTTCCTCCCTGTTGATTCTGCCTAATAAATATGAAGGCCTGTAGAAGCTCAGGGCCTTTGCTGACTAGAAGAAATGAGCCCCCTGACCCCTCTTTTAAAACAAATATTTTTTGTCTTTGTCTTCATTTCTGTATTCAACCCCCTTTGTTTCATCCCATAGTAACTGACTGCCACACTCTCTCTATTAAAAATACAAAAAAATAAATAAATAAAGTTATGCTTGTTGGCAGGCACATGCAATCCAAGCTACTCAGGAAACTGAGGCAGAAGAATCCCTTCAACCTAGTAGACAAAGGTTGCAGTGGGCTGAAATCACGGCTTTGCACCCAGACTGGGTGACAGTGTGTGACTCCATCTCAAAAAAGGCAAAAAAACAAAAAGAAGAAAAAAAAATATGTTCAGGTTAAGATAATCAAAAAAACAAGGTGCAGGCTGAGAAAAATTTAGGTAACACATCTGAGAAGTGACTTTCAGTTAAAATGTACAAAGAAATAAGATGACCAAATTAATGATAGAGACCTCAGTAGATACTGCACCAAAAAAGATACGAAGATGGAAAATCTGGCACACAAAATACTGCTTGCTGAGCCCCTGTTATTTCTTCTGAAGGCTGAGGCTCCAAGCCATTTCCTGAGGAGCAACAGTGGCTGCCACAGTGACAGTGGCTCCAAAGATCATCCCCACCTACCCCAGCTCTACCCTTCCTCCAGGTTCCAAGGATTCCCCAGACATTGAGCGTGCTCACCGGGAAAGAGCCAGAAGCTGGATATTTTATTTCTCAACTTTTCTTAAAATTCTGGATACCAACAAGTATCCTTTGTTTGGAAATTTTACTTTTATCCTAACAATCTTGAGGCACTGACAAGTATTAGGAAAGATGGCTTTCAACCTACGGTTGTCTTCATAAAGAAATAAAAGAATTGGCATGGCCAGACATGGTGGTTCATACCTGTAATCCCAGCACTTTGAGAGGTAGAGCCAGGTGGATGTCCTTAAGTCAGGTGTTAGAGATCACCCTGATCAACATGATGAACAAGCTCTCTACCAAAAATACAAAAGTTAGCCGGCAGTGGTGGCTGAGTCCTGTAATCCCAGATCCTCAGGAAGCTAAGAGAGGAGAATTGCATGAATCCGGGAAGCTGAGGTTACCAGAGGCGAGATCACGTCATTGCACTCCAGCTATGGGAACAGAGGAAGACTCCATCTTGAAAAAAAAAAAAAGGAAAAGAAAAAAAATGATTCCATTACCCTTTTAGGCAGTTATTTTAGAATGCTTGGTACAATGCACTACTATTTTGGTATTCTCAAGACAGAAAACACAGTAACAGTAGTAAGTAAAAACCAAATAGCAAGTCATTAAAAATTCATGGGATTAATTTCCTCTGTCATTCTTTCTGGCTTTTATTATTTAAAATGTGTAATGTTGAAGTAATCAGACGTTTTACCTGTGATATCCAAACGCAAAAAGAAACAACAGTTAGTAAAACACTATTAAATGAATCTCAGTCTTCAACTTTGATTCTGATGCAGTGGAATGTTTTGTGAAAGATAAAAAACTAACAGACAAAACACAAGTGATTTCAAATTTTGACCTACTTTTGTAGGGGCAGATTTAAGAACCAAAACCTTCATAGTTCTAATTTTTTTTATTTTTGTCAATGATTCAGCATTGCAAGATATGTAGTGAAACTGAGATCAGAGCTTTTTGTCAATTCCAACAGAGACTAGTTTGTACTCTAGACGTTCCTCTTGCTCCCTTGAAATCCGTAAAGAAATCACTTGAGTGAATGGGACTTTTACACAATGAAAAATCACGACAATACACCACATTCTCTTATTAGCTACAGTTCACTCTTTTCTTGTAGTCACCATAAGATAAGAAAAAATAGCAAGATAAACGACTACGTGGACTAGAATAATTTTATTAGTTTTTACCAGGTAAAGCATAGAGTACTTTTTTTAAAAATTGGTTTTCTGTGGCACAACGCATGTATGCTTTTTGGCAGCAATCATAGATTAATGAACAAATGATAACAAAACAATGCTCAACAACACCTTCCATTCAGGGAAGGCAAATTAAAATAAAAGTGAGAGCACTAAACAGCTATACTATATCTAAATTTCTTTTTAAATGTAATCAGAACTGCAACAGGAAATCTCATTCATTGCCGATGGAATGCATAATGGTACAGCAACTTTAAAATATGGTTGTCTTCTTCTGCCACAGTTTGGCAGGTTTTTCCAAAGGCAATCATGGTCTCATCATATAGGCTAACAATTGCACACTTAGGTATTTAGACAACTGATTTGGAAAGTCACATCTAACCCAAAATCACGTGCATTTATGTATAACTGCTCTCTTGACAATGGCAAAATACTTGAAGGAATCAGGATGCCTTTCAATATTAACCAAGCCAGGCAAATTCATAAAATGAAATCCTATTCATCAAAAGAAAAAGAGTGATTTATGAAGTCACACAAAGCCATGGATGAATCAGGCACACATGAAGCTAAGTGATAAAAGCCAGTCTGAGGAGATGACATATTGTATGATTTTGTTTCTATTACATTACAGAGAAGAAATGTTTACAGAGATGGTAAGCAGACAAGGTAATTTACAGTTGTTTTTAGTGGGCAGGTAGTGAGTTGAAAAGGAGAATGTAGTAATGGAAAGGAGCACAAATGAGCCAGATGAGAAGGGACTCACTCTGTTTGATGAGATCATGCTGGGGATGTGGAAGAGTCAGGAGTGTGTATACCAGCATGAATAAATAAATAGGCTTCTACTCATGATAGGAGAAGAGCATCTTCTTTCATGACACATGCAACTATTTTAGGATGATATCTGAGGAAGCTTTAGTGATAATTGGAAAAACATATGTAAACAAATGTACCATTTCAAATATTTTTGAGTGTATAATTTGGAAGCATTAACTATTTAACTATGCTCAAATTGTGCAACCATTGCCACCATTTCACCATCTCACCAGCAATGTACAAGGTTTCCAATTTCTCCACATACTCTCAAAGTTTTCCTTAAAAAATAAAATAAAAAATTCCAATGGAGATAAAGTGGTAATCTTATTCTCATTTAGATATTCATGTATTAAGTGGCTAGTGATTTTGAACATCTTTTCATGTGCTTATTGGCTGTGGATCTGTAAATGATTTCTTGGCTATATCACTGAATGAACACAAAACATAAGAAAATATAGATCAACTGAACTTCATCAAAGCTAAACACTTTTGTGCATTAAAGGACACTGTCAGCATAGTGGAAAGAGAACCAACAGCATAGGACAAAATATTTGCAGGTCATATATATGGTATGTGTTCAAATCAACCACTTGGATCTCTCCCAAGGGCACTCTCCATTTTCTTACTCTAAAACTTTTTAAATAAACATCCATGTCTGCTGGGAAACTTTTCTCAGTCTCCTTTGCTACTTTATTCCCCTCAGTCAAATTCTTTCTTCTGAGGAAGTAAGAGTTTAAGTTACTGCAGACCATGATAGATTTGACACCAGTAACTCAGATAACTTCCACTGGTAACAGGTCGAGGAGCTGCTGGACAGGGTGGCGGGAGTTCATGTCTAGTATGTGGCTGGCCAGGCCCCGGGAAGTTCTGGGCTGTGGATGGACCAGAACCCCATGCTACAAGCACTCTGTGGAAAGAGAGCTCACATTGCTGAGAGAATGCTGAGGAAGAAATTTTCTCTTTTTAGTGAGGCCAATTTCCTTCTCATAATATAAAATTAACTGTTTGTTAATGAATTCCTTAGTGATCTTTAGTACATGCATATTTGTGGGCAACAACCGCATCTTAGTTCCAAATTATTTTCATCATTCCAAAAGGAAATACCCTACTTATTAAGAAGCTCCTACCCAATCTGTCCTCTTTCTGACACCAGCAACAAGTGATCTGCACTTTTTTCTCTATGGATTTACTTATTCTAAATATTTACATAAATAAAATCATACACTATGTGACTTTTGTCTTCACCTTCTTGAGCCAAAATTGCTTTGAAGTTTCCTCACATTGTAGCATTAGAGTTGTCATCCTCTTCACAGCTGAATATTATGCCATTCTATGGGCATACTACATTTTGCTTCTTACATTTTGCTGGTGGACATTTATTTGTTGTGTTTCCAGATTTTAGTTATTGTGAATGCTGCTATGAACATATGTATACAAGTTTTTCTTTGAATACCTCTTTTACATTTTTTGTATATACAGCTTGGAGTGGATGTTGTGGGTCCTATGGTAATTTTATATTTAGCTTTTGCAGAACACCAAACTATTTTCCACAGCAGCTGCAGCATTTTACTTTCACATTTTCCCACTTCCCTTCCTTTGGGCCTTCCAGAGACTACCTCAAAACACCTGCCATTCTCAAACACAAGCTACTGTGGATTTGGTTAGCTCTGGGTTGACATTTAGAAAAGCTGTGGCCTCAGAAGCCAACTTCCTTTGGCTCCTAACCTATGAGGCTGCACAATGAGCATTAAGATGGCCCGGAGCTTAGACCCAGAAAAGTTCTGGGAGAAAGGCTCAGTCCTCCCTTCTACAAAAAAGAGTGATGACTTAATACACTAGCCAGCTGCCCAGTGCCTTCTGTAACCCTAAACTTAATCATAACGTTAACCTTAACTCAGCCTCTACCCCGATCCTAAGCAGGAATCCCTAACACTAACAGCAACTCTAAGCCACAGACTTGACCCCAACATCAACCCTATGCCTAGCCACTCACCAAAACCTAAACCCTAAAACAAATCCCAACTCTAAATCCTAAATCTAACAGCTAAACCTGAATTTGACCCTGACCCTGAAAATAACCCTAATCCAAGTGTAATGCAAACATTACAGAAACCTGAACTTAAGCTCTAAGCCTAAAACCTTAACCCTGAAACACTAACCGTAAGACAAAAACACTAACAGTAAGCAAAAAAACCATCTCTAACCCTCAAAAGCTAATGTTAAGCCTAACACTAACAACAACCCCTAAATCTAACCCTAAATTCTAACTTCTAAACCTGCTTTTTGAGCATGATCATAACATTCACAATAAGTCTAATACTAACCCCTGACCCGAATGCTAAAACTCTTATTACTACCTTAACCCTACACCTACATGACAGTGAAACCTAGCTGTTACATAAAACCTAAACCCTAATCCTAACATTAATCTTTAGGTCAACCCTAACCCTATACCTAATCCTAACCCCTGACCCTAAGCCTGACTACTAACATTAACTCTAACCCTAATGTGTTACTGCAATCTGTATCCTAATGCTCATCCTAACACTAATTCTAACCAATAATTGTAACCTCAACTGTAATCATATTAATAAACATAACCTGAACCCCTTAATCTAAATTTAAACACTCACCATAACTATAACCCTAAAGCTTAATCTACTCTTACCCTAACCCTAAAAATAACATTAAACAATAATTCTAATCTGAATCCTAATTCTAACACGGTGTCCTATCTGTAACACCAACAGACCCACAACCACTAAACTCCAACCCTAATACTAACCCCTAACACTAATTCTATATCCTAAAGCTAACTCTAACCCTGAATTTTAACCTGTAACGCTGTAACCTAAACGCTGTATGCTAAACACTAAACGCATACCCTGTAACACTAAACATAAAAGTTACTCTATCTGATAACCTAAATGTAATTCTTCCCCTAAATACTAACCCTAACACTTAGTCCAAAATCTAACCTTGAAAACATAACCCAAAGCAAACCCCTTATTTTTAAATGTAATCCTAATGTTAACAATAAAACACTGAAAAACTACACCTAACCACAAACTCAACACATAACCCTAACAATAACACTAATCCTAACTGTAAAAGCATGAAACCTGAACTTTAACATTAAAACCAACCTAACTCTAAACCCATTAATAAAAATAAGCCTAAATCATTACTCTAAACCTAAAGCCTAAAACCTAACTATAATCTTAATCCTAAACCATAAACTCTAACTGTAACCTGTAACTGTATCCATAAACCAAAACCCTAACCCTAAATGCTAAACTAAACCTTAGTCCCTAACTGTAACCCTAACTAAAATGCTAATACCCAACACTAATCCTAAACCCTAACACTAACTGAAAACTCTATTCCTAATCCCTACCCCAAATCCTAACCGGAACTTCAACACTAACACCAACCCCAAATGTACGCCCTAACAGTAAGCCTAACACTAAGCCTAACCTTACCACAAATCCTAACCCTTTTACCCTCAACTTAACCCTACCCCTACATGAACACCAACCCCAAACATAAACATAAACCCTACTTTACACTAAACAGAGAATCCTAAGCCCAAATCCTAAACCTAATTATAACACTAACCCTAAACAATGCCCTAACCTTTAGCAAAACCCTAAACCCTAACTCTAACACTAACACCTCATCAAAAGCCCTACTCTAAGCCTAACACTAACCCTCAGCCTAATCTTTAGCCAAACGCTTTGACCATCATCCTAACCCTAACTCAACCACAACCAGGCACCCAATGTTAAACCACAAACTAACACTAAACCCTAATCCTAAATTTTAACAATAAACCAAACATTTTAATTATAACTCTAACACTAAGCATAACACTTGCCCTAATTTTAACCCTCATCCTGAATCCTAAACCTAACCCTCACCCAAACTCTAATCGGAACCCTTACACTACCACATAAAGCTAACCCTAATTCTAACTATAAATCCCCAAATCCCAAAAACACTGAAGGTAGCTTTAACTGCATCCCATAACTCTAAAACTCACACTAACACTAACCCTAATACCTTTATCCTAAGAGTAAAACTAACATAATTCTAACATAATCTTAACCTTAGCACCAAACCTAAAAATAACTCTTATCCTAAACACTGAACCTAATCATAACCTGAACCCTAAATGAGAAAACCTAACCCTTAACACTAACCCTAGTCCTAAAGCAAAATCTGTAACCCTAATTAAAACTAAACCCTTAACCTAAACCTAATCTTAGCCCCTAACTCTACAAAAACCTTAATACTAACACTAACAATAAATGCTAACCCCTAACCTTAACACTAAACAAAACCCTAACACTAAACCCTAACCCTAACCCTAAACTCTAAACTGAACCCTAACTGTTACCCTAATTGTGACCACTAACCTCAACCTCAACACAAACTCAGCCTTAACAGTCATGCTAAACTTAAATCAAAAACCCCAACCATATGCCCAACACTATCACTAACATCTAACCATAAATGTTGATCACTATCATTAACAATATCCCTAAACCCTAACCCAGAACCCTGAACTCTAACCCTACATGTAACCCTAAGCCCTATCCTAATGCTAAACACTAACCCAAATACTGAAATACTCTAACACTTACCCTCACACTAAACCTCAATACTAACACTAACCCCGGCCAGGACCCTGATTCCTAACCTCTAACTGGAAGCCTGTCTTTTTACCCTAAACCTAAGCATAACCCAACCCCAAACCTAACCTCTAACCCTGATTCTGACCCCTAGCCCTAAACTCAACCCTAACCCATAAACCTAATCTTAACCCTAACTGGAACCCTAATCCTACCACAACACTAAATCTTATTTCAAGCCCAGCCCTAACCCTCAATCTAATCCTGAACTTTTTCTGCAATTGTAAACCCTATCCCAATCCTCCGTTTCTATTCTATCCTTAAGGTTACACCATTATGCTTAAAAAACTTTAAATACATCCTGTATGACTCTAACCTCTAGCCCCTTATACCCATAAGAGTACAAGAAGTCATATCTCTTTTTAAGCCCAAATTAGTGTTGAATTAAACAAATGGTATCACTGGGACAAAAAACTAAATGTTACTATATCTGCTAACTATAGACATTATAATCTTTAACCAAATAAGTGAAGACATTATAAACCACGATGTTTAAGATCTTTTCTCAGAAAATCAAGTTTTGTTTTTTTTTTACCATTCTAACGTCATCCCTTTTCAACATATTATGTAAATCAAATGTTGAAATACACCACGTTTGTCTCAACTTTTATAAAAAGTACTTAAAGACAGTCAACACATTTAATAATTAAAAATCCAATAAACTGTATTTCAATTTTTTCCCATGATAAAACATCTTTATGCAAAACCGATAATAATCATCATCTAAATTGTTGGGAATGAAAGCTTTAAGATGAGGAACACAGCATTGATGCTCAACTGTATTAAACCCTGTACTAGAAGTTCCAGAAGAACAATTACATATATATATGCAAACACACACAAAGCTATTCATATGTGGAAGAGAAAAGTAAAACTATTCACAGATCTCATACACAGAAAACCATAAGGAACCATCTAGAAATTATGAAATCTAGGAAACAAATTAAGAAAAATAACAGGACAGAATATCAACACAAAAAACACCTTTTTTTTTTTTTTTCTTTTTGATGGCGTTTTGCTCTTGTTGCCCAGGCTGGAATGCAATGGCACGATCTCGGGTCACCGCAACCTCCGTCTCCTGGGTTCGAGCGATTCTCCTGCCTCAGCCTCCTGTGTTCAAGTGATTCTCCTGCCTCAGCCCCCTGGGTAGCTGGGATTCAGATATGTCCCACCATGCCCGGCTAATTTTGTATTTCTAGTGGACACTGGATTTCTCCGTGTCAGTCAGGCTGGTCTTGAACTCCTGACCTCAGATGGTATGTCCACTTTGGCTTCCTAAATTGCTGAAATTACAGACATGAGCCACTGCACCTGGCCACAAAATCTATTTCTATTCACTAGTAATAAACCCTATAAAAATGAAATTAAGATGACAACTTTATTTCTAAAAAAAAAAGAAGAAGCAGCTGGAATATTTCCCACTGCCCTGAAAGACACAGATATCAGGCAGCCGAGGTCTGGGACAGCCTTTGAGTTGAGGCTGTGCTACTATATTGGGACCTGGCTGGAATCACTGTGGGGCTAACCAGAAACTGTTCAAGTTCCTGAGAAATCAACGTCGAATTCCTTTAAAATATAATGGATGAAGAAAAGAAAATCTCTAGCGGTTTTGAAAACCCTAATGCCATGATGTCAAATAATGTCTTTTGAGTCATAAATTTTTAGAAAAAATCCTGCACAAACATCAGCAATAATGAAACAGTAGTTGAGTGGCCCAGGCCATTTTGCTGAGAAGAAAACCATTGAGGTCAATTTGAGAGACATCCCTTCATGAGCACTGTCAAGAGCATGCACATATTTTACCTACACATTTTACTATACCTACAGCTCCACAGGGATTTTTAAATTCTGATTTCACATAAAACTGCACTAGAATTTCTGACGGCTGTAAACTTTCTAGATTGTATGTAAATACAATTGATTGTGTATCAATACAATAGATTGATATAATAAAATAAATTATAATCACCTGGTAACTCTTTTCAGTGTTTAAGACTTGTAGTTGAGTTTGTATTTTTTCACAGACAGTACATTCCCTGTATGCAATGTAACTATAAAATTAATTGCTATGAAGGTTGTCTTCAGTTTTTCATAACAGAGTTGAAATTTGTTTGCAATGTCAACAAATTAAGGACATTTTCATAACTGAGAAATAAACAAATATGGCAATTCATAGGTGGTTTTGCTTTATCCTATGGATATGACTTTTAAAATGAACAATGATGATCTAGAAAATGCTGGAAACTAGAACTAATAAACATGTTTTTCAGTTAAACAATTGGGCTAAGTGTTTTTATGTGTTTAGTTATTTGTTAATAAAATTCTTCAGTTTGTAGCTGCCCATAGCATTGCTGGAGTTATTCAAATAATTGCATTATAGGTATGCTCATAACTTAGCCAAAACATTGATTTATTTTTACTGACCCTGACACAATAAATGTTGTATTGATGCCTGTAATCTCAGCACTTTGAGAAGTCAAGGCAGGCACATCTCTTGAGCCCAGAGGTTTCAGAAGAGCCCAGGCAACATGGCAAACCATTGTCTCCAAGAAAATAAAAAAGAAAGAAAAAGAAAAATAATTAGCCAGGTATTGCAGTGGAAGCTAAGGCAGACAGATTCAAAGGAGCCCGGGAGTGAGAAGCTGCAGGCTGCAATGAGCCATGATGGCTCATTGTAGTCCACACTTGACAAAAAGTGAGACCCTGTCTGAAAGACAAAGAAAGAAAGAAAGAAAGAAAGAAAGAAAGAAAGAAAGAAAGAAAGAAAGAAAGAAAGAAAGAAAGAAAGAAAGAAGGAAAGGAAGGAAGGAAGGAAGGAAGGAAGGAAGGAAGGAAGGAAGGAAGGAAGGAAGGAAGGAAGGAAGGGAGAGAGAGAGAAAGAAAGAGAGAAAGAAAGAAAGAAAAAAGAAAGGAAGAAAAAGAGAGATATGAGTTGAAATTCCTTAAGTCCTTTGATAAACTTCAGTATTGTTTTAATGTGTCTTGTCATCTCATTTTTTTATTACTACAATTCAAGGAGTTTATTTAAAGACAATTTGGGAAGGTTAACAGCTACAAATTTTTAAGAAGTAATTGAACTTTACCCAGGTGGTTGATAAGTCAACTATACAACTTAGAGTTCTTGTGCATTATGTCTTCTGGCCAATTCAAAGTACTATATTTTCATTGATTATAAAGCAAATTATCCTTTTCAACTTTCAAAACAGAAACCAAAAACAAACAAACAAACAACAACAACAACAACAAAACAGGCTGAATGTTGTGGCTTACACCTGTAATTCCAGTACTTTGGGAGGCCAAGCAGGGAGGATTGCTCAAGCCCAAGTGTTTGAAGCTGCAGTGAGCTATGATTGCACAAGTACGTTCCCACATGGGCCAAAGAATAAGGCCCTGTCTCAAAGAGCAACAACAAAAAGCCAACGATCATAAAGTTTTCAAGACGAACTTTTATCAAGGTGCAAGAATTAGACATGAAAAATTACAAAATACTGCTGAAATAAATTCCAGAAACCCTTCATAAACGTAAAGATACTCAGTGCTTTTGGATTAGAAGATGATTCTTATGTGACAATACTGCACAAAGCAAACTACAAATTCATTGTGATTTCTATGAAAATACCAAAGTCCTTTTGGCAGAAATGGGCAAGCCAATTCTAACATTCATATACATTTCAGGGGATGCTGAATAGCCAAAATATTCTTGAAAACAAAAACAAATATTGCTGCTAAGCAGCAGTCATCAAAACAGCATAATACTGGTGTAAGGACACACACAGAGGTCAATGGAACTGAAGGTTAATTCCAACTGTACCTCTATAGTCAATTGATTTTTGACAGGTAACCAAGATCAGTAAATTCAACAAATGCTGTTATGCAACTGAATACCGCATTCAGACAAAGAAATTGTACTTTTCTCACAACAGAACATAAAATTAACAGAAAATGTTTCAAAGCCTACATATTAGAGGTAAAAAAAGAAACTTTAGAAGAATATATGGGGATAGATCTTCATAATGTTGGATTTAGCAGTGGTTTCTTAGATCTGATACCAAAAGCACAGTCAACTAAAGAAAGAATTTTCTCAAAATTAAACATTTTTGTGCATCAAAAGACACTGTCAAGAAAGTGAAAAGACATGGTACAGAAAGGAAGGCTTGCATTTTATGTATGTAACAACAGTCTGCTATCGACAATGTATGAAGACTTTGCATACCTCAGTAACAAAATAAAAGACAAACAATCCAGGTACAAAACAGAGAAGTAGTTGAATACACACTTCACCAAAAAGACATGCATATGGAATACAAGCACATAAAAAGATGACCAGTAAAATATATAAGTTTTACTCCATCAGGTGTTTCCTAAATAAGCTTTTCTCATAGTCATGTGATTCCGTGTGGGAAAATTAGTCCTATCCAGCTCGACTTAAGGAGCAGCTAAGTTAACAATACTGCTGGGGAGCAAGTTTGCTTGGATGAGAAAATAAATACCTGGCAAGAAATAATATTCTGAAATGAAAACTTTCTTGCTGGACTAAAGTTTCCAGTAGAGCTGATAGTTTGTCCCTCAGCCTCCATGGGCCCAAAATTTATCATCCAGCAGGAAGTAATAAGGGAAGTCATTAAGTTAATGAGGTACATGGGTACACAAATGCCCCAAGTCTCATATCAAAGCTGTGACATAATTACATACCCTCACAGCATTTCAATATTCAAATATTAACAATTCATCTGCTTAAATATCTAAGCTTACTTTATTTACTTTACACTATACAGTTAAGGAGGTTTACAAATATTTATATGAATTGTCATGTCGTGTTCTAGGGCTTTTTTGTCACTTAAATGTATTGATGGACTACGTTACATGTAAGTACTTAAACCTAACATAACTTGGAAATAATAACACACGGTTACGGAAGATAGCAAGGTAACAGTCTGCCCGATAAATTCTTATGTAATTTCAATAATTAATAGTGTCATTAGTCTTCAGCACTGAGATGTTTTATTTACTAATTTCCCCAAACATGAACTTTCATTGCATTAACTATTATTTCCTTGATTTATAAATTGAGAGTGATCTCATCAATTATCTAACAAATAATGAATTTCTTTTTATCTTTAGAAACAGCACATCATTATCTTTTCTACAGTTAAATAGCACAAGCTCTGACTTTATTAGCTGGACAAAGCCTTGGGAAATTAGATAAGTGTGGGCACTAGGTGAATAGATTGAGAGATAGCACATAAAATTCCTGAGACACTCCAGACACTGTGTTACCACAATTAAAATCAGATGAGACTGCAGGTAGTTGAGCAGACTGAGTGGGCACAGGAAACAGGCAGGAGAACTTGGGGTCTGCAGCTATGGTGAGTTCTATGGTTCTTGTTCTAAGGTCAGTGGGAAACCATTGGCAAAATTAAATCAGGAGAGTGACAGGATGAAACTTGTGTTTGTAAGTGAATATTTTGCCATTACCCTTACCAGTACCAACCCTGTATTTCCCGATGTTGTAGTTATGTGGTGGTACCCTTGGAGAATGTCTCCACTTTTTGTAAAACCCACTGGGATATTTTGCATAAAGCTTCAAATCTGGCACAGCAGAAACCACTGGAGATTCTGGGAGAGAGGATTACTCTATACTAATAGCTATTGGAAGTTTCCTAGAAGTATGAAATTATTGAGAAATAAACTACTTTTTAATAAAAACAACCATGTCAATACCTTGTCACTAAAGCAGAGACAACAACATCAAACATCATTATAGAGGCCAAATCCAACCCAAATCCAGCTCAGTGGAAGCTCTGAAAAAAAGTGCCCTGGTAAGAGTAGGAATGTTATGACAGCATTGCAGGTGTTACATCTTTATGTTGAGAGTTACATCAGTAATTATGGGTGTTACATCATATTATGGTTGTTTCATTTGTATTACAAATGTTGTGTTAGTATTATGGGTGTTAGTATTACCGGTGTTACATCAGTATTACAGTTGTTACATCAGTATTACGGTTGCTATATTTGTATTGCAGGATGATATAATGGTATTATGAGTGGTATAATGGTATTATGAGTGTTACAGTTGTATTACAGGTGTCAGGACAGCATTATTACACAAGTGTTATGGATGTTTCATTTGTATTGTGGGTTGTATATTGGTATTATGAGCTTGGCACTTGTATTATGGGTCTTAGATAAGTATTCCGGTTGTTATATTTGTGTTTCAGATGGTATACTGGTATTATGAGTGTTTTATTGCTGTTAATGAGTGTTACAGTGGTAATACGGGTGTTAGATGAGTATTTCAGGTGTTACATTAGTATTACGAATGACACATCTGTATTATGGTTGATATATTTGTTTACAGATGTTATATTTCTATTACAGATGTTATATGATGAATGATACATTTGTGGCACGAGGCCACGGTGTGGACCTGGCATTGTGGCCACCACAAATTGCGTGTGGGGAAGGACGTTGGGGTGCACTTAAAGCCATGGGATATTTTTATGTTTAATTTTCCACAAGAAGCCCTTCTCCTGGGTCCCTGATCCTCAGCAGTCAGAGGGAAATTTTTATTTACCACTCCCTCCAGCTGTCCCACAGCAAGGCGTTGTTGCTCTGGTCTGTGCTGAGAAGAACGCTGCTCTCCCCCTCAAGCAGCATGCGCTGAAAACACCTGCACTCCCAGGGTCAGAAAAGGCAGACTCTTGCGTCCCCTGCTAGCAGCCGGAAGAACTGCAGGACACTCATGGTCAAGGTGAAGCAGCCGCGTGCGTGCGACGCCCCACCTGGCTGGCCTGCGGCACCAAATAAAAGCAGAGGTCAGACTGTTCAAAGCCGTCATTTTAGAAATTCAAATGGAAATGTTGCCTATTATCTTGGTTTCTTTTTTTATTATTATTTTAGTTTCAGGCGTACATGTGAAGGTTTGTTATATAGGTAAACTCCTGTCATGGACGTTCGTTGTACAGATTATTTCATCACCCAGGTATTAAGACTAGAACTCAATAATTATTTTTCCTGCTGGTCTCTCTTTTCCCACCCTCCACCCTCAAGTAGGTCCCATGTCTATTGTTCCCTTCTTTGTGTTCATGAGTTGTCATCATTTAGCTCCCACTTCTAGTGAAAATATGTGGTATTTGGTTTACTGTTCCTACATTACTTTGCTAAAGATAATATCCTCCAGCTCCATCCATGTTCCCTCAAAGGCATAACTGTATTCTTTTTTATGGCGGCATAGTATTTTTTGTGAGTATGTGCCACATTTTCTTTAATCCAAACCATCACTGATGGGCATTTAGATTAATTCCATGTCTTCTGTTGGGAATAGTCCGCATGAACATTTGCATTCATGTGTCTTTATGGTATAATGATTTATATTCCTTTGAGTACATATCCAGTAAAGGGAATGCTGGGTTGAACAGTAGTTCTGCTTTCCAGTCTTTGAGGAATTGCCCTACTGCTTTCCCCAACAGTTGAACTAATTTACATTCCTACCAACAGTGCATAATTTTTCCTTGGTTTCTGTAACCTCGCCTGCATCTGTTATAACTTTTCTTTACAATAATAGCCATTCTGACAGGTATGAGATGGTATCTCACTTTTTTTTTTGCTTTGATTTGCACTTCTTTAATAATCAATAATATCGAGCTTTTAAAAATAAGTTTATTGGCTGCCTGTATGTCCTTTGAAAAGTGTGTGTTCACACTTCTCACAAGAAGACATTTATGCAGCCAACATACGAAAAATGCTCATCATCACTGGCCATTAGAGAAATGCAAACTACCATGCCATGGTGGTTTGCTGCACCCATCAACTCATCACCTACATTAGGTATTTCTCCTAATGTTTTCTCCGCACTATCCCACCACCCGCCACCATGTGATGTTTTTCTCCCTGTGTCCATGTGTTCTCATTGTTCAACTCCCACTTGAAAATGAGAACATGTGGTGTTTGGTTTACTATTTTTCTGATAGATTGCTGAGAATGATGTTTGCCACCTTCTTTCATGTCCCTGCAAAAGACATGAACTCATCCACTTTTACGGCTGCACACTATCCCATGGTGCATATGTGTCACCTTTTCTTTATTCAGTCTATTATCAATGCACATTTGGGTTGTTTCCAAGTGTTTGCTACTGTGAATAGTGCTGCGATAAATGTACATGTGCATGTGTCTTTATAGTAGAATGATTTATAGTCCTTTGGTTATATGCGCAGTAAGGGGATTGCTGGGTCAAATGGTATTTCTCGTTCTAGATCCTAGTCTTCCACAAGGGTTAAATTATTAACAAACCCACCAACACTGTAAAAGCATTTCTATTTCTCCACATTGTCTGCAGCATCTGCAGTTTTCTGCTATTTTAATGATCGCCATTCTAACTGGTTTGAGAGGGTATCTCACTGTGGTTTGGATTTGTGTTTCTCTAATAACGAGTGATAATTTAATGAGCATTTTTTCATATGTTTGTTGGCTGCATCAAAGTCTTCTTTTGAGGAGTGTCTGTTCATATCCTTTGCCCACTGTTTGATGAGGTTGTTTGTTTATTTCTTGTAAACTTGTTTAAGTTCCCTGTAGATTCCTGATATTAGCCTTGTCTCAAGGTAGATAGATTGCAAGATTTTTCACCCATTCTGTAGGTTGTCTGTTCACGTTGTTGATAGTTTATTTTGCTGTGCAGAAGCTCTTTAGTTTAATTAGATCCCATTTGTCAATTTTGGCTTTTATTGCCATCGCTCTTGGTGTTTAAACATGAAGACTTTGCACATGCCCTATGTCCTGAATGGTATTGCCTAGGTTTTCTTCGAGGTATTTTATGGTTTTAATCCTTATGTTTAAGTCTTTAATCCATCTTGAGTTCATTTTTGTGTAAGGTGTAAGGAAGTGGTCCAGTTTCAGTTTTCTGAATAGCTAGCCAGTTTTTTCAACGTCATTCATTAAAGGGAAAATATTTCCCCCATTGCTTGCTTGTTTCGGGTTTGTCAAAGATCAGATGGTAGTAGATGTGTCGTATTATTTCTGAGGCCACTGTGCTGTTCCATTGGTCTATATATCTGTTTTGGTACAAGTACCGTGCTGTTTTGGTTACCGTAGCCTTGTAATATAGTTTGAAGTCAGGTAGTGTGATGCCTCCAGCTTTGTTCTTTTTGCTTAAGATTGTCTTGGCTGTGCAGGCTCTTTTTTGGTTCCATATGAATTTTAAGGTTTTTTTCCAATTCTGTGAAGAAAGTGATTGGTAGCTTGATGGGGATAGCATTGAATCTATAAATTACTTTGGGCAGTATGGCCATTTTTACAATATTGATCTTCCTATCCATGAGCATGGAAGGTTTTTTCATTTCTTTATGCCCTCTATTATTTCCTTGAGCATTGGTCTGAAGTTCTCCTTGAATAGTTTCTTCACATCCCCTGTAAGTTTTATTCATAGGTATTTTATTCACTTAGTAGCAACTGTGAATAGGAGTTTACCCATAATTTCACTGTCTCTCTGTTATTGTGCGTAGGAATGCTTGTGATTTTTGCACATTGATTTTGAATCCTGAGGCTTATCTGAAGGTGCTTACCAGCTCAGGGTGATTTTGCCCTGAGATGGCGGGTTTTCTAAGTTTATAATAATGACCTCTGCAAACAGAGACAATTTGACTTCCTCTCTTCTGATTTGAATACCCTTTATTTCTTCCTCTTGCCTGATTGCCCTGGCCAGAAGTTTCAATACAATTTTGAATAAGAGTGACAACAGAGTGTATCCTTGCATTGTACAGGTTTTCAAAGGGAATGCTTCCAATTTTTGCCCGTTCGCTATGATATTGGCGGTGGCTTTGCCATAAGTAGATCTTATTATTTTGAGATAAGTTCCATCCTTACCTAGTTGATTGAGAGATTTTACATAAAGTGGTGTTGAATTTTGATGAAGGCCTTTTCTGCATCTATGAAGATAATCATGTGGTTTTTGTCGTTTGTTCTGTTTATGTGATGTGTTACATTTATTGATATGCGTATGTTGAACTAGCCTTGTATCCCAGGGATAAGGCTGACGTAATCGTGGTGGATAAGCTTTATGATGTGCTGCTGGATTCAGTTTGCCAGTATTTTATTGAGGATTTTCACAGCAATGTTCATGAGGCATATTGGTCTGAAATTTTCTTTTTTGGTGAGGCTCTGCCAGGTTTTAGCATCAGAATGATGCTGGCCTCATAAAATTATTTAAGGAGGATTTCCTTTTTTTAGTTTGTAATAATATCAGAAGGAATGGTACCAGTTCCTCTTTGTATCTCTGGTAGAATTCGGCTATGAATCTGTCTGGTACAGGATTTTCTTGGTTGGTAGGCTCTCAGTTACTGCCTCAGTTTCAGAACTTGTTAATGGTCTATTCATGAATTTAACGTCTTCCTGGTGTAGACTTGGGAGGGTGTATATGTCAAGGCATTTCTCCATTTCTTTTAGATTTTCTAGTTTATTTGCATAGAGCTGTTTATAGAATTATCTGATGGTAGTTTGTATTTCTGTGGGATCAGTGGTGATATTGCCTATATCACTTTTTATTGCATCTATTTTATTTTTCTCTCCTTTTCTTCTTTATTGCTTTGGCTAGTGGTCTATCTATTTTGTTGATATTCTCAAAAAAACAGTGCGTGGATTTACTGATTTTTGAAAGTTTTTTTTTGGTGTCTCTATCTCCTTTAGTTCTGCTCTGATGTTAGTTATTTCTTGTCTTCTGCTAGCTGTTGAATTGGTTTGCTATTACTTCACTAGTTCTTTTCATTTTGACGTTAGTGTATCTATTTTAGACCTTTCCTGCTTTCTCTTGTGGGCATTTAGTGCTATCCGTTTTTCTCTACACACTGCTTTAAATGTGTCCCAGAGATGGTGATATGTTGTGTTTTCATTATCATTGGTATCAAAGAACATCTTTATTTCTTCCTTATTTTGTTATTTACTCATCAGTGATTTAGGAACAGGCTGTTCAATTTCTATGTTGTTGTGTGGTTTTGAGTGAGTTTCTTAATCTGGGTTCTAATTTGATTGCACTGTGGTCTGGAAGGCTCTTTGTTATAATTTGCATTCTTTGGCATTTGTTGAGGAGTGTTTTACTTCCAATTATGTGGTCAATTTTTGAATACATGTTATGTGACACCGAGAAGAATGTATATTCTGTTGATTGGGGGTGGATAGTTCTGCAGATGTCTATTAGTTTTACTTAGTCCACAGCTGATTTCAAGTCCTGCAAATCCTTGTTAATTTTCTGTCTCATTGATGGCTGCCTGTTCTTTACTCTGGAAGCTTCATCCCCAGGGGGCACCTTCAGATTCCAGCCAGTGCTCTCCTGTATGAGGTGTCTCCCAGTCAGGATACACAGAGGCCATGGATCCACTTGAGAAGGCAGTCTGACCATTAGCAGAGCTCAAACACTGTGATAGGACGTCTGCTGCTCTCTTCACAGCCATCAGGCAGTTATGTTGAAGTCTGTGATGCTGCATCCATGGCTGCCCCTTCCCCCAGATGTACTGTCCCAGGGAGACAGGGGTTTTATTTATAAGCCCCTGACTGGGGATTCTATCATTTTTTCAGAAATGTCTTGCACAGAGAGGAGAAATCTGGCAGCCTAGCCACATCAGCCTTGCTGAGCTGCAGTTGGCTCCAACCAATTCAAACTTTCCTGTGGCTTTATTTACACTACTAAGGTAAAATGGCCTACTCAAGACTCAGCAATGGCGGATGACCCTCCCCCCAGACAAGCTCGAGTATTTCAGGTCGATCTCAGACTGCTGCTGTGCTGGCAGAGAGAATTTCAAGCCAGTGAACCTTAGTTTGTTTGCCTCTGTAGGGGGTGTCACTCCCCAAGCCAGACCACTTGGCTCCTTGGCCTCATCACCTCTCTCCAGGGGAGTGAACGGTTCTGTCTCCTTAACATTCCAGGCACAATTAAGGTATGAAAACAAACAAACAAACAAACAAAAAATTCCTCCAGCTAGTTCAGTGTTTGCTCTAACAGCTGCCCAGTTTTGTGCTTGAAACCCATGGCCTTCATGGGGTAGGCACCAAAGGGAATATCCTGGTCTGTAGGTTGTGAAGACCACGGGAGAAGCACATATCTGGAATAGGGCCCTTGGTTTCTCGGGCTTCCCGGGTGAGGTGATGCCCCACCCTGCTTCATCTCACACTCCATGGGCTGCACCCACTGTCCAACCATTCCCAGTGAGATGAGCAGTGTACCTCAGGTGGAAATGCAGGAATCACTCACCTTCTGCATCGATCTCTTTGGGAGCTGCAATCTGGAGCTGTTTTTATTCAGCAATCTTGCCAGCAATTCCCCTTCATTTTTTTTTTTTTAATGGTGAAGGAGCCATTAACTGGAAATGTAAAACTATGCAAATTCTAGAAGAAAGCACAGACATAAATGTATGTGATCTTGGATTTGGTCATAAGTTTTAACAAATGACAACAAAGCCGATCAGCAATGGTAAAAAAAAAATTAATAATTTAAGGTTTCTCATATTAAAAGCTTATACTCTGAGTAAAATCTTGTTCAGGAAATAGAAAGATAAGCAACACACTGAAAATAAATATCTGCAAAATACAGATCTGGGTAAAAACTTGCACTGAAAATACACCAATCTTGAAACTCAAAAATAAGATATAATACCTAATTAACAATGAGTAAAGAGCTGAACACACCAATGAAAATACGAAGATGGCAAGCAAACAAAAAGATGCTCAAACTCATATATCTTTAAGTGACTGAAAATTACAACAATGAGTTAGCATGGCTCATCTATATTTGTTGGAACTACTAAACCATTTTTAAAACATGACAACTGATTTGCTGCAGGAAAAACAACAATTCATTCATTGTTTGTGGAATGCATGATGGCACAGAAAGAAAAAGAACTCTTTCAAACTCTCATATTAACCTGAAAGCCTGTTTCTATCCTCTATCATACACACAAGGTGCTATTTGGTCTACCTTTTGGTGACAGACTCGAGATCCAATATAATTTGTGCATCTGTAAGAAGTAGCTGGGATCCAGACAGAAGGCAGATGGTCCCCACAGTCAAAGTCATCTAAGAACTTTTTAATAAAGAGGGACTTATTCAGGGTATCTAAAAAAGATGGTGGAGTTCCCTGGGATAGTAACAGGACCATACTCTTTGTACTCCTTGGGAATGGAGAATTAGGGGAGAGAGAAATTCTCAGCACTGGAGAGACAGAGATGGTTCAGAGCACTTGAAAGATGTCATCACAGGCACTATGACCTCTCTGGGACTTGAGATGAAGCAGCCAGTCTAGGGCCACTGTATGTGGAGGCTGGTGTCCCCACTAGCCAAACCCAATCAGCAGGCAGAGAGCAAAAAAATGCCTTGATACCATCTAGAGGCAGGTTAGCAGAGTTTAATCCAGAAATCATAATTTTATAAATCTTTCCAATTTAAGCCTCCTTTACAAGTATAAAACATAGTTTTATACTGACTTAGTATGAATCACTAATACATGCAAGCCATGCACAGTGGCTCATGTCTGTAATCCTGGCTATTTGTGAGGCCCAGGCTAGTGGAACATTTTGGTGAAAAGATTGAGACCAGCCTGGCCAACATGGTGAAACCCTGTCTCTATTAAGCATATAAAAATTAGCTGTGTGTGTGTGGAGCGGGTGGGGGGGGGGGCGGTAAATTCCTGTAGTCTTACCTACTTGAGAGGCAGAGGCAGGAGAATTGCTTGAACATAGGAGGTGGACATATGGTTTAAGAGATGCATGTTTTTATTTTTATTCTCTTCCAGTTTTTCTTCCTTTAGTAGTAAATAGTCACTTATCTCTTGAACACTTTCATTCACAATATATTTGTTTTGTTATTGCCGAAGACTGTGCTTTGACACACATTAACTCAATCTGAAACTTAAAAAGGAAAATTTGCATTTGAATGATGACTTTACAGTGCTGCAAAAGTAAAAGCTGGCAGGCTCCTTTTAGCATAGCGTCACAATTTAACTGAGGTCACTGAACCGATGTCTGAATCTCTGCAATAAGACCCAAACTACAGTAACAAAAATTGTCTTCTGCCCTGCAGTTGGGGCAGAGGAAGTTTTATGGACAACATCCCATGAAGCAAGTCCTTCTAAGTAAGATTATAACCTCATTTTGCATAGGCATTGAAGAACTTAAAACAGTCACTCATCATAGCAATATAGATTTGTTTTAAATATGAAAAGGTAAGGTAAAAATGGCCAGGCATGGTGGCTCCCGCCTGTAACTCCAGCACTTTGGGAGGCCAACATGAGAGGATAGCTTGAGCTCAGAATTTCCAGACTACCTTGGGCAACAAGGAAAAACCCGGTCTCTACTAAAAGTGCAGCCGGACACTGGCTCAAGCCTGTAATCCCAGCACACTGGGAGACCATCATGGACAGATCACTTGAGGTAAAAAATTTGAAACCACCCTAGCCAACATGGTGAAACCCAATCTCTACTAAAACTATAAATATTAGCCAGGCATGGTAGCAGGTGTCTGTATTCCCCGCTACCCAGGAGGTTGAAACAGGAAAAATCACTTGAAAACAAAGGCAGTGGTAGCAGTGAGCCCAGTTTGCATCATTACACTCAAGCCTGGGCAACAGAACGAGACTCCATCTTAAAAAAATTAAAAAGTAAAAAACAAAAACAAAAAAAAGACATAATTTTCTTGGTGTGGTGGGGTATGGCTATAATCCGAGCTTCTCGGGAGGTGGAGACACAAGAATTGCTTTACCCTGGGAGGTGATGATTGCAGTGAGCCGATATAACACTAGTGCACTCCACACTGAATGACATAATGAGGCTCAGTCTCAAAAAAAAAAAAAAAGTAACATTTTGTGTAGAGCTTTTCTTTTCTTAGTATTCTCTATGTCATATTTGAATAAGAAGGCATACAAAGTTCTCACAAAAGTTCAACTTGCAAAAATGTTTTAAGTGCCTAAAATTCCAGCTTCATCTTCAGACAGCAAGCATAAAAATAAACAGAAAATTAAACAAGCAATGGCAGGTGATAAATGCATTGCATTTAGTTTTAATATGTGAGATAACACTATAATGTCAAAAATTTTAGCTGCTGCTGATGAAAGGAAAGAACAGGTTAATGTAGAAACAGAACAATAATAATATTGGCCACCTGCTATGAACTAGGCTCATACGTTAACTCACTGAATTCCCTCAACAACCCTATAATGTGGAAAACATCCTAGGGTTTACAGCTGAGGAATCTGCAATCAAAGGACCTGCCCAAAGGCACACAAGAAATTAGGACACAGATAGGATTCAAGGAGGACTCTAAGAATCAAAGCACTGTCTACACTTTCATATATGATGTTGATTGAAATTAAGAACTGTTGAGTTAACTTTAGTCATCCCCATCTTTGCCGTAGAAATGGCAGTTTAAACATCTCGAGAGAAAAATTTTGGATAAATTATACATGACTAAAATTGTGTATGTTCATTAAAATCTATTTCAAAAAAATATGCTAAACAATTCCTTGAGTTCTTACATAAAACTTACAGATTGATTGAGTTCCTCCTTTTTTGTATTACTAACTGTGAGTTCGTCTTGCAAGTAAACAGCTTTTCCTGAAAGAAATAGCCCTTTAAACACCATAATGTTTTCCTTGTGAATACAAAAGCTATTTAATATTTATGGCCAGTATGTCAGACCTAATGACCATTATTTTATAATATGAAATAGCCTGTGTAGGGGACAAAACTTTCACAGGCAAGTAAGAAATAAGCCCTGTTAGCTAACAGGTGATGTGAAGCTATAACTGTCATCTATGTGGTGAAATTCCACCATCTACACCTGCTAACCAGAGAGGTTTTAAGTTCCTTGAAGAAGAAGATCTGTCTGTTACTATATTGTAAAAGACAATATTGTTATTGTATTGTAGGTATTACTTTGTCATTTTCATTTTATTTAACTTGAATCTATGTAGATATAATATCAAGGCAAAATTTGCTACATAGATGATGGTAGTAATTTATAAAAGAAGGGTTAGTCTCCACAAGATAGTAGTAAAAGCGGAAGCCACACACTGGGTGTCTGGACATCAAATAACCACCCTTGGTGTACTCCCAATAGTCTAATTGAAAATTCCAACAAAACGTCACCTCTCCTAACAGGCAATTTCCTAAAAATATATTGAAATATAAAATATCTGAAGATTGAGACATTACTCATCTTCCAGTTTCAAGTGAAATATACACAAGAAATCAGGAGGTTATATGTAAAGTAAAAATATTATAAATAAAAATATTTTAGAAGGCCACAAAATAAGAAGCTATGTCACAGGAAACAGAGAAGTTAAAGTTTTTCCTTAAGTGGAAAAGAACATATCTCATGCTAAAAGTAATAGGCACCAGAGGCAATAAGTTGCTGCCACCTTGATAATTACAGGTTTTTCAAAATATATTGAAATAAAGCTTATTAAAAATACAGAAACAATCACTGGCCTTTCTGACTATATAAAATATTAAAAATAATGGTTTCTCAAAAGGCAGTGAAGACAATTTTTTTAATTTTACATAATTAAAATTACAAAAAATATGAACTATCGAAGAGACAATGAAACATAAAGTTTTTTTTTTGTTTTTTTAGAATATAAAACAGACCCAAATTGGGAAGCTAATAACCTGTATCAAAACTGAAAACTACAGCTACTTACCCCACCCAAACCTCACCTTTATTCTTCCTTTTCTCTCCAATCAGTCAATTAGTTCTAATGATGGAGTCATCCATTAGTTCAAGTTGTTACCTGATATTTATAATGAGTCAATATAAATTTCATAGTTATCTCTCCAGAAAGATGGTTATCAATGTGGGAGCTTATCTACGGTACAGGTGAACCTGAGGGCACTGAAGACGACATTACGTGAACTTCAATGTCCCTCAGTACTAAAGCCAGGGATAGGAATTTCAAACATAACATGTCCAGTAAAACCCTGCCTTGATGTTATAAAGCACCATCATACGAAATGGAGGGTTATGTTGTCATAAGGTTACTGAAAGCATCACTTTCCAGTTGGTCTCAGGTGACCCAAAGAGCAAGGAAGAAAAATAAATGTACACAGCACACGGCAGACTCAATCCCACATGATAATTAGACAATCACTTTCATCCCACCTGTACTATCTGCCTAGGCCAAACAAATGTAAGGACTTTTGTGCCTAGGGAACAAGCACAGTCTGGGGAACTAGGTGCTAAGAGCATTGTATCTGAATTAGCAGTACCTAAAGGCATATTTTCACAGTTTTACTTTTCTTTCCCAGCTTTTACAAGCTGTCTTTTGATTCCAAAAGGATAAAGAAACACTCCTGTGGTGAACAGTCCCCAAACTCCAACACTTGCCAAAGTCATACGAGAATTCCCAATGCCAGAAAGACACCATGCAGACCATGGAAGCTGTCAAAATGATACCAAATAGTTCAGTAGCTCCATAATGATATAAAATTAACAAACATACTTTAATACATGTATTCCTGAAAATTCAGTAACTACAGAAACTTCATGTTAGCTCTTTTAATGTAGAAACTGACAAAAAAATTGGATAAAATACATCATTTTATAAGTAAAAAATAAAGTTTCTCATGGTTAGGAGTAATATGTACCAGAAGCAGTAAGCTGCTGCCAACTTCTTGACAACTACGGAGTTATCAAAATATATAGAGAATATATTAGGAATTCAGAATCTATAAAAAAACTAGTCTTTTTTTGAAGATAGAATTTGTTTATAGAATAACCTCAAGAAAGCTTTGCAAGTTCTGTGTAATGGAATATTCATGATAAATTATGAGGAAGGCAATAAAAGGAGACCAAATAAATGCCCAGGGCACCTGAGTTGCGTCATTTCCTCCTGATACGTAAACTACAAATATTAGCTAAGAATTTTTTATGTGTTTGATGCTTTCAAACCCACTGAAAAGTGACCACATGGGCATAAGGTCTTAGCACTGAGGTATTACTCACTGATATAAAAGATCAGAGTAGAGAAAAGCCAAAGTAATCATAATTGTCCATATTTTCTTTCCCTCTATCAATTTTTGCCTCAAATAGTTAATTTTACCTCCTTTCTTTTGATTCTGGCTTTGCAGAATCATGAAGGAATACAAGGAACATGTTCACTGACAAACATTTGGACCACTAAGTGTAATTTATACATTGTTAGATATCCCCATCATTGTGGCACTATGAGTGGGGTAGAGGAAAATGTAACTGAAAGTGATTATAATTGAAACTTTACAGCTTATCAACTATGCAACCTGAGTAAATCACAATGTGCACTGCCCTTGATAAGTATTTGAGAAGACACAAGGAAGAAGAACAGAGGACGTGCTTTTCTATACCTTGTCTTTTAAAAACTACTCTAACTCAAATGTGAGAAAGTATAGGCTATTGATAAACATATGTATTTTTTTGAACACTAAAGTTTGCATAAGATGGAAACCTTAGAATACTTCCTTAGTTTTTGTTTTATGTTTCTGCCAATGTAATTTAAACAAATTACTTCTTCAAACGTGCCAAAGCATTATGCTAGAAGTTTGTATTTTAGGTTTCTGTGATAGGTCTCCTCAAGACACTTTGTATTCTGCTCCCATCTACTAAGTCCTCAGTCATGCTTTTATATTTTTCTTCCTGGAGTTTATGGGTTCTGAAATTAGCAGAAACATAAAGTAAATAAACTATAATAGCTGAGTTAACACATTTAGGAAAAGCATCATGTGGCATGTTTTTAGTTCAACAGACTAAAACTAGTACATGACAGTTACTACTGGGACGTAAAACAAAAGAACCAGAAGTCCTCAGTGTATTTTATGAACCGACCTAGTTACAATGTGTTGAAACTAGCAGAAGCAGGGGGCTGTGGCATATGACTGAGAAGAGTGGGAGGGTCTCTTACTGAGGGGAGTGAGAGAGTCTCAATGAAGAAGTGATTTCTCATAGAAGATAATTAACACTTAAACAATAGCTAAAGGTGATAAACGGTCCAAATCAATTCTGGGATGAAAGAATAATACTGTTAGTTACAAAGTCATAAAAGTGCACTTATGGGCTGGGAGCTGTGGCTCATGCCTGTAATCCCAGCACTTTGGGAGGCCAAGGCAGGTGTATCATCTCAGGATAGGAGTTCAAGACCAGCCTGGCCAACATGTTGAAACCCCATCTCTACTAAAAATATAAAATTAGCCAAGCATGATGTCACACAGCTGTAATCCCAGCTATTCAAGAGGCTGAGGAAGGAGAATCACTTGAACTCCGGAGGCAGAGTTCACAGTGAGCTGAGATTGTGCCATTGCACTCCAGCCTGGGTAACAAGAGCAAAACTTTATCTCAAAAATAAAAAAAAAGTGTACTTATGTATTTGAATCTTCTATAATGCTCTTTGTAACTCTGGAATTTAATTAATTATCTCATAGATATGTAAGGTACAATATTTGTTTTTCTCACTTAATAATCTATCAGCTTTAGTCAAGTATGGTAGCCTTCAGCTATAATCCCAGCTTTGCAGAATGCTGAGGCAGGAGAATCACTTGAGCCCAAGAGTTTCAGACCAGCCTGGACAACATAGCATGACCCTGTCTCTTAAAATCAAAACAACACCACCAAATAACCCTACAAAACAAACAAAAAAACCCTATGGATTGAATACTGATCAAGTACCAAAAGAGAGGGCAACAGATAGATGGGTCGTTCCAGGCTTCCAAATACTTAAGAATAAAATAATTTTCATAGTGAGACTTCAAGTCACCCATTGCACTGATTCCTAAGCCAGGGAGGTGGATTTACAGGTGATGAGATTCAGCCATCCTGAGAAGTTCTATAAAACACTGACTAGTCTAAGAACAGTTAAAGGCTCCAGGTATTAGCTCCCTCTGCTGGTAATCTGGAAAGCCATGGAGAGATAAACTACATTGATTTAGTATATATGCTGAGAGAAGGGAAAAGGAGTAGAGAAAATGGAGGTTAAAAAAAGTGGCACACTCTCTCTGCCCAAAAGTTGTTTCTCTTTTTTTTCTCTATCTCGATTAATTTACCTTTTCATTGTTCCCAAAAAGAGAGTAAGGTACACAGCGAGCTGAAATAAAAAAAAAATCAAACCTAGAGAAGTGAGAAAACAACATTAAATAAGATGGAGACAAATTATTTAATGAGCTAAAATCCCTAAATTATCTTTGGGTGTCAATTAACAGCACATTCCCAATAGAAAAGAAGGCTTCTTGTGCAAACCACAGACAGGTGAGATTGCTGTCAATCCCAGATAATATATGAATGATAAAACATTTCTGAGCACTTGGACAATGCGAATAGCATTGAGAAATAGTTTCATCCAGTACAAGTCAAGTCAAACCACAATACTTCCTTTTTTTGAGCACAGAGCTGGTAAAAGACGCAGGCCTGGATATTTGGAATTCAGTCACAATACATAAACACACAAAACTATCAGACCTGAAGGACTGAAGTTAACTTTAAAACATATGATCTGTTCAAGTATTAACAGTGTCTCCAAATTTTCTGTTTGATGTTACTGTAGCCTGGTGATAACACCTCATTCTGCCTTTCATCTTAACAGTTAACATTTCAAAAGCACAGCCTTCGCGTTTGTTTCTCTTAAAGTGTAAATTCTAATGCTGCGTGATACCACCTTTACAAAAAAAGAATTCTACTTGGTAATAAACATGAGAATATTTAGACATATATTTAGTAATTCTTTTTAATCTCATCATTCTGAATATCCAAAATAAACATACATACCTGCAATTCAAAAGCTTCAACTCTCTGCTTCAGCTCTGCTTTTCTTTCTCTTAACAGATACATATCTTTAAGTAAAAGAAGACTTTGAGCATAAAGTTTCTCATTTCAACTGGTAAAAAAGCATTAATTTTGGCCACTTACAGTGGCTCAACACTTTGGGAGGCTGAGGCAGGAAGGTCATGAGGTCAGGAGTTCAAGATCAGCCCAGCCAAGATGGTAAAAACTCCATCTCTACTAAAAATGCAAAAGTTAGATGGGCATGATGGCAGGCTACTCAGGAGGTTGAGGCAGGGAATTGCTTGAACTTGGTAGGCCAAACAGCAATGAGCTGAGATCACGCCAATGCACTCCAGCCTTGGTGACAGAGCAAGACTGTCTCAAAATAAACAACAACAAAAAAAGGCATTACGTTTTAGCAAGCAAGTTAATGAAAGCATAACAAATTTGAGTAAATACTCTCCTTCCTGAATTCCAAAAAACAAAGTACAGAAATAGAGAATAACAATTTCACCTTCAAATGATTGCAACTCAGCTGGGCATGCTGATTCACTCTTATAATCCTAGCCATTTGTGAGACCAAAACAGGCCGATCACCTGAGGTCAAATTTTGAGGCCAGCCTCGCCAATATGGTGAAACCACATCTCAACAAAAATTACAAAAATTAACTTGGTATGGTGGTGGGCACTTCTAATCTCAGCTAATTGGGAGGCTGAGGCAGAAGAATCTCTTGAACCTGGGAGACAGAGGTTGCAATGATCCAAGGTAGTGCCATTGCACTCCAGCCTGGGCAAAAGATTAAAACTTCGTCTCAAAAAAAGAATCCACTTCAATGTATTCCACAACTAGCTATTCCAGCTGCATAAATATTTACTTTTCAATTTCTGTTAAACTACCTTCCCATATATTTTTAACATCCCTTGTGTAATTCATGCTACTTAGTTAACTTCTCTCAGTCCCTTATGTAACTTTTTTTTTTTTTTTTGAGACTGGGTTCTCCTCTGTTGCCCAGGCTTGAATGAAGCATTGTGGTTTTGGATAACTGCAACCTCTGCATCCCAGAATCAAAGGATCCTCCTACCTCAGCCTTCTGAGTAGCCAAGACTACAAACACTGACCACCAAGTTCAGCTACATTTTGTGTAGAGTCGGGGTTGTGCCATGCTTCCCAGGCTGGTGTTGAAGCTGTGATTCAAATGAATCACCATCTCAGCCTCTCAAAGTGCTAAATCTATAGACATGAGCCACACACCTGGCCTCCTTAACTAAAATTTTGTAAGTTCTTCAGGAAAAAATAATTAAAATATACATTCAGAAATAAAGCCCAAAGGAATAAAATCCCCATGGTTTTTAGTGGTGCTGCTGTCTGAATGTTTCAGTTTATGAGTCATCATGACTGAGAGTTAGCAAGCTCATATGAACTTGTAAAAGAATGAGACAACCTTCCACTTATGTCTTCACAGAGTAAGAATTTACTAACTACCTGTCATATATCAAGAAGCATACTGGGAACTAGATATAAAATTTAGACAGATACAGTCCTCATCTCTGAAGACCTCACAGTATAGTCAGGGAGAAACAATCACACTATGATAGGATAAATTTATAACTGAACTTAATAAAGACCGCATGCAGGAATGAGACCTAAATGAGTTGCTCAGTGGCAGTCAGGGAAGGCATCTCAGGGGTGACACCAAAGCTGGGCCTTGAATGACACTATGGTTTTATCAGGGAGAGAAGGAGATTGATATTCCAGGTGAGGAAATACAGGCATGGTGGTTTTTATGAGAAGGACAGTCTTCCTCAAAGACTCAGATCCTCGCAGTTGAATAAACAGAATTCTAGTCGGTCAACTATCTTGAAGCTGAAGTTACTAGTCTAAACACAATCTAATCATCTCTAAGATCTGTGCATCCAAAATTCAACTTTATAGCTGAAGCAAGCCCTAAATTTCCAGAAATTCTATAGAAAATTTTAGAGCCGGTGCCCTTAGTATTAAAGAGCTATGTCTCATTGAGAATTTCCAAGCAAGAGTGGGCACTAGGGGGAAGCCTTCCTACTTTTAACATCTGTCAGTAGCTGTTGTAGATGTATGTTTGAAATACTGCTGTAAATCCTGTCTCTTCTAAAACACACACTTGGAAAAGGAATAAGATTACCTAAAGGAGTATATCCAATCCCACTTGCCAACTAAAACTCCTTGTCATTCCTCATCGTCTTAATCTCCTTTCCAGTTACTTTCCTGGTGATGAGATCAAATGGCCACATTGATGACCCTGGGGACTCTGGTGAATCCTTCACCCCAGGAATATTTACTCTTGCTCATTTCCATGGCTCCATCCAATGACAGCGTACTGCTTTTGATTTCCAGTCTCCACCTGAAACCTCATTCTGCAATTCCGCACTCCTGGACCATCGTTATTCTTGCACCTGTCAGTCTCTTCAGATCTAGTTCCTGATCACTGAGACTACCACTTAACCCTCCCTTTCCCCAAAGGTTACCAGCCACCTGCCCTCTCCTCTGCTTACCCTTGCTACACAGGAGAATGATATAATCTTCAATTAAATTCTCTGACTTTCTCAAGGAAAATGAATTATGTTCTGCAAAGCTCCACTTCCCAAGTATCTCCATCTCTCCACCCTCACTGAAAGGGGCAGCAGAGAGAGACCCTTAAAATTTCTCCCTAGATCTAGAACAGAAAACTCAACTATAAACATGTGGTTTTATCTCTCTCAATCCCAGGTTACTGTAACCAAAGCTGGGCCATCAGTACAGGTAACCACTCTGCTCTGCTTTAAAGAGCTGTTCTTACCTTACCCACATGAGCTACTCTGCACCTCCGAGCTGCTCCTAAAACTCATGACCTATCTTCTTAATTGGCCTGAGACGATGAAGCATTTTTATGGTGTGTTTCTCATAATTACAAGTTGACTGGTCAACTCTGCAATGCTTTCCTTTCCACTAGTCTCGAAGGACACAAATCTATGTATCCTTTTCAAGGTCCATTGTCCTTGTGTTTTTGCACTCTTAGCCACAGTCCGTACCGCTCCTCTGGGGCCTTGTTCCATCAGTTGCAACATCTCATTCCTGGATCTTGAGTCAACCCAGTAATAACTGTAGGAAATAGCCACCCAGTAAAATATTCATAAATACCACCTCTTGGTTCTTTTGATTTCTCTCAAGGATACACTTTTCCTGAAGACTGAGGGCTTCAGATTCTGCTTGACAAGCTCTCTCAGAATCACTTCAGAACATAGCTAATTCCTTCTCATACTCTCTTATCACTTCCATAAAACTTCAACTGCAAATTGATTACAAAAATATAAAAGTCCCAATCATTATACTATTAGAAAAGCAACAGTTCCTCTCTCCACCGCTAGGCTCCATATCAATGCTCTGTCCAAATATGTTATATTTATTTAATCTACAGTTTTATATCATTTACTGTATTTGTAGGACTCAATCAAAAGGGATAAACAAATCTCATAAGAAAAAATTGATATGCGCAACAGTGAAGTACCCTATTTTTTATTAAAAATTCCAGGTATTTTTTTAACATACCTAAGAGTAAATCTTTAGATGACAAACAAAAATATGACTCTTGTTAACTGTAACAAGATACAGATTACGTTTTGACACATTTCTGCCAGAAGTTGTTTTTCTATTTCTCTCTTATATTCATTTAGCTTTACTTCTAAAGACTCAAGCTTTATATGCTGAGGATAAGCATCTGCCAATTGATCAAGAAGCTGAAGGTTCTCAACTATTAAAAAGTAGCAGGCCAAATTAGGACACAGAAGCATGGTCAGGTGTGTAAGAGGCCAGATTTCTGGTTCGAAAGTAAAAAGTATACTTAGGGGAACCTATCGCTGCCTGCAATGTACTTTGAAATACAAAAAAATGTAAGATGAATAGATGCACAGATTAAAATGATAAAGCCTATATAACACAAATGTATTAGTAGAATCTAGGTGGTAGGTGTGTAAGTGTTGACCAGAATTGTTTCAACTTTTCTGTATGTTGAAAATGCCCAGGAATTTACCACCATGCACCAGGCCCAGCTAATTTAATTTTTTTTTTTTTTTTTGGAGACAGAGTCTCGCTATGTTGCCTTCCCAGCTGATTTCAAACTCATGGCCTCAAGTGATCCTCCTTCCTGGGCATCACAGTGTGCTGGGATCACAAGAATGAGCCACTTTGTCTGGTTATAGCTTTTAAGAATAAATCTTTAAAAAGTCTTTCCCAAGCATGATACAAAACCTGAAAGGAATAAGGAGTAATATTTATCAATCTCACTACATGTAAATAAAAAATTTACATATGGCATAAGATAAATATAAATAATACACTGGAAAAGTAGTTGCAATAATATGGAGGCATAACCAGGACTAAAGTGATGACATTTTAATATTGTTAAACAGCTCTTACAAATCAGTTAAAATAAAAAAAGCAAAACTGAAAAATGGGGGAAAACATGGCCAGATTGTAGGAAAAATAAAAAGTAAAATGGCTCGAAGATGAGCAAGATTATCAGATGTTGAATAAACATGAAGAAAATCATAAATGCAAATTAGTAAAAAAGAAACCATTATTTTCCCTGTAACACCACTAAGATTAAAACTTTGTTAACGCTAATGTTGGCAATGGAGTGGAAGTATAACTGTGCTGATACACTTGGAAGAGAAATGTGTCAGTGCTTATATATATTCAAAATGCAGGTGCCTTTTTATCTACTCATTCCAATTCTATGAATTCACACAGCTATATTTGTACAAGCACATAAAGGGTGCACACTGTATATTGGTTACCTCTATTGGGAAAAGGCAAACAAGAAGACAGCTAAATTTCCATCAGTAGGGGGTTAAATATTTACTTTAAAAATAATTAGTCTCAATATACTGCTACAAGTAGATATATTGGTGGATAGAAAAAGCAATCTGCCTACAGAATCTATAATATAATTTTATTCAATGTGTGTTTTAATTAGAAATACATAGAGTTTTAAACACAAACAATTCTACAAAAATAACCAAGAAACAAAATTATTGAAATTCTAGTTATCTCAGATTCTCTTTTTTGGTTGTGTCTCTGCCCGGCTTTGGTATCAGGATGATGTTGGCCTCACAAAATGAGTTAGGGAGGATTCCCTCTTTTTCTGTTGATTGGAATAGTTTCAGAAGGAATGGTATCAGTTCCTCCTTGTACCTTTGGTAGAATTTGGCTGTGAATCCATCTGGTCCTGGACTGTTTTTGGTTGGTAAGCTATTGATTATTGCCACAATTTCAGAGCCTGTTATTCCTTGATGAACATTGATGCAAATATCCCCAATAAAATACTGGAAAATCGAATCCAGCAGCACATCAAAAAGCTTATCCACCATGATCAAGTGGGCTTCATCCCTGGGATGCAAGGCTGGTTCAATATACGCAAATCAATAAATGTAATCCAGCATATAAACAGAACCAAAGACAAAAACTGCATGATTATCTCAATAGATGCAGAAAAGGCCTTTGACAAAATTCAACAATGCTTCATGCTGGAAACTCTCAATAAATTAGGTATTGGTGGGACGTATCTCAAAATAATAAGAGCTATCTATGACAAACCCACAGCCAATATCATACTGAATGGGCAAAAACTGGAAGCATTCCCTTTGAAAACTGGCACAAGGCAGGGATGCCCTCTCTCACCACTCCTATTCAACATAGTGTTGGAAGTTCTGGCCAGGGCAATTAGGCAGGAGAAGGAAATAAAAGGTGTTCAATTAGGAAAAGAGGAAGTGAAATTGTCCCTGTTTGCAGACGACATGATTGTATATCTAGAAAACCCCATTGTCTCAGCCCAACATCTCCTTAAGCTGATAAGCAACTTCAGCAAAGTCTCAGGATACAAAATCAATGTACAAAAATCACAAGCATTCTTATACACCAATAACAGACAAACAGAAAACCAAATCATGAGTGAACTCCCATTCACAATTGCTTCAAAGAGAATAAAATACCGAGGAATCCAACTTACAAGGGACCTGAAGGACCTCTTCAAGGAGAACGACAAACCACTGCTCAAGGAAATAAAAGAGGATACAAAGAAATGGAAGAACATTCCATGCTCATGGGTAGGAAGAATCAATATCGTGAAAATAGCCATGCTGCCCAAGGTAATTTATAGATTCAATGCCATCCCCATCAAGCTACCAGTGACTTTCTTCACAGAATTGGAAAAAAACTACTTTAAAGTTCATATGGAACCAAAAAAGAGCCCGCATTACCAAGTCAATCCTAAGCCAAAAGAACAAAGTGGGAGGCATCATGTTACCTGACTTCAAACTATACTACAAGGCTACAGTAACCAAAACAGCATGGTACTGGTACCAAAACAGACATATAGATCAATGGAACAGAACAGATCCCTCAGAAATAATGCCACATATCTACAACTATCTGATCTTTGACAAACCCAAGAAAAACAAGCAATGGGGAAAGGATTCCCTATTTAATAAATGGTGCTGGGAAAACTGGCTAGCCATATGTAGAAGCCTGAAACTGGATCCCTTCCTTACACCTTATACAAAAATCAATTCAAGGTGGATTAACGACTTAAACGTTAGACCTAAAACCATAAAAACCAGAGAAGAAAACCTAGGCATTACCATTCAGGACATCGGCATGGGCAAGGACTTCATGTCTAAAACACCAAAATCAATGGTAACAAAAACCAAAATTGACAAATGGGATCTAATTAAACTAAAGAGCTTCTGCACAGCAAAAGAAACTACCGTCAGAGTGATCAGGCAACCTACAAAATGGGAGAAAATTTTCACAACCTACTCATCCGACAAAGGGCTAATATCCAGAATCTACAATGAACTCAAACAAATTTACAAGAAAAAAACAAACAACCCCATCAAAAAGTGGGTGAAGGACATGAACAGACACTTCTCAAAAGAAGACATTTGTGTAGTCAAAAAACACATGAAAAAATACTCACCATCACTGGCCATCAGAGAAATGCAAATCAAAACCACAATGAGATACCATCTCACACCAGTTAGAATGGCAATCATTAAAAAGTCAGGAAACAGCAGGTGCTGGAGAGGATGTGGAGAAATAGGAACAGTTCTATACTGTTGGTGAGACTGTAAACTACTTCAAACATTGTGGGAATCAGTGTGGCGTCTTGTGGACAGTGTGGATCTAGAACTAGAAATGCCATTTGACCCAGCCATCCCATTACTGGGTATGTACCCAAAGGACTATAAATCATGCTGCTATAAAGACACATGCACACGTATGTTCATTGAGGCACTATTCACAATAGCAAAGACTTGGAGCCAACCCAAATGTCCAATAATGATAGACTGGATTAAGAAAATGTGGCACATATACACCATGGAATACTATGCAGCCATAGAAATGATGAGTTCATGTCCTTTGTAGGGACATGGATGAAATTGGAAATCATCATTCTCAGTAAACTATCACAAGGACAAAAAATCAACCACCACATTTTCTCATTCATCGGTGGTAATTGAACAATGAGAACACATGGACACAGGAAGGGGAACATCACACTCTGGGGACTGTTGTGGGGTGGGGGAGGGATAGCAGTAGGAGATATACCTAATGCTAAATGACGAGTAATGGGTGCTACACCCCAGCATGGCACATGTATACATATGTAACTAACCTGCACATTGTGTACATGTACCCTAAAACTTAAAGTATAATAATAATAAAATAAAATAAAAAATTCTAGTTATCAGTGGTGAGTGAGATTAGACAAAATGAGCAGAAATTGCTAGTTTCTTTTCACTTTATATCCTTCTGAATAGCCTGAAACTTTGTTTTAAACCGGAAGCATAAATTCTTTAGAAATCTTTAGTTTCTTGAAACTAAAATCATTAGTCAGCTCAACACCTTATCCCCATCCCCATCCTCTAAGTGAGGGGATTACAGTTAGATTGTTTTGTCACAGTCTGCATTCCATGCAGAAATCATCAGACCAAAATTTGTGAACATTAATGTTTACTCTTGGTGATGTAAACTTTATGGGTTTTGACAGTGGGTCACTTTCATTCTCTTAACAGTGTCTTCCAGAGTGATGCTTTTAATTTCAATTAAGCATCTATTTGTTTTTTCATTTATCTTTTATATGTCATATATCACAAAACTCAGGACCACATAGACTTTCTCTTGCTTTTACCTGGAAATTTTATAGTTTTGCAATTTGCATTTAGGCTTATGGTTCATTTCCCTGCGTATGAATATTCAATGGTTCCAGAACCACACTTTGAAAAGACTATCTTTCCTCTATTGAATTGCATTGCTCCATTGTTTGAAAAATCAATTGACAATATTTGTGTGAATCTATTTCTTGATTCTCTATTTCTGTTCCCATTGATGTATGTGTCTATTCTTTGCCAATTATAGATAGAATTTTAAGTTTCTAAAAGCAAAGGGCCAATGTCCAAATTTTCTTTCCTCATCCAAATTTTGTGCATATCACTATCTGTGTATCTTTATCTCTCAAAGGAAATATTAAGAGTGGGAAGAATGGGTGACTAGAATCTAGGAGGTGAGTATTGTGACTATTCAACAGCTTAACATCCCCTGAGTGTGGGTATAGTAGGATAAGATAAGATCACAGGTGTCTGAGTCAGGGCACAGAACAGAGTTCTGTACAATATATCTTCCTATAAGTTTTCTGTTGTTTAATTGGAAGCCACCACTTTTTAAAACAATTTTGTTTTACCGGAAACTATTTTATTGTTAGCTAAGTGTTCTATCCAGATTTTGGTACGAGGATGACTCATATGTTTCCTACTCATCATTTTTCTGACTTTCGGAAATTTTACCAGGATGCTAGGTAAAGCCGGTAAGGTTTGACAGTCAGACGTTTTTGTAAACCAGATATAGTCAGAGAGACTGTGTAAAGATGGAAAAACTATTTTTAAGGATAATGTAATATAGTAAGTATATAGATTCTTTCATGTTGGGGGCTCAGTCAGGCTGGTGGGAAAAATATTAGATAGTTATAGTAATAGCCACAAACCATCTTGGAAGGTCAGAGAGTTAGCATAACTTCAGTTATAGATATGGTTGAAGGTGACCTGCTTTACCTTTAGTTAAATAAATTAAAGTAATAACAAATGAATGTGGCGAAGTTATCTAGCTAGCTTGTTTACTCACGTGGTCTTAAGACTAACCTTTGATATACCATGTGTGCTTAAGTGCTTTCCACTCGCGAAGTCCACAATGTCAATTACCCCCTAGTTTCACTGACTCAAGTCTTTGTCAATTAAACTTTACCGATAAATGCGAGTCTCAATAGCTGGTCAGGGCCACAGTTGCAACTGTTCACAAAGCTCTACTGGAGTCTGTAAGTGGCTCAGAAACCCAGCTTCGGCTGGACTGGCAATGCAGAATATCTGTGTGTCAGTGTACTTCATGCATCCATTGTGGGGTCAAATGTCTGCAAAAGACAGATCCTCGAAGCTGGTGTCACCATGTAAAAAGTGCTACAAGAGCTTCCTTTATTTTCTTTCTTTATTTTTTCCTTCCTTCCTTCCTTCCTTCCCTCCTTCCTTCCTTCCTTCCTCCCTCCTTCCCTTGCTGCCTTCCTTGCTTCTTCCCCTCTTCTTTCTTTCTTTTCTTTTCTTTCTTTCTTTCTTGTCTTTCTTTCTTGTCTTTCTGTCTTTTTTATTTCTTCTTTCTTTTTCTTTTTTTTCTTTTCTTTTCTTTCGTTTTTTTTTTTTTTTTTTTTTTTTTTTTTTTGGTGGGGAGTAAAATGGCATCTAGTTGTGTCACCCAGGCTGGAGTGTAGTCATGTCATCTCAGCACACTACAAACTTCACTTCCCAAGTTCAAGTGGTTATCATGCCTCAGCCTCAAGAGTAGCAGGGATAAAAGGCACTTGCCACCACACCTCACAAATTTTTGAATTTTTGGTAGAGATGGGGTTTCACTGTTCTGCCCAGGCTGATTTAAAACGTTAGACCTTCAGTGGTCCTCCTCCTTCAGCCTCCCAAACTCCTGGGATTGCAAGCATGAGGCATTGTTCCTGGCCCATACATTATTCCTTAATATCACTTGAAGCCATACATTTTCTTTTGAAGTAACAATTAAGTAATAGATACCTGCTATATACTTTAGAATTATGCTGTTCATTATGGTAGTCACTGTGCATATGTAGCTAATTAAATGTAAGTTAAAAATTTATTCAGTTATATTAGCTACATTTCAGTTGCTCAATAGCCACATGAGACCAACAGTTACCACATTAAACAGTATAGATAAAGACATCTCCACCATCACAAAGAGTTACTCTGGATCATGCTTAGAGCACAGAATATAGAATCACTTACCATACTGAATTTCAGTAGGGATGGTCTAGTGTGCAGGCAGCCTAGAAAGTCTTGTTGTTCAATTTGTGTATCTTCTGCTAACATTATTACAATGAAACTTGGCAATTAAGTCACGGAGTCAATGGCTGGCAGAAAGTATGTACTCAAATGATTAAGTTCTGAATCAATGGATGAATGAATAAATGTCTCTGTCAGGATGATAGAAATGCATGCAACAGACAAAATCCCAAGGGGGTAGCAACACAAAAAGAATATTACTAATTCACAGATTATTTTAAAAGACCTAAGGGATAACTTAGAATAAAGTGCAAGTTGCCAGCTTATGTTTATGCTACAAAGCCCATTATCAAGTCTAACCAATGATCTGGAACCCACAGTAGTTACAAACTTCATAAAAGTTTTATATAAAGGCCAAAATTTAGTCAACTAATCAGATCTGTGCAAACATCTAAGAATAAAAGTAATATTACATATTACTAAACATGTATTTTCTTCTTTAATGACATATTAATACATTTAATACTCTATCAGTTGTACGTGAGAGGCATACTTAGTATACAAGACAATTGGCTTAAAAGTCAGTTTTTTGAGGGTTTTTTTTTTTTTTAGAAATGTTCCCAACAGTGGATATTTTTACAAACAGTATCTTTCAGTGTCTGTAGGACCCTTGGTACTGTCTGAAGTTTTCTTATTTGACTATATAAAAGTTATTACAAAAATGAAAATATGGGAACTGCAGAACATGTGAACTATTGTTTAAAAAGTAAGATATGGTCAGCAGGAAAAACATGTAATTTAAATGAACTTAAATTCCTTACTCTTCTTCCTCAAAATTAGCTTAATTCTTTTATAAGAAAAAAGTACTAGAAAAATTTTGCAATAGTTTACAAAGTTGCATGCTTCTACCTTTTTGATTTTCTTTATGAAATCCTGAGACCTGTTAAAAAAACCATTTTACCTTTATAAAGCTATTCACTTATCATTAACAAACCAAAGTAGATTATAGAAACTAAGTAATCTAACAATGATTTGTAGAAACTGGAAGTAGGGTGATTTTTTATTGAGTGTAATCAATACTGCAAAGTAAATACCTTAAAAAAATAAAAGGTTACTAATCAGACATAGTTTTATAGCAGTGTTTAAATGAAACAATATAATATGTTTATGAATATGAGATTAAGAGACAACTTTCAGAAAAAATAAGATTATGACCATGCTAACAAAGCAAAATTAAAGCTCTTTCTTACACTGTTAAATTACAAATCATATTGAGGTCAAAATAATAAAAAATTTTTCTTGATCATGTACTTAACCTCTAAGTATTTCACATCAAAGGTCATTCAGTTACAATTTTTTAAAAGTAGTGTTTAAAAATGTAAACAAACTAAATTTTCACTGTCCTTAAAATCATAATTAAACTGCACTTACAATACTGTTAAACAGACATTTTGGACAGCTGTTTATATATATTCCTACTGCAGTATGTATCAGTAATTATGTCAACTCTGAGAACACTGACGTGTTTTCAGCTGGATTTCCTTTAAAGAAAATATTTGAGTGGGTAATTTATATTAGCAGAAGCCATTAAGTTGTTTGAGTGGGATTAATTCCTGTTATAACCATTATACAATTGGTAAATACACAATAAGTAGAAGTATAGAGTGATTAGAAAGTTAGAGAAAGATGTATCAAAAATGAATTTCAGGCAAGGCACAGTGCCCCACAGTTATAATTACAGCACTTGGGCAGGCTAAACGGGCAGAATACATGAGCTCATGATTTGAAACAACACTCACCACCATACAAAACCCAGTCTACCAAAAAAAAAAAAAAAAAATAGCAGAAAGTGGTGTGCACCTGTAATCCCAGCTGCTTGAAAGTGTGTAGTAGTATAATTGCTTGAATCTGGGAGCAGATGTTGCAGTCACCTGAGAATATGCCATTGCACTTCAGTCTTGATGACAGAGCGAGACCCTGCTTCTAAAAATTAAATATGTATACAAATACATTCATATTGCCGGTAAGTAAAATTTGGTTGCTCATGAAGAAACTCAGCATACTTAAAGTTTTCATTCAAATACTGTACTAAGGCCAGGCATTGTGGCTCACATCTGTAATTCCAGCACGTTTGGAGGCCGAGGCAAATGGATTACTTGAGATCAGCAGTGTGAGACCAACCTGGCCAGGATGGTGAAAACCCACCTCTACTAGAAATACAAAAATTAAACAGGTGCTTGGGCAAGTACTTGTAATCCCAGGTACTTGGGAGACTGAGACAGGATAATCACTTGAACTCGGGAGGTGAAGTTTGCAGACCAAGATCATGCCACTGCACTCCAGCCTGAGCAACAGAGTAATACTCCATCTCAAAGAAAATAAATATGATACTAAGCTTCTCGTGTTCTTAAAACTTTGGAATAGGAAATCTTTATATAATTATAGACAACATAAAGAAAGTAAAAAATATATACACACCACCAAGAGTGAAATTTAATGTTAACTATAGATTTTGGGCAATAATGACATGTCAAGGTAGTTTTATCAATTGTAGCAAATGTACCACCTTGATGCAAAATGTTGACAGTGGGAGAGACTGTGCATGTGTAGGGGCAGTGGGTGTGTAGGAATTCTTTGTACATTTCCATCAACCTCACTGTGAACTAAAAACTTCTCTGAAAAGCAAAGTCTATGAAACATGCACACACACTCACACACACATGCACATATATTTACAGGGAAAAGTTTGCTGCATCTACCTTTAAAATAATAAAGTGGGATGAATGTTCACAATAACGATGAAGAAATATAGTTAAATAATTAGAAATATACTAAAAATAGAATGAAAGTCTTTTTATTATTTGGAAACTTTACAGGTTTTAAGAATTAAATCATTTAAGTTACTTAATTCACTTCTCCACAGCCTGGTTCCTCATCTGTGACAGACAAAACATCTGTTGTGTGTATATCACAGTGCCAAGCTCAGAGCAGACATTCAGCAGGTTGGCAGAGTCTTATCAAACAACACAGAATATAGATAAATCAATTTTAGCTCTTAAACATTTAGAGATTGTAGATCACAATTTTACCAAAGACTAAATATGATACCAAGAAATCAATTTCAAATTTACTACCCACTTGTTATATAACAAATGCATCATATGCAGGTACAATGTAAACTCAAAGAGGAATGAGAAATGGACCTAGTTTAAAAGCAATCCACTATAATGCAGCATGTTACAGTCAGCGAAGAAGAAACTGTCAATAAAAAGTTCAGAAACAGAAAAGGAAATATGTTAGCTTTTATTTTGCTGAACAATTTCTGGAAATAAAACAGAAAGTGAATAGTCATAGCAGCATCTTTGTAAGTTATCAGCCACTAAAGAGTTAGAGGCTGGTAGTAAGAGGGAGTTCCTTTGACATGAAATGGACTGAGGTTGCAATTCTCCATTCAACACAGGGTGCAACCACTCATGAATTAGCTGGTTTTGAGTTTGCGTCTTGCAAGAGAGCAAGGAAGGAAGGAAGAAAGAAAGAAAGGAAGAAAGAGAAGAAGGAAAGAAGGAAGGAAGGAAGGAAGGAAAGAAGGAAGGAAGGAAGTGAGGGAGGGAGAAAGGAAGGAAAGGAGAAAGGAAGAAAGAAGGAAGGAAGGAAGGAAGGAAGGAAGGAAGGAAGGAAGGAAGGAAGGAAAGAAGGAAGGAAGGAATAAAGTGAGGGAGGGAGAAAGGGAGGAAAGGAGAAAGGAAGAAAAAAGGAAGGAAGGAAATAAAGAAGGAAGTCAGGCAAGGGAAAAAAAAACTCAGTACGATTGTCTCAGAAGAGATATACCAGATGTAGTACATTCATTAGACAACTCCCTTTTATTTCCATAATGTTTCTAGATCCATGACCAGAAATTAGGAACCCTCCCCTGCACAAGTGAGAAAAGAAGGCCAGTGTGTTCTAGAAAAATATTTCTTTCCTCAGCTTCCACGTGAAACTGGTGGTTAACCAGACCCATTTGCAGACTCTTCACTTCACTTCCCTAGAAACCCATTTCACCAGCTTACACTTGGGATATGAAGTATAGGAAAAAATTCTGCCAGTTCATCACACCTTGTGGAATGCTGGAAAATATAACCAAAATATTCAACAACAAGGGACTGCTATGTATGTTACAAAAATTTCCAAAGATCAGCCTGTTGCCACTAAGAAGGGGCATTTCAAGAAACTTTTAAGGAAACAGAGAAATGCTCACACCATATAATTTAAATTTCAAGCGGATATATACAGAGCATATATACATTTTTAAACGTAAAATATGCCTTTGAAATGCATATTGCAATGAAAACACATTGAGCTAACCCAATTCCTAGCTGTTAATCCAAATATAAACTATACTACCAGATATGTGCTGCTCAAAGGAAATATTCAGGCATTTCACTATAGTTTAAAGATGAAAGTATTCGTTCCCCAAACTATTAAAATAGTACACTAGTATTTTCTATATAGTGTTAATGTCCCTCATCCAAATGTATTACAAACCCTTTTGTTAGTTTAGGAACCTGTAAGCCAATTTATAAAACAGGCCCAATCTTATTAAAATGTGATCATTACACAAATGCTTTCTACTCCTTATTGTCATCTCAATTATTTATTTGAATATTCTCCTTTAATGTGACTCAAATGCAACATTTTCTCAGTGGTTTCAAAGAGACTGTAATATTTCATTATAGAGTATCAAAACTGAAAATCACTGGGTGAATTTAAATGTGAACTACCTGTTACAGGTTACACTTTTAAAAGATATGGAACAGATAAACCTAAATCCGACACTTTGAGTGTGCCCAGTACACCCCAATCCTTCAACATTTGGTGTCGTTTTTTGCACAGCTCATCTTAACTCAACACATCACACATAGGGAGCAAGTTGGACTAGAAGACAAAATGGTTACAGCTTACCTGGGGGGTAGAGGGAAGGTGGACTACTGAAAAAAGACCAGTGGCCTCTGGGGAAGCCCCGAATGTCCTAGTGGGGAAAGAGGTTTTAAGGAACATCAAGGAGACTTCATTTCCACCTGTCCCCGATGAAGGGCAGTTGTGTATTCCTGAGTCATCAGGTGCCAGCTTTCTCCCATCGTCAGCTTCCTCCCAAGTCTCCTCACTCACCCGGCCATATATATAACCGTCCAATTCTAAATTTAAAACCGCCAGCTGTGCCTTGATTTTCTTTATAAAATGTAGTTCTGTGTAGCTACCTCCTCAGGGCCTCTGGGACAAGTGTTCCTTGGAGATTCTTCAAAGGACCCTATTTAAAGCAATGGAAAAATTGAGCAGACCATGAATACACACTCATGCCAATGCAGGTATGTCAGTCATGGCAGCTGTGCCTTGATTTCCTTTATAAAATTTGTCATTCATTAGCAAGTACATATCATGTTTCTTCTGATTTCATTGTGTGTATGTGAATCAGCTGAAGGCCCGGTGAGGCTTCATGAGACTTGTCTTCTAACCCACCTCAGATGTATCTTCCAGGGGTTTGACTAACTCCTTGTTTACTCAATTTCCACCCCATGTTGAGAATTTTACTAGTCACCACATATCAGTATGAATTTGGCCTTCCATGTTATTCTAGATAATATTAATTGAGCATGTCCTGTGAGTCAGACATTGTGCTGGGTACTTTACTGGAAGGTGTTACAAAGTTACCACTATTCCATAAAGGAGAAGACCAACAATAGATGATGGGCTCCCTCTGGTCACATTGCAAGTAATTAGCAGAGCTATCTGGAACCTAACTTCCTTGGATTTTAAATCCCTTGTGTTAAAAGTACACACAGTTGGGTTACCATTGATTATATCCACCCACGTTCCCACCCATCCATTATTCATCTATATTTTAATTATCTGCACTAGAAGAAATGAAATCGCTTATATTTTCCCCAGTTTCTCATAGATTTATTTCTTTTGTTAATCTGTTATTTTTTTTTTTTTTTTTTTTTTTTTTTGGTCAGGGTATTTCAGCTTACTGCTGCCTTGAGCCCTGCTGGGATCAGGTGATTCTCCCCTGTCAGACTCCAGAGTAGCTGGGACTACAGGCACACACCAACTCACCCAGCAAGTTTTAGTATTTCTGTAGAGATGTATTTTTTGTAGAGATGTATTTCTTCTTTCATGTTGTTGCCTTGGCTGGTCTCAAACTCCTGGGCTTAATCAGGCTGCCTGCCTCAGCCCTCCAATGTGCTGGAGTTACCGGCATGAGCAATCACACCTGCCCCAATCTGTTAAACTTAGTTTTAAGATCTCTCAGTGCCTCAGAATGTTTTCCTTTATGGATTATTTATTCCATCTTTTATAGAATACGAAACTTTCTTTCTTAGAAATTGGCGTATGACGAGGCATATCATAGTCTCTTTTATTAGCAAAGACATATATTTATAGCACACATAGTTCAGGGAGAAAGAAGACAAATGGAGCACAAAGGGCTACATTGCCTCTCTTTTCTCGGTGAGTGACATGAGGGACAGTTGGTTTTAGCTTCCGCCAACGGATGTCTTATGGAAATTTCTAAGGCAAGCTAATTAATTCCTTCATCTTCTCACCACTCTATGGTCCTTAACTTACCGTCTACCTCTGTTAAGCTTTTTTTAAGTGTCAGTGCTTCTGCTAACGGGTCCAGTCCAAGTGAAGCCTAGCTTACTCCACCAGACACTCAGGATCCCTTGAGCTGAATGTGCCGTGCTTTCAGATCATGAGAATGTTGTCTGTGATTTTATCTCAGAGATCTTTTAGTTTTCGTATGGAAACACATAAGATTCTACAAGAAATACCACAGTTATATGCTTTGTTTATTCCAGAAGCCACATATCTTCACTAGTATGCGGGAAATGGTGACAAGTTTAGTGGCATCATTCAGGTTTAAGTTAGAAAGCAAAACAGAAGAATTTTACACTTCTCATTAGTCACATTTAAATTTCAGTATTGACTGCTAAAAATATATACTATTTTTTACTTCATCAGGAGCCACATATTTAAGACCATGTCTAGGAGCTTCTACTTTGTAATTGTTGGCCACCATGATAATCCAGTTTTTGAAAGGGAGGTTTTGCCAGCTGGGAAGGCAGAATCCAAAGTACGTGTGGAAGCTTAAATTTCATAAGAATTTTTATTCTATTGTAATAATATAGTGTAACATAATTTAAATGAAATCCAACACAATTAAATAAGGCTTACTCTGGAGTCCCAGAGCCTGATAGAAGCCAGCTGGGGAGTATCCTATGAGTCGTTTATGTATACTTTATTTCAGCACAGACTAGCATGACCTCTGACTTTCCCATGATATTCAGTTCACTGTGTCACCGACCATGAATTGCTGCTGCTTCAGCACTTAAAAACCTAGTCCACATGTAGCAAGTTGTGGCCTTGAAATGTCATCCATGAATGTTTAGGCAGTTTTCATGAATCCCGTTTTCCCATCAGGACCTATGGGGTAAAAAAGACGTTCAGTGACCCCTAGCAGCACTTCCTGGCTGGTCATACATGCATGCTTTCCTCCCCAGTGACCACCATGGCCCTGCACAGGAAGCTCAAAAGCAGCACCAGAGGTGATGACACTGACTTTCTTGTCAACAATGTTTCCAGAAACCAGGCTTGTCTCGAGAACATGTTGCCATTTGGAGGAAACAGGCTGGTAGATTTTTTATATAAGAGCCCAGTCCTTTCCAATTTATGTTTCTAATACGTTGCTGTCATGTTTGCACTGTTTCTCTCAAGCACCTAAGTCAGATTTAATGACCTTTAAGGAACTGACATGGTAAGTTACTTGCAATGTATAATGTTAATGTGTGTGATATTTTTCAACTATTGAGGACCTGTCACCAAAATATGATAGACAGAATTATATGACAGGTGTTGTTGTGACATTATTTTTTCATATTATGAGAACACTACTCATTAAAACTTGTTTTGAGTAGTTGTAGCAGTATTGCTTTCTGGGATGCAGCTATTTGTATATATGTTCTGTGCACTCCACTGGCCCTCTAGTAAACAAAGGAGCACACATAAAAATAATTTGTTGCATATATTGATTTTATTTCTTTCTCCTGCTACCATTCACCTCGTTAAGGCATTTTCACAATTTGCTCTTGATCTTTCAGTATTGATCATTACTGTAAAAGAAACCACTGTGGGATTGAGACAGAAAAACATCCATTTATCTAAGGATTCACTTAGGTTTGTTGTGATGACATGAGTGAAGTAAAACATGCTTTAGATGTCTGAGGGATTTGGGGGCATTTGGCCACCCTCTTCCAGCCCAGGATTGGGAACAGCTTCCTTGGCGAGGAGGCTCTCTCTGTTTCCTGTGCCTGTTGTAACAAAGTACCAAAAATTTAGTGGCTTTGGACAGCAGAAATTTATTGCCTCATTTCTGAGGGCCACTGTCTAAAATCAAGGTGTCAGTGGTGCCATGCTTCCTATGTGGGTCCTCAGGTAAAATCTGTTTGGTTTATCTCTCAGCTTCTGGAATTTCCCTGGCTTGTGGCAATGTAACGCCAGTCTTCCTGTGTCATTTTTCTCCCTGTGTGCATCTCCAAATGCTCCCTTTTTCTATATACATGAGTGGTTTTATTAGGGGCCCACCCCACTCTAAAATGACCTCTTCTGAAATAATGACATGTACATGTAAACTCTCTTTCTCAGTGAGGCCACATTCTATGGTACTGCCCCTTTGGACATCAACAAAGGAATTTTGGAGAGAAGACACTTCAACCTGTAACTGAGGTGTTATTTTAAAACTATATTTTTAAAGAAATAATTACATTGGTGTAAGATTACATTCCAAGTTGTGAATTTCTTCTTCATATCATGGTCAGACAGTTCCACCTCCTGTTAACTTTAGCCATTTCAGCCCAGGAAAAGGACACCCCCAGCTCTAACAAAACTTTTTCCTTTTGATGACACAGATGACTGCTCACAGTCGGGGCTGGGCATCATCTCTAACTACGCCCAGGACCGGCTACCATGTTAACTACATGCACTGAATAAAGGCATCTGTAGCCCTTCCAAGTGTCATTTCAACTGTCTGTAGTGCTTACCTGGTGATACCTGGTGCTAATTTGCATAAAGCCCAGCCCTCTCAGCTTCCTCTCAGACCTTGAGGCCTGGTGTGAATGGCACCTCTTCTCCACAGGATATGTGTATGTGTGTGTGTGTGTGTGTCTATGTGTTCTGTGTGTATGTGTTTGTGTATCATTTATTAATTGACTGTTTCTGTTCTTTGAGTTTTAGATATGAAATTTAAAAATAGAATATAATGTGAAAACAGATCTCTCGTATGTCTCTTGACAATAACAAACACAGTAAAATTAAACTGTTTTTTTTTTTCCTGCATGCACAAAACAATCTATAGGATTTACAGAATGAAATGTTGGCATTCTTCATTCCATGTGGGTATGTTAATCTGTTGTTGCTCACACTGTCATTTACAACCACTGACGTCATCTGCACCAGTTCATAGGCCATGCTGCTCTCGACCTCATAGATGAGAACATGTGACTTTTGAACATGTACTTGAAAACTGTAGGCAAGTCCAGAAACTGGTTTGTGTCAGTATTCATTACTCCAGGGCATACCTTTACCTTTTTAGTAAAGATAATTAACTAAAGTTTGGGTTCACAAACTAGAAGAACATGTAACACAGATGCCAGGCTCTGACACTGTACACGACACAATTTGTATGCATGTAAAAGTTTCCATTTATGGGGCTACTTTTTTTTATTAGGGGAGAAAATATTTTGTTGAACAGCTAATTTTTAAACTAAGTTGCATACACACCAAAAAGTTTATCTGAATCATATCGAGGGTGATGTTACCTTATTTTGTAGTTATTTTTTCATTTACAATGCTTATATTCACTTTCTGATACAACTAAGATAATTTTAAACACAGGTAATGTATTCAACTCTTCCATCAGAAATACGTGGCACATGACCAGTTTGAAGACTATTATATCAATGAACTGGTTGCTTTTTGTTTTTTATTTATAAGGAAAATATTGCCTTATTTATGTCACATATGAGATTTATTATGCTTCATGGCAAGAAGATGGAATAAATCACATCTTTACTGATGTTTATGATTTACATATAAAAGTAAGGCATGTTCTATAATTTTTAAATTTTAAAATCTGATGATAGAATAAAGGATTCAATTTCTGTCAGGAAACTGGCCTTTTCAAGTAACTTCCTTACGCTGCACAGCTTACCTTTCAGAGGGCCTTTTCTCATCAGAACTATCTCTGTCAACTCCCTTGGCAAGCAAGTCTTCAGAGCCAGTCAAATGGGTATTTAGGAACACAACTTATGATAGTAATTAGTAGAATATTCTGGAGGCAAATTGTTTTTATATTTTCCCTCTTAGTGTTCATAGTTGATTTTATTAGCGAACTCTAAAGAGAGCAAGGAAGCAGCCTATATAAGGGAAAACTAATTAAAATTTAATCTGAAATGTTTCCATCTGCTTTCAAATAAGTTGCTGTGCTATTAATAGAGATCATGAACTGGCAGGAATTGAGTTTTCCATGATCAAATACTCAATCTAGAATAATGGTGCCACTTGTTTATTTGGTTTGTTTGTGATTTTATTGCTGTTGTTGTTGTGATGAAGTCTCGTTCTGCTGCCCAGGCTGGAGTGCAATGGAATGATATTTGCCTCACGGTTTCAAGTGTCTCTCCTGGCTCAGTCTCTGGAGTAGCTGGGACTACAGGCCCCAACACCATGTGTGCTGAATTTTTGTATTTTTAGTAGAGACAGGGATTCACCATGTTAGCCAGACTGGTCTCAAACTCCTGACCTCAGGTGATTTACCCACCTCGGCTTTCCGAAGCCCTGAGGTTACAGGTGTGAGCCACGGAGAATGTCCTAGGTGGTTGATTTTAATGTAACAATCCAAAAATAAATGTCAGAGTCAAGATTTGGTAGATAGATTTAAAACTAACATATTCTGCAGCTGGGAATGAAATGTGATAGCACATACATTCACAGTAATTCATTTATACATTTAGAGATGTTATAAAAATGTATAGGCAGTATACACAGCAGGAGTCAAGAAGCCAAGGAAACATGTGTGCTGTGCTAAGTGTTGCATATATGCTTCTGCCAGTGGCTAGGAATAGTGGTCCTGCTGATGATTTCCTTTCCCTCAGAGAGTAAACCGTTGATACTCATACTTGCAAAAAGTTGTAAGGCAGTTTTTAGGAGAGTTGCCAAAGATAATCCAGGATTACATTAACATTTGTGCTCAGCCATTTAGATGTGTCAAAAGCCTCTATTTATATATTTATATATTTATTTATTTTATATTTTTATTATACTTTAAGTTTTAGGGTACATGTGCACAGTGTGCAGGTTTGTTACATATCTATACATGTGCCATGTTGGTGTGCTGCACCCATTAACTCATCATTTAACATTAGGTACATCCCCTAATGCTATCCCTCCCCCTCCTCCCCTCACCCCACAACAGGCCCCAGGGTGTGACATTCCCCTTCCTGTGTCCATGTGTTCTCATTGTTCAATTCTCACCTATGAGTGACAACATGCTGTGTTTGGTTTTTTGTCCTTGTGATAGTTTGCTGAGAATGATGATTTCCAGCTTCATCCATGTCCCTACAAAGGACATGAACTCATCATTTTTTATGGCTGAATACTATTCCATACTGTACATGTACCACATTTTCTTAATCCAGTCTATCACTGTTGGACATTTGGGTTGGTTCCAAGTCTTTGCTGTTGAGAATAGTGCCACAATAAACATACATGTGCATGTGTCTTTATAGCAACATGATTTATAATCCTTTGGGTATATACCCCATAATGGGATGGCTGGGTCAAATGGTATATTTCTAGTTCTAGATCTGTGAGGAATCACCATACTGACTTCCACAATGGTCGAACTAGTTTAACGTCCCATCAACAGTGTAAAAGTGTTTCTATTTCTAAACGTCCTCTCCAGCACCTGTTGTTTCCTGACTTTTTAATGATCGCCATTCTAACTGGTGTGAGATGGTATCTATTTTGGTTTTGATTTGCATTTCTCTGATGGTCAGTGATGATGAGCATTTTTTCATCTGTCGTTTGGATGCATAAAAGTTTTTTAGAGAAGTGTCTGTTCATATCCTTCGCCCACTTTTTGATGGGGTTGTTTTTTTCTTGTAAATGTGTTGGAGTTCATTGTAGCTTCTGCATTCTGGATATTAGCCCTTTGTCAGATGAGCAGATTGCAAAAAGTTTCTCCCATTCTGTAGGTTGCCTGATCACTCTGATGGTAGTTTCTTTTGCTGTGCAGAAGCTCTTGAGTTGAATTAGATCCCATTTGTTAATTCTGGCTTTTGTTGCCATTGCTTTTGGTATAAGGTGTAAGGAAGGGATCCAGTTACAGTTTCCTACATATGGCTAGCCTCTTTTCCCAGCACCATTTATTGAATGGGGAATCCTTTCCCCATTGCTTATTATTGTCAGGTTTGTCAAAGATCAGATAGTTGTAGATATGCGGCATTATTTCTGAGGGCTCTGTTCTGTTCCATTGTTCTATATCTCTGTTTTGGTACCAGCACCATGCTGTTTTGGTTACTGTAGCCTTGTAGTACAGTTTGAAGTCAGGTAACGTGATGCTGCCAGCTTTGTTCTTTTGGCTTAGGATTGACTTAGCAATGAGGGCTCTTTTTTGGTTCCATATGAACTTTAAGGTAGTTTTTTCCAGTTCTGTGAAGAAAGTGATTTGTAGCTGGATGGGGATGACATTAAATCTATAAATTACCTTGGGCAGTATGGCCAGTTTCACGATATTGATTCTTCCTCCCCATGAGCATGGAATGTTCTTCCATTTGTTTGTATCTTCTTTTATTTCATTGAGCAGTGGTTTGTAGTTCTCCTTGAAGAGGTCTTTCACATCCCTTATAAGTTGGATTCCTAGGTATTTTATTCTCTTTGAAGCAATTGTGAATGGGAGTTCACTCATGATTTGGCTCTCTGTGTGTCTGTTATTGGTGTATAAGGATGCTTGTGATTTTTGCACACTGATTTTGTATCCTGAGAGTTTGCTGAAGTGGCTTATCAGCTTAGGGAGATTTGGGGCTGAGATGATGAGGTTTTCTAGATACACAATCATGTCATCTGCAAACAGGGACAATTTGACTTCCTCTTTTCCTAATTGAATACCATTTACTTCTTTCTCCTGCCTGATTGCCCTGTCCAGAACTTCCAACACTATGTTGAATAGGAGTGGTGAGAGAGGGGATCCCTGTCTTGTGCCAAGTTTCAAAGGGAATGCTTCCAGTTTTTGCTCATTCAGTATGATACTGGCTGTGGATATGTCATCAATAGCTCTTATTAGTTTGAGAACATTCCATTCAATACCTAATTTATTTAGAGATTTTAGCATGACTCGCTGTTGAATCTTGTCAAAAGTCTTTTCTGCACCTGTTGAGATTATCATGTGGTTTCTGTCACTGGTTCTGTTTATATGCTGGATTACATTTATTGATTTGCATATGTTGAACCAGACTTGCATCCCAGGGATGAAGCCCAGTTGATCATGGTGGATAAGCTTTTTGATGTGCTGCTGGATTCAGTTTATCAGTATTTTATTGAGGATTTTTGCATCAATGTTCATCAGGGATATTGATCTAAAATTCTCTTTTTTTGTTGTTGTGTCTCTGCCAGGCTTTGGTATCAGGATGATGCTGGCCTAGTAAAATGAGTTAGAGAGAATTCCTTCATTTTCTATTGATTGGAATAGTTTCAGAAGGAATGGTACCAGCTCCTCCTTGTACCTCTGGTAGAATACAACTTTGACTTTTTTTGGTTTGTAAGCTATTAATTATTGCCTCAATTTCAGAGCCTGTTATTGGTCTATTCAGAGATTCAGCTTCTTCCTGGTTTAGTCGTGGGAGGGTGTATGTGTGGAGGAATTTACCCATTTCTTCCAGAATTTCTAGTTTATTTGTGTAGAGGTGTTTATAGTATTCTCTGATGGTAGTTTATATTTCTGTGGGATTGGTGGTGATATCATCTCTATCATTTTTATTGCATCTAAAAGGCCTCTATTTAAAGCAATTTTAAAAAGTTTAGCAGACCATGAATACACACTCATATCAAGATAGGTACTTTGGTCACAGCAGTTGCTTTATTTGTATTATATATTGGAATTCTCAGTAATGCTTGTTTTGTAGGTGAAGGGAAGTCGGAGGAAGTCACAGAACCTTTATAAAACTTTTGGAATTGGCCTGTACATGGTGGATCATGCCTGTAATCTCAGCATTTTGGGAGGCTGAGGTGATACACCAGTAAAGGCTGGCAATGGTCTCCTTGTTTCCTATAATGTCTTACTTTAAAATAGGCAATATCCATTGAATATCAGGTCATACAGCCTGTGCTAATGGTGAGCACTTGAACCATTTTGTTCCATTCTGAATTATCTTTAAGCGAGTAATTGCCAATTTTTGTCTTGTGTCCTTGTGTGAAATAGCTACCAACATTTTTACCCTACTTATTTGATTTTTAAAATAAACATGTTTGTTCAAGATTGTTTAAAATGAATGTTTGTTCAAGATTAATTTTTTAAGTGCTACCCAAAACAGTTGTTTTTGTCCTATTTCCCCTGTTAGTATTGTGCAAACTAATATGATTTCTTAACCTGTTATACAGCACTCATATTGAAACAAACCAAATTCCAGATCTGTGGGTGCAGAAAAATGTAAGACACATCTGGAAATCTGGGAGTCATTTCAACAAACATGTAATTTTCCATACAGATTTTTCTGCCCTCAATGAGCATATAATCCCAAGGGTTATGTTGAAATCCAGCCAAAAGCAGCAGGATGAGTGACAGCAGGAAGATGTGGCTCAGCTGCACAACAGTGGCACATTGATAAGAGTCTTTTTTCCACACTAATGAAGTTGAGGTAGACACTAGTAATCCAAGTCCTGGGTGTGTATGAGTAAAGTTAAGTGACAAATTTCATGTGTGACAAATTTTTTGATGGAGCTGGAAGGAAAGTGGAGCATTAAGTAGGACCTTCAATGTGGGCTACAGATAAAAGTATTGCAGGCATGAAGGTTTGAAGGAGAGCACTCCTGGGGGCACATGGGTAGAACTGTTAGCTGATTGATAGGAGCTGATCATGAGGAAAGATAAGCTGGCAAAGCTGGGATCTTGCAGTAGATTTCCCTTGAAGGCTCCTTAACATAAGAACAATGAAATGAAATCAGTCTTAAAATCAGGCTCCCCTTAGCATGTGTATGTTAGTACTGAGTTGTTTATCTGCTTTCGTACTCCAAAAGTGATCCAGAAGAAATGTGCATATGAAGTTTTTTCCTCTTGCTATAGCCAGAAACTTCCCAGGATACTTCCTTTGGCATGGACATAGATACTGTCAATCCCTGTTTTGCCCATGCTGTACTTGTGATCTTTAACTTTTCAGTCACTTTAACACTCCCTGGTTGTCAGTCCAGAGTTCCAGAAAGCACTGACTGCCCAGATTCCACCTTTCGCTGGGTACCACACTGGTGTGTTTCCCTACTTATCAGTTTACTACTCTACATGACATGTTTATTGTGAGAAAACTTACATGGTGGTGTCATAATATAAAAGTGAAAACAGGTTTGTACAGAAACATAAATAGTTTTCTTCTAAGACAAGAAACAGTATAAATATTTTATCTTCAGCTAGGAAACTTTTCCCAATGATGAAAATTAACAAAAATATTTATTTGATTGTAATGGAATTGTAATTTTCTATCCTCTACTCAGCACATTGTAATTGTTACAGAAGTTATTAAATGTACATTTGTCTATTCTCCAAGTTCTGTAGTTAGCCTTTTTCTATAATCCGAACTTTCTCTATGGAAAAGCTTTCCATTCATAGCTCAAGTCTAGCTAAATATATGACATAATGTATGGAGCAACTTCTGCACCACTGGGAACCACACTTCCTTCAAACTATGGAGCATCATCTCTGGTTCTTCTGTCCAAGGTGGCTCTGCAGCTGCTTCTCACTGCTCCTGCTGCTACACTCAACACCTGCTTTGTTCTTCTATCATTTTCTATTGTATTTTTTATTAAATATTTCCAGATGGCAATATTGAGTGAGGCCAGGAAGAGAAATGTTTTGATGTAATTTTTCAAAACTCCCCTCCCTATGTGAAAGCCACCTCCCCTCACCCAGCATGTCCTTTGATACCCCCATCACTCCCCAGTTGCAGGTCTCATCCACATTCATTCCAAGCTTCAGTTAACTTCCATAGAATCAGATAGTCACCAATTGCACAGAATATGAACATCCACAAGAGGCCACAATTTGCTTTATCAAGTCTGATCATTGCAGCAAGGATTTTTTTGAAACAAACACAAAAAACCTCGAGAGCAATTCACTAAACAATGTTCCGTATTAGAGGAGACACTAAGTAAATACATGGCCTAATAAAGATGTCTTGATTCACCCTCTGACAAAGTACAATCCTTCTTAGTATTTCCTTTGAAAGTGATAAAATTAGCTTGTGTCTTGTGTTAAAAAGGAATGGATTAACTTGAACTAGAAGACTTTCCAGAGGGGTCAAGAATGTGACACAAATATTAACTATCCCATTAGTGGAATTGTCAGTTTGTATCCTCCACACACATGTTATAATTGTTAAATCAGTTATCAAATGCAAATTTGTCTTTTCTCCAAGTTCAGTAGTTAGCCTTTTTCTGAAAACTGAACTCTGTATGGAAAGATTTTTTAGTCATAGACAGCTCGAATTTAGCTGCGTGTGTGACAGACTGTATGAAGCAACTCTTTTACTACTATTGGCCCTTCATCCTCCTGGGGCTGTGAAACATGATCTATTGTGGTAGAAGTTCATTAATGGCACACAAATGATGAGTAATTGCTAGCGAGAGTAATCCTAATGATATGTAGAATGAAAATAAAAAATGTGAAGTAATTTTGGAAAGGATAAAGAAGTAAATTAAATAAGAATGCATTGCAAATACATTAGATTCATATCTAACATTATTGCTTTAGGAAATCGTTATCTTTCACCAAGAATAGAATGCTAATTGTATAAAAATCATATACATACAAAAGTATTTTCCCATTTTTCCAGGAAAAAAATCTGAGTATAAATTCTAGAGTAGTCAAGTTTCTTATTTTAATTATAATTTAAGTTTTGGTCATCTCATTTATTAGCTCTCTATTTGCATATGTAAATCAAGCAATGTTTTCAGAAAACCATTACAATTTATAAATGTAAGGTGCCATTATTGAGAAAATATATTCCTCCATGAGTGAATGTGTCCCTTCTCCCACCCACTAATGATACAATAATATAGACTCACTGAATTGTATTAGTAAAGTAATACACTGCTACAAACACTAATTCTCTTCTCCAAGTACGTGTTGATTTTCTTTATACATGTGAGTTGGTTAGAATGCATCTGCCTTATCTCTAACACTCAACAGAAAGATGAGCAAGGCTTGGGGTTTAGGTGAAGGTCGACCATGCCTTTGTGCATCAAGTGATCTGACATATCCTCAGTTGCACGAATGTTTTGAAACCCTTCCTCAAAGGCTGCTGCTGCATTTGTGGCATCTTTTGCACTTTTGACAAAGTAAGGATAGTCACTGTTCTCACTGCATAAGCTTCACTTCTTCTATGAACACCTGCCATTGGATTATGCCAGTCTAGGAATCCAGAATCACAAAAGGAATGCTCTCGGGTTCTTCTACCTCTGCATAACTTATGAACTCTTTCTTCCAGTTAGTTAAGTTCTGGAACCTTGTAAATCACTTATACTAAAAGTAAGCAGACAACTCTCAGAATGTCTGTAAAATGGCTGTCCAGGAGCTGGTTTTTTGAAAGGATCAACAAAATTGATAGACCGCTAGCAAGACTAATAAAGAAAAAAAGAGAGAAGAATCAACTAGACACAATAAAAAATGATAAAGGGGATATCACCACCGATCCCACAGAAATACAAACTACCATCAGAGAATATTACAAACACCTCTACGCAAATAAACTAGAAAATCTAGAAGAAATGGATACATTCCTCGACACATACACCCTCCCAAGACTAAACCAGGAAGAAGTTGAATCTCTGAATAGACCAATAACAGGCTCTGAAATTGGGGCAATAATCAATAGTTTACCAACCAAAAAGAGTCCAGGACCAGATGGATTCACAGCCGAATTCTACCAGAGGTACAAGGAGGAACTGGTACCATTCCTTCTGAAACTATTCCAATCAATAGAAAAAGAGGGAATCCTCCCTAACTCATTTTATGAGGCCAGCATCATTCTGACACCAAAGCCGGGCAGAGACACAACCAAAAAAGAGAATTTTAGACCAATATCCTTGATGAACATTGATGCAAAAATCCTCAATAAAATACTGGCAAACCGAATCCAGCAGCACATCAAAAAGCTTATCCACCATGATCAAGTGGGCTTCATCCCTGGGATGCAAGGCTGGTTCAATATATGCAAATCAATAAATGTAATCCAGCATATAAACAGAACCAAAGACAAAAACCACATGATTATCTCAATAGATGAAGAAAAAGCCTTTGACAAAATTCAACAACCCTTCATGCTAAAAACTCTCAATAAATTAGGTATTGATGGGACGTATTTCAAAATAATAAGAGCTATCTATGACAAACCCACAGCCAATATCATACTGAATGGGCAAAAACTGGAAGCATTCCCTTTGAAAACTGGCACAAGACAGGGATGCCCTCTCTCACCACTCCTATTCAACATAGTGTTGGAAGTTCTGGCCAGGGCAATCAGGCAGGAGAAGGAAATAAAGGGTATTCAATTAGGAAAAGAGGAAGTCAAATTGTCCCTGTTTGCAGACGACATGATTGTTTATCTAGAAAACCCCATCGTTTCAGCCCAAAATCTCCTTAAGCTGATAAGCAACTTCAGCAAAGTCTCAGGATACAAAATCAATGTACAAAAATCACAAGCATTCTTATACACCAACAACAGACAAACAGAGAGCCAAATCATGGGTGAACTCCCATTCACAACTGCTTCAAAGAGAATAAAATACCTAGGAATCCAACTTACAAGGGATGTGAAGGACCTCTTCAAGGAGAACTACAAACCACTGCTCAAGGAAATAAAAGAGGACACAAACAAATGGAAGAACATTCCATGCTCATGGGTAGGAAGAATCAATATCGTGAAAATGGCCATACTGCACAAGGTAATTTACAGATTCAATGCCATCCCCATCAAGCTACCAATGACTTTCTTCACAGAATTGGAAAAAACTACTTTAAAGTTCATATGGAACCAAAAAAGAGCCCGCATTGCCAAGTCAATCCTAAGCCAAAAGAACAAAGCTGGAGGCATCACACTACCTGACTTCAAACTATACTACAAGGCTACAGTAACCAAAACAGCATGGTACTGGTACCAAAACAGAGATATAGATCAATGGAATAGAACAGAGCCCTCAGAAATAATGCCGCATATCTACAACTATCTGATCTTTGACAAACCTGAGAAAAACAAGCAATGGGGAAAGGATTCCCTATTTAATAAATGGTGCTGGGAAAACTGGCTAGCCATATGTAGAGAGCTGAAACTGGATCCCTTCCTTACACCTTATACAAAAATCAATTCAAGATGGATTAAAGATTTAAACGTTAAACCTAAAACCATAAAAACCCTAGAAGAAAACCTAGGCATTACCATTCAGGACATAGGCGTGGGCAAGGACTTCATGTCCAAAACACCAAAAGCAATGGCAACAAAAGCCAAAATTGACAAATGGGATCTAATTAAACTAAAGAGCTTCTGCACAGCAAAAGAAACTACCATCAGAGTGAACAGGCAACCTACAACATGGGAGAAAATTTTCGCAACCTACTCATCTGACAAAGGGCTAATATCCAGAATCTACAATGAACTCAAACAAATTTAGAAGAAAAAAACAAACAACCCCATCAAAAAGTGGGCGAAGGACATGAACAGACACTTCTCAAAAGAAGACATTTATGCAGCCAAAAAACACATGAAGAAATGCTCATCATCACTGGCCATCAGAGAAATGCAAATCAAAACCACTATGAGATATCATCTCACACCAGTTAGAATGGCAATGATTAAAAAGTCAGGAAACAACAGGTGCTGGAGAGGATGCGGAGAAATAGGAACACTTTTACACTGTTGGTGGGACTGTAAACTAGTTCAACCATTGTGGAAGTCAGTGTGGCGATTCCTCAGGGATCTAGAACTGGAAATACCATTTGACCCAGCCATCCCATTACTGGGTATATACCCAAATGAGTATAAATCATGCTGCTATAAAGACACATGCACACGTATGTTTATTGCGGCACTATTCACAATAGCAAAGACTTGGAACCAACCCAAATGTCCAACAATGATAGACTGGATTAAGAAAATGTGGCACATATACACCATGGAATACTATGCAGCCATAAAAAATGATGAGTTCATATCCTTTGTAGGGACATGGATGAAATTGGAAACCATCATTCTCAGTAAACTATCGCAAGAACAAAAAACCAAACACCGCATATTCTCACTCATAGGTGGGAATTGAACAATGAGATCACATGGACACAGGAAGGGGAATATCACACTCTGGGGACTGTGGTGGTGTCGGGGGAGGGGGGAGGGATAGCATTGGGAGATATACCTAATGCTAGATGACACATTAGTGGGTGCAGCGCACCAGCATGGCACATGTATACATATGTAACTAACCTGCACAATGTGCACATGTACCCTAAAACTTAGAGTATAATAAAAAAAAATAAAAAATAAAAAATAAATAAATAAATAAATAAATAAAATAAAATAAAAATAAAGCAAAAAAAAAAAAAAAAAAGAATGTCTGTAAAATGGCATCCTCAGGCTTTGCAATATCTCTTGACCTGCCATGCCACAAATGTGCATGGTAAAAAAAAATGTCCATCCCTTTCAAATCTTATTTAAAATGTTCACATCTATTGCATGGAACAGTAGAGTATCAAACTTATCCATTACATATCTGTTCATAAACGAACTCCTCCCAATCCCACCATTTCCAAAGAGAATTACTTTAAGAAGTGATTAATTTCCTTCCACTGTTCATCTCAAGGGCTTCAAGAGCCCTAGAAAATAAAAAAGGTACCATAACATTCCTTTTTACCTACCTATTCTTCTATATGAGTCTATGAATATCAGCATTTAGCTGAAATAAAACATAGCCCTAGGGAATATGTAATAATAAGACTTGTTGTTTACTGAGCATGTAGCCGTGAGCAGGGTACTATACTACCATGATTCTCTAAAACGACTAAAAAGGGTTTACTCTTCCCCTTTCTCAGGTCACAGTTGACTGTGAAGCTGGCACTTTAGCCTAAATGTGACATCAAAGCTCTTGTTATGAACAGTGAATCTATGATAAGCCCCTCTCTGCTCATACTAAGCTCCACTACAGTTTGGTTAGAGATGGATAAAAGACCAAAGTTTGTAGGTTTCTGAAACAGCAAGGTTCATGCTTTAGGGAGTATATTTATGACAAATGTAATAGAAGTTAGTGTTGAGAGAACAGAAAACTGTATAGTTATGTCTTGGCCAAAAAGAAGAGCAAGGTTTAAGCTGTACATTTTGATCTACGCCTGTAATCCCAGCTCTTTGGGAGGCCAAGATGGGTGGATCACAAGGTCAGGAGTTTGAGACAAACATGAAAAACATACTGAAACCCTATTTCTACTAAATATACAAAAATTAGCCAGGTGTGATGGTGTGCACCTGTAAACTTAGATACTCAGGAGGCTGAGGCAGGAGAATCCCTTTAATCCGGGAGGAGAAGGTTGCAGTGAGTCAAGATCATACCCCTGCACTCCAGCTTGGGTAATAGAGCAAGACTCCATCACAAACAAACAAACAAGCAAACACACAAACAAACAAGCAAACACACAAACAAACAAGCAAAGTAGTTTTAGTCTTTTCACATAGTCCCATAATTCTTGGAGACTTTGTTTCTTCCTTTTTATTCCATTTTTCTAATCTTTTCTTCATGCTTTATGGCATTAACTTGATCTTCAATCTCTGTGCTGTGTTTTTCAGCTCCATCATGTTGTTCATGTTTTTCTCTAAGATGGTTATTCCAGTAAGCAATTCCCTGACCTTTTTTTGAGGTTCTTAGCTTCCTGGCTTTGGGTTAAAACATTATCCTTTATCTCAGAAGAGTTTGTTGTTACCCACCTTCTGAAGCCTACTTATGTCAATTCCTCAAACTCATTCTCTATTCAGTTTTGTTTTCTTGCTGGTGAGGAATTGTGATCTTTTGGAGGAGAAGGGGCATTCTCGTTTTTGGAATTTTCTGCCTTTTTGCACTTGTTGTTGTTGTTGTTTTATCTTTGTGCATTGATATTCCTTTGGTCTTTCACGTTGGTGAGTTTTGAATAGGTTTTTTTTTTTTTTTTTGGAAATCTTTTTAGTAGATGTTGATACTGTGCCTTTCTCTTACTAGTTTTCATTCTAACAGTCAGGCCCTTCTGCTGCAGATGTGCTGGACTTTGCTGCAGGTCCACTTCTGACCATTTTCGTCTGTGTATCGCTATCAGAGAATGCAGAAAAGCAAAGATTGCTGCCTATTCCTTCCTCTGAAAGCTTCATCCCAGAGGGGCAGCCTCCAGGTGCCAGTCAGAGCACTCCTGTATGAAGTGTCTGTCGATACCTGCTGAGAGGAGTCCGCCAGTCAAGAGGCATGGGATTTATGGATCTGCTTGAGGAGACAGTCTGTTGGAGATCTGCAGCTTTCTACAGAGCCAGCAGGCAGGAAGGTTTAAGTCTGCTGAAGCTGCACCTACAGCCACTCCTTCCCCCAGATGCTCTGTTTCAGGGAGATAGAAGTTTTATCTATAAGCCCCTAACTGGGGCTGCTGCCATTCTTTCAGAGATGACCTGACCAGAGAGGAGGAATCTAGGGAGGCAGTGTGGCTACAGCAGCTTGGCTGAGCTGCAGTGACTTCCCAGTGGCTTTGTTTACACTGTGAAGGGAAAACCACCAACTCGAGCCTCAGTATTGGCGGGTGCCCCTGTCCCCAGCAATCTGAAGCATCCCAGATTAACTTCAGACTACTGCACTGGCAGCAAGGATTTCAAGGCAGTGGATTTTAGCTTGCTGGGCTCCATGGGCATGACATCCACTGAGCTAGATAACTTGGCATCCTGGCTTCTCCCCCCTGTCAAGGGAGTGAACCATTCTGTCTTTCTGGCATTTCAGGTGCCACTGGGGCACCAAAAAAAAAAAAAAAAAAAAAAAAAAAAAAAAAAACTCTTCAAGCTAGCTCAGTGTCTTCCCAAACCAATTTTTAAATTTTTAATCAAAATGTACATTTTTATATCTTTTTACAATTTTTTTATTGTTTTTATACACCTTGCATGAAAATTAATGTTTAGCACTTTTGATTACATGTTATAATGAAATTTTAGCAATTTTTAACTTTATGTAAAACGTGTTAAGTTGTTTTGTTTGTTTTTCCTGTAAATGGCAGTAACACTAAACCTTTCCCCTTGGTACAATTGAATAATATATTTTTACATTCTCGTACTTAACAATTAGCATTTCTGGGAAGCTGGATTTGCTATAAAGGTATTTTGAAAAATGTCTGTTTTGTTCTAAATGTCCCCAGACAATAGACAGAGACCCGGAATCCTCTTTATGAAAGAGGACAGTTACACTGAGAAAGCACTACATGTCCCCAAGGTTTCCTCTAGCTTAGTCCTATTGGTCGTTCGAAGAACTCGACAGCAGGCTGGACTTTCTCCAGTACCAAGAGAAAGCCAGGAAAAGGTAGATCTTACCAGACGACTGAATTAGTGTTGTCTGTTGGATGTTCCACTTGGAATTGTCAAAGGGACTCCAAGACTGGAGCTATATGAGGAACAGAGAGTAAGAGAATGAGAGAGAGAGAGAGAGAGAGAGAGAGAGAGAGAGAGAGAGAGAGAGAGAGAGACAAAGGGAGAGAGAGAGAGAGAGAAAGGGAGAGAGAGAGGAAGAGAGAGAGAAGAGGAAAGAGGGAGCCAGTGTTAGGGGTGGATTCCTGAGACTTGAGGGTTTTATAGACCTGGCCTGAGCCTTGCAGTTTCCTTCAGGTCATTTGTCCTTCTCACACAAACTGCTTGAAGAGTAAAATGAAAGAAAAGTTGGGGCAGGTGGCCAGAGACACTCAGGATCCAGGAGTTAACTTAGGATAAGCTGCCACTGCCCACAGCTTCCTGGGATCCAACGGGGCCTCTACCCCCAACACTGGTCCTGGGTTTCAGCACCAAATGTAAAAATTAAAGAAAGAGGTGAGAAACCCAAAGGGCAGCATGACTGTCAACAAGGACAGGTTTATTTTGAATCAACCTGAGAGGGGTGGCTGGCCAGGTTAAGTCAGAGCCACATTCTCTTAACAGACTAAGAGATTTTCAAGATTCAGTCTCAGAGAGTTTGTCAGAGTCTTGGACGGCTTCTGTGTCTCTTTGTTGTGGTTATCTGACAGAGAGAGCTGTGGGTCTGTTTTCATACATCTTTCTGGAGTTGCAGGCATATTTCCCATGTCTGCTTCTAGCTTCCTTATCTTACTGCACCTGAAGGGAAAGGAATGTGCTTACTATTTGTAGTTAGAAGACAAGTGATTTCCTTGAAATGCATGAGGCTAAAAAGAGAGTTGGATGTTAAAGTGGTGATATTTGTTCAAGATGAAGGTGCTCCTGTTCCATCAATTTCTAGTCAGGTAATTGCACAACCATTAGTTTTTTTCTTTGTTTGTTTGTTTTGGAGTAATTATATACTTAGAAGTAAATTCTGTTGTCTGTAAATTCAAATCAGCAAATTTATATGGCTCTATTTGATGTATTTGCCTTACACAAATGCATGCTTTATATTATAGAAACATTATAACACCTGTGAGTTTTAAAAGTTATTTTATGGTAATGAAGAGTGATTTCTTGGCCCTCTGAAAAACAAGATTAAATTATTTTGTGTATTGAATATTCACAGTTATTAAGGAAATCCCCAAGGTTTATTTTTTTAAATTAACTTTTCATTAAATTGAAGGGTATTTTAGTAAAAACACTGTAACATAAAATTAAAATTAGTGATAATACGAATAATTAAATGACTTTAATTATTCTGTTGAAGTTGTGGAAGTGTTGTTGTTATTTTAATTAGAACAGCATACAAAATCTACAAAAAAATTTACCAAAGCTCTTTATTTTCTCTCTCAAATAGGAATTTGTATTTAATAATTTTCTGTGTGAGATGTTTGCTCTTTATAAGAACAGGACTCTTTATTCAAATAGAAGCTGTTTTGTAATCTTGATTCTATTACACCAATGAATACTTATTTTTCACAGAAATGTAACAACTTGAACAAGGGTGATCAGTTACTAAGAGGAGTATTTAATCTCCTGAGAAGAAAATATACAGAGCATAGCTATTATATTTACAGAAATATATTTAACTGTTTGTAACATATGCCAGTTTAGGTAAGATATTTTCATAATTTTATGTCAATTAGGTTTTTATTTTAAAATATTAAATGAGAAGCACATTTTAATCATTATAATATGTAAAGCATCCTAAAGTACAAGCAATATTCCATATACATACATACATATACATATAAATATATATAAATGCATCCCAAATCTGTGTAACTTTAATGTATTTCATGTATTCTCAGGTTATTTATGCACTTGTTTCATTTTTCTGGTAATCTTTAAGTTTAGATATTGTACCTGATTGATGTTGTCTTTCTCTCTCTCTCTCTCTTTTTTTTTTTTTTTTTTTTTTAGATGGAGACTAGCTCTGTGGCTAGGCTGGAGTGCAGGGGCAAGATCTTGGCTCACTGCAACCTCCACCTCCCATGTTCAAGTGATTCCTCAGCCTCAGCCTCCCTAAAAGCTGGGACTACAGGCATGCCACCATGCCTGGCTAATATATATATTGGCCAAGATGGTCTCTCTCCTGACCTTGTGATCTGCACATCTCGTCCTCTCAAAGTGCTGTGATCACGGACTTGAGTCACTGTGCCCAGCAGACGTTATCTCTTAGTATTGCTTTTTGAAAACTACTGGCTTCCAGGTCATATGCCACACTATCTAAATCAGAATTTCTAGAACTTGGAAAAGGAATCTATATCCTTAAGGGATCTCAACTGGTCATTTTGTTTGTCAGTTTTAAAAATGTCTTCTATGAGAAACTTTTAGAACGTATGTGTGTTTTTGTTAAAATAAAGTAAAATAAACAGTTACAATGTAAATAAATAATTTACTTAAATTTTTTGTTGATGTTAACATAAATTAAGAAATGTGATTTTCACTAAATCTCTCTTAGGGTAGCCTGATTTTTCTCACATCAACCTATTGCACAGTAGTACTAAAGGCATTGATAGATTGTCAAAAATGTAAAACAAAAATATTTGTACTGTTTTCAGTGTTAGGGCAACATTTCAAAGTTACTAATTTATGGATATAGTTAAAATTTAATTACTATTAAATTTTACATTTATATGTGATGTTGATAAATATTATGTCACACATATGAATGATTGACTCAGACAATTAGGATTTCACTTCATGTAACTTGTTAAAGTCACAAACATTTTACTATCAAAACTAAGTTCTATGGTCACACATTCCTGTAATGAAAGTGTTATTTTATTTACCTTCAAGAGGAAACAAATTTGACCCTTTACTCTTCCTGCTCTGATCATCTCTGTGCTTTCTTTTTTCTCATCCTTGCCTGACTACATCTGAGATGCTGGGATACTTTTAGTAGAGTAGGAGCATATATTCAAATATAAATACAATATTTATTTTAAATGTAAAAATATAAAACTTAAGAACTCAAAAAAAATTTGTTTTGCACAATTTAACTTGAGATTTCAGTGGCTCATACACAACACATGATTGGTTTATAATATAACCTAAGTGTAATTTTAATTGACAAGATTCATTATACATTTATACATCTGAAGGCATTTAGGCAGTGTGTTTTAGGTTTTAGGAATTTTTGAATTTGAGGAAACTGAGTCAACACATTTGCAACACATTGTGTACTATTCCTTGTGAGGCCCCAAAGGTACCCAAGAATCAAACATACTAATGTTTCTATGAAGAGAAATGAATATTCCCTTTAAGGATGAAGGGTACATGAATGAAGACTTAATAGCTTCCCTCAATTAAGTCTTTATTACATCAGAAATCAAATTACATACCAACCTTATTTTTAAAAGCCTTGCTTAATTGAGCATTTTGAATTTCAGATAAAGTGTTTTGAATCTGTCTTAATTATGATTTTGAAAATACAGTACTGAATAAACAGCCCAGGTGGGATACAAAGCTTCATAATAAACAAGAAAAATACAAAGTGACCTGCTGCCTGTTGTAGGGAGTATATGACTTAGATTTGGAGGTAAAAAGCATCTTGCAGTAAAAAATACTTGCTTTGTTAAGCTTTTTTTTTTCTAAATAGCTAGTTGGTACAGACTTAGTATTGACATAACTTGACTTTTTAGCAATTATGTGCGATATTCAGTGTGACTTGATAAACCATTAGAGGATCACAAAAGGCATAAATTAGTAACATCTCACTGGCTATAGCATAGAAAGTTTCACAATAAACCACAGTAAGAAAGTATTCAAAATTATGTGTAGAAAAAGATTGTGGGTACTCTGTATTATGTAACTAACCTGCACATTGTGCACAAGTACCCTAAAACTTAAAGTATAATAAAAAAGAAAAACTGGCAATGTGGAACATATGTGTGGACAGATTCACGAGCTCTTTATGAGTTACAATAGGTAGGTGTTGGTAATTGGATATTTGAGGAAGTGGAATAGGAAAGAGATGTTAACACCTATGTCTCTTGTGTGATTTGATATGCTGAGGGAATAGTAATGCAATTTACTGATAGAAAGAAAAGAATCTGAGCGGATTGTGATTTAGAAGCATATGGGAGATCAAATAGAAAATTGTAATGGGGAGTTGGATACCTATGTCCAGAATTTGGAATCATCTAAAACAATACATGTGTTACTACAGATGTAACAATGAAAAAAAGTCATAGAAAGGAATGTCATTGAATGGAAACTTTTTTAAAAAAAGTTAATGTTATCATGGTAGATAACATTAAGTTATCCAAAAACAATCCATAGCCTCTATAAGTAGTTAGTTTAACTTGTATGTAAGAAGGAGAGTTTTTGTTTGTTTGTTTGTTTTTTTGAGGGAGTCTCACTCTGTCACCCAGACTGGAGGGCAGGAACGCAATCTCGGCTCACTGAAACCTCCGCTTCCTGGGTTCAAGCAATTCTGTGTGTCACCCTCCTGAGTAGCTGGGATTACAAGTGTCCACCACCACACCTGGATAATTTTATATTTTTAGAAGAGATGGGGTTTCACAACCTTGGCCAAATTGGTTTTGAGAAAAATTATAATTTTAAAAAACTGTGGTTACACTCAAGACAGATCTTTAGCCTTCTTCTAGAATTCTTAGCTGTGTCATCTGCAGTAAAATAAGACTAAGATTGACCAGAATTAGTTACCCAACTCTGCTAGGAGATTAAAAGTTTTATTGTTATAGGATTGTAGAAACAAATCATAGTATATAACTGGAAACTCTATACACACACGCCCCCCCAAACACAAAATCATACACAATTTTCACTCAATAGACATTATAATAAGCATACTAAAAAACCTGATTTTCACTCAATAGACATTATAATAAGCATACTGAAAACCTGATAATAAACTAAAGGTATTATAAAGTTGTAGAACACGATGATTAAAGCCAAATCATAATCTTAAATTTTAAACAACTGAAAATGTTAGATTTTAACAATTAAATTTTTCTAATTGTTCTTTGGTCCACCATCATAGATTTCAAGCAGATTAATTAATGTTGTAAAACGACATTAAGAGTCTCTATCAATGGGGTTTAATTTATACCATTTAAAAAATAGTTTGTAGTCATATATTGTTTACTATGTAACTTCTTTTATTTGCTCTAAAGTAAGGCTAAATCACATCTTAACCTCATCTCATTCAAGGAAGTGATTACAGTAAAATTATACATGTTGGGTTAATGTGGAAAACAGTGAATGTAGATTAATGTGGGTTTTTTGCAAGAATTTAGTATTCTCCTTATTAAGATTAGCTTGAAATGTTTTGTGTAATGAATATTTAGTCTATTCAATAGGCGTTATTCAGATATATATCAACAGATATATATCAACATCTGCTATGTACCAACCACTGTTCAAGGCAGCAGATAACAATATAGGCAAAGATAATATTAATCCAAATTGCACGTGAAAACAAATGATACTATTGATAATGTGGCAAATGACTTGATTTTCACTTTATTATAATTTTTAAGAGAATAATACAATGAAATATGTACTGTCAGTGTTACAAGAAGTCTATCCATGTTATTCCTTACCTGAAATAATTAGATTACACAAATTACCTTTTTCAAAAGAAATTTATATTATAAATGCTCCTATGGCAAAAAAAAAAAAACATAGCTTCTGACTTGGAATATAATATTACTATATTAAGTAAGACACATGGTAGAGAGAAAAAAACAATTTTATTTATCTTTCATGGTAATGACAAAAAAGGTAGAAGTCTCTATTTTTTGCATTTTTAATATTGACTCTTAAGAAGAGTAAACAATTTTCAGTGTCAATATGTTGCAATTTAGCCAGACCTAGAAGAAAAATGACTGATTATTAGCAAATCAGGAAAATTTTATTGTTGCCATTGAAAATTGCTTTAGCCATCATGTGTGTGTTCTTACACTATTAGAATTGAAATCAATTTTCTACTGCCAATTTATATTGCTGTTCTATCATCATGGGATTCTTGCTTTACATTCTTAAATGTTGTCTCTGAAAAATGAGTGACTACCAAACAAGTTTTTCTTTTTTATTCAAAAAGTTAGTCTTAAAAGGCTATTCCTCTTTAATAAAAATAATGAGGTGAGTGAATATGGTGAGGCATTTCTCTAATCCCAAGTAGTTGGAAGGCTCAGGCAGGAGTATTCCTTGAACCCTGGAGTGTGAGACCTCATTGAGCTATGAGCTATCATCATGCCACTGTAGTCCAGCCTGGGCCACAGAGCATAATCCTATGTGTAGAATAAAAAATAGAACTATGAAAAGTAATAAAGCCTGACTGTTTTTAATTCACTTTTAATAATGCATGGATAGTATATTTAGCCAAAACATTTTAAATTAGTAACATGCCAAGAGATCAGATGTTTTAGTCAGATTGCTAGCTCCTCAACTGGCTAAATATGTAACATTTGGCAAAGTATTTCTCCTAACAGTAATTGATTTTTTTATTTGTTAAATGGATTTACTAGTGCTACCCTCTTAGGGAACTAACTCTGATATTAATTAGATTACCTCAAAAACTTGTTACATAATAGGCAATAAAATATTAGCACATATTAGGCAATAAAATATTAGGCACATATTAGGCAATAAAATATTAGCTACTACTAGATATTACAGATTATTTTCATCTGCTTATTTTAAAGCTCATAGTGCATATAATAAAATTCCAGCAGAGCGAAAATGACTGTTAGATACAATAGAACACTCTAAGAGTCATTATCAAAAATGAGCATATCGGTGTGTAAAATGTATGGTAGTTTTATTTAACGGTTGTTTCATTGTTTACCGTAGTGTTTTTTCTTACAATTTTGTGGAAGCCTGTGTCAGAGTTAAGAACTTTTATAGAAGAGGATAATCATGGATGATTGAAATTGACATTTTAAGCTGATACTGAAAGTTATTCTAACTTCTATTACATTTATAGTTGTATTTTCTTTCAAAGGATAATGGAAGTCTTAAAAAGAAAATGGATACTTCCCTGACAGGGGAGATACCTAGGAATCCAACTTCCCAGGGCAAGACTGATCTATTGCACTATGGATGTGCCGACCCCTGAGATTTACAAAATTGTGGGAAACTCAACTGCATAATTTATGGAAATGAAGGACTGTGTTTGCGCTTTCACGTGGAAAAGAAACAGAAAAGAAAAGAAAAGAAAATTGACTTGTTTAGTGGATATAGAAACTTGAAACTAGACCATGTACTGGAAACAATTCAGTATGCCTACAAAAGTTGGTCTCCAGCACAAAACAATAAAACATCAAATGGTTATGTCTTAGGCAGATCAAATAGTGTTAGGATGACACTTGCAAAACCTTGCAAACTGAGTCCACATGAGGGGACGAGGGGAAGCACCCAAAGGAAGCAGATAAATCTGGGAAAAAGAGAAGTCATTTTTAAATGTGTAAGCCAATGTTTATGTATTAATATTTCCCTTAAAAATATTTATTTTATTAAATGGTTAACATTGGTTTCTTTGACCTTAAAAAGTAGGTTTTCTTTTGGAAATGACTGATGTGAAATGGTCTAGAAATTACACAGCTAGAATAATTCAGATTTTTCCCTGACTTATACATCATTTGCAGGAGTTGTGAAGATGTTAAAGATGCCAGCTTTTTTGCATTTCTTAGAAGTTTATTCTAAATGAAGAAAATTAAATATAAGGTATAAAGTTACTTTCATAATAAAATTGTCAATCTTTTTAAATATTTTGAATTTGAAGCCAGATAATCAAGATTCCTTAGATGAGCGTAAGTCCTCTTCAACAGAAGATGCCACATTATGTCCTCATCCAACAGGATTTATGTATGAACAGGTAAAAATAAATAAATACATACATACATAAATTTTTATTTTTCTTTTTCAAACTCATTTTGATCTTTACTTATATGGTCTTCAATTTTATTTCCTTACATATTTGGTAACATATCAGCTGTGACTTCAAATTAAGAAAAAGAAGTTATTGAAAGAAATAAAGGGTATTCAATTAGGAAAAGAGGAAGTCAAATTGTCCCTGTTTGCAGATGACATGATTGCATATCTACAAAACCCCATTGTCTCAGCCCCAAATCTCCTTAAGCTGATAGGCAACTTCAGCAGAGTCTCAGGATACACAATCAATGTGCAAAAATCACAAGCATTCTTATACACCAATAACAGACATAGGGCCAAATCATGAGTGAACTCCCATTCACAATTGCTTCAAAGAGAATAAAATACCTAGGAATCCAGCTTACAATGGACGTGGAGGTCCTCTACAAGGAGAACTACAAACCACTGCTCAATGAAATAAGAGGTTACAAACAAATAGAAGAACCTTCCATGCTCATGGGTAGGAAGAATCAGTATCATGAAAATGGCCATACTGCCTAAGGCAATTTATAGATTCAATGCCATCCCCATCAAGCTACAAATGACTTTCTTCAAATAATTTGGAAAAACTACTTTAAAGTTCATATGGAACCAAGAAAGAGCGTGCATTGCCAAGTCAATCCTAAGCCAAAAGAACAAAGCTGGAGGCATCACACTACCTGACTTCAAACTATAGTACAAGGCTACAGTAACCAAAACAGCATGGTATTGGTACCAAAACAGAGATATAGACCAATGGAACAGAACAGAGCCCTCAGAAATAATGCCACATATCTACAATTATCTGATCTTTGACAAACCTGACAAAAATAAGAAATAGGGAAAGGATTCCCTATTTAATAAATGGTCCTGTGAAAACAGGCTATGTAGAAAGCTGAAACTGGATGCTTCCTTACACCTTATATAAAAATTAATTCAAGATGGATTAAAGACTTAAATGTCATACCTAAAACCATAAAATCCCTAGAAGAAAACCTAGGCAATACCATTCAGGACATAGGCATGTGCAAGGACTTCATGTCTAAAACACCAAAAGCAATGGCAACAAAAGCCAGAATTAACAAATGGGATCTAATTCAACTCAAGAGCTTCTGCACAGCAAAAGAAAGTACCATCAGAGTGAACAGGCAACCTACAGAATGGGAGAAAATTTTTGCAATCTACTCATCTGACAAAGGGCTAATATCCAGAATCTATAATGAACTCCAACACATTTACAAGAAAAAAAAAAACCATCAAAAAGTGGGCAAAAGATATGAACAGACTCTTCTCAAAAGAAGACATTTATGCAGCCAAAAGACACATGAAAAAATGTTCATCATCACTGGCTATCAGAGAAATGCAAATCAAAACCACAATGAGATATCATCTCACACCAGTTAGAATGGCAATGATTAAAAAGTCAGGAAACAACAGGTGCTGGAGAGGATGTGGAGAAGTAGGAACACTTTTACAGTGTTGGTGGGACTGTAAACTAGTTCAACCATTGTGGAAGTCAGTGTGGCAGTTCCTCAGGGATGTAGAACTAGAAATATCATTTGACCCAGGCATCCCATTACTGGGTATATACCCAAAAGATTATAAATCTTGCTTCTTTAAAGACACATTCACATGTATGTTTATTGTGGCACTACTCACAACAGCAAAGACTTGGAACCAAGCCAAATATCCAACAATGATAGACTAGATTAAGAAAATGTGGCACATATACACCATGGAATACTATGCAGCCCTAAAACCTGATGAATTCATGTCCTTTGTAGGGACATGGATGAAGCTGGAAATCATCATTCTCAGCAAACTATCGTAAGGACAAAAAACCAAACACTGCATATTCTCACTCATAGGTATGAATTGAACAATGAGAACACATGGACACAGGAAGGGGAACATCATACACTGGGGACTGTTGTGGGATGGGGTGAGTGGGGAGGCATAGCATTTGGAGATATACCTAATGTTAAATGACAAGCTAATGGGTGCAGCACACCAACATGGCACATGTATACGTATGTAACTAACCTTCACATTGTGCACATGTAGCCTAAAACTTAAAGTCTAATAAAAAAATTGTATCAAGCACCTACTAGAAAAAAAAAAGGAAAGAATTATCTAGGACAGCTTTGGCAAGATGATCAGAAGAAGAATACTTTTTTTTTTTTTTTTTTTTTTTTTTGAGACGGAGTCTCGCTCTGTCGCCCAGGCTGGAGTGCAGTGGCGGGATCTCGGCTCACTGCAAGCTCCGCCTCCCGGGTTCACGCCATTCTCCTGCCTCAGCCTCCCAAGTAGCTGGGACTACAGGCGCCCGCCACTACGCCCGGCTAATTTTTTGTATTTTTAGTAGAGACGGGGTTTCACCGTTTTAGCCGGGATGGTCTCGATCTCCTGACCTCGTGATCCGCCCGCCTCGGCCTCCCAAAGTGCTGGGATTACAGGCGTGAGCCACCGCGCCCGGCCCAGAAGAAGAATACTTTAAGTGTGGTCATGTTTTATTTTACCCTTGTGACATTTTCTTTGTCAATAGGTACTACCTTGTCCTAGTTCATAAAAATTTGTGATATTTCAAGAAGAGCATAAAGTAATTTATTTATTCTTTCTCAAAATGCAGAGACAGTAAAAATTAACCATTTTACGGGCTTTAATACAAAGTTTACTAAAAAACAAATACTGATCAAAATATAAATAAATACCATTTATGAACACTTCTAAGTTAAAACGAATATTTTTGTTAAAATTTTCTGGGAAGATTAGCCACAACAAGAGTAATGCAGTCTTCTCTTTTCTTTTCTTACCTTTTTTCTTTCTCTTTCTTTCTCTTTTTCTTTCTTTCTTTCTCTCTTTTTCTTTCTTTCTTTCTTTGTTTTCTTTCTTCCTTTCTTTCTTCCTTTGTTTTTTCTCTTTCTTTTCTTCCTCTCTTCTTTCCTTTCTTTCTTTCCTTTTTTTTTTTTTTTTTTTTGATGGTGTTTCACTCTTGTTGCCTCGGCTGGAGTGCAATGGTTGTGATTTTGGCTCACTGCAACTTCCACCCCAGGAGTTCAATCGATTCTCCTGCCTCAGCCTCCCAAGTAGCTGGGATTACAGTCATGTGCCACCACACCTGGTTAATTCTGTATTTTTGGTAGAGACAAGGTTTCACCTTGTTAGCCAGGGTGGTCTGGATCTCCTGACCTCACGATCCACCCTCCTCAGCCTCTCAAAGTGCTGGGATTATTTTGAGTCATGGCACCCAGCCAGGTTAATCATTTAAAAGATTTTAGTGTGCTATAACATTTAGCATGACTTCTCACCAAGTTCATGTAGCCAAAAATTGGAATTACCTAAATTACAGCAGTTGTCCAGAGTAACAGCTCTATTGCTCAGAAACCTTATTTTTTTATGCCAGAAACAATCAAAGACAGGGTAAAAATGTAAAAAACAAGCAGATTTTAATTCTACACATTCTTCACCTTTAATGTTTGATAGCTTAATTTCTTGCTGAGATAAAGATATTGCCATATTTTTAATAGGAATTCTTAAATATTACAACCAATATACATACTTTTCATATGTCACAATGTTTGGAGCATGGGAAGTTGTATTTTTTTGTGCTGGGGGCACTTTTGTGGTAGAATTTACTAAGGGATGCTTCTAAAATTTGCTTCACCTAATTCCAGTAAAGTGCATATTATCAGAATCCACAGTACTTTGAAGCACCATTGTGCCAAGATTTCTGACTGTTTTGCTAGCCAGTCACAATTTTCCTTGAAAGCAGTAAGTCTCCTAGTTTATTTCTATATTATTTTAAAGCTTTTGTCATTAGATGTAGGGTTTACTGAAGATAAAAGTGCCTTCTGATTTTAAATAATTAATATAATTTTTTATTTGATGTAATATCTCTATGCCCCTGTTGGAAACAGTAGGATATGAAGTGTGTTGCATAGTGTGAGGATCAGCAATTCATTTGTTTGAACCGGTTACAATATACTATGTTTTTATCTTTTTATAGTATATAAGCATTAGCATTGAACACCATGAATGCAAAATGCAGTCTACATTAGTCAAGACCTATAAATACACTATCAGGGCTACTGATATTGGTATATTGTAATCCAACTATGTCATGTGTCTTCCTATATGGACTATTGTTATTTGCAGTCTATGTTTCTCTTCTGGCCTAGACTTAGATTTTGGAATTTCTGTTCCTTAGAAAGTACAAGAGAAGCATATTTAGATTAATCCCATTTCTGCATTACTGCTGCACCTCTTTAAGGTTGCCACTTCAAGGGACTACATCATGATGTCCTGTTTCTAATGACCTCCCAATCATCCTGCAGAAGATTCTTCAAATGGGGATCAACATGTCCTTATTTAAGGTACCCCTTAAATTTCTACTATTAAGTGGATGCCAGGATATGATTCAGCCCATTGAAAGTCCGTGTATCACATACTGGCATCTGTTTGAAAGTCCAGTTTTCTATTGTTCACATGGCCAGGATACTGATTACTGTTTACGACTCATGAATTCAAACAATTGCCTTTATAAAACAATCATTTAACAGCATAGAGTTCAATCATTGAGCTAATTTACTCATTCAATCTTCAACTGGTCTTCATTTCTGGTCTCTATGAGAGCCTTGCAACAGGACATTATACACCCACTTTGAAACTGCCATTCATCAACTAAGCAGGTTGTTGTTGTCAATAGGGAGCTCTTCAAAGGGCATTGCCCATGTGACAGTGGGATCCAGTAATTCCTGAGGTTATTGCAAACTACATGCTAGAAAATACCAGACTGCCTGCTCTTGAATAGGATCATCATCTCATTGCACTTCCCTGGTAATATTTTCCTCTATAAAACCATCTTTTTATGTTATTTGAAAGTCTTCTGAGCACTTCCTCATTAGACTGTTTCTTTAATTTGCCCAACACTTTATACGTGTTGCAAGTTTTATAATTATTTTATGGTCTTCAGTCAAAGAAGCTGTCTCAACACTAAGGCAAGAAAACCTAGTAATTATCTTTCCAATGGCACATATTGTTTCATGGCATCCAGGAGAGCCCTGGACCACAATTTCCAGCTAATGCTGAAGAGGGGCATGTGTGGCTTTTCTGCCATGTCCTCAGTCTGCCCAAGAACATGTCGCAAGTACTTCTAAAATCAGAATTTGGATCACAAAGTCCCAATGTGTAGAGAGAAAGAGGTTTTTACAATTCAGAAATGGCCACATTTAGTGAAATTTCTTATTTAAACAGACCACTATTTATCATTTTTAAACTGATGCATTATAATTTTCCATATTTACAATGTAGAACCGTTATCTTGATACATGCACAAAATCAGCAATGACCAAATTTTTAAATGGCATACTGGTAATTGGTATATTAGTCATTTCCGACATATATGACATATTTGTTTCAAGAACTTTCCAAATCTAAACTTCTAGTTATTATGAAATCTATAATAAATTATTCATACCTATAACCTCCCTCCTATACAATCAAACTTTAGAACCTATTCTTTCTAACTATTTTTTACACATTAACTAACTCATTTATTTGCTTAATGTCTTTCATAGCCTATAATAATCTGTCATTCTATTCTCTACCTATATGAGATCAACTTTGTTATTTCTCACATATGAATAAAATCAACCAATCCTTGCGCTTTATATTTCCTGGCAAATTTCACTTAATATAATGTCTCTTAAATGAAGTATTTTGCCTCAGTAATATTTAGTTAACTTATTGAGGCTTTTATACAACTGAAATAATCACTCACCTAAAATTTACCATAACTGTTACCAAAATTCTTTGGGTACATATGATTGTACTTTGAAAACAGCTCAATGAACAAAGATGTCTTGAAGATGTCTTATGACACAAATATTGTTCTCTTTTCTATCTTCTGTCTTTATTAACTCTGGATTGTCTTCCAATTAATAAAAATATTCTGATAAATTACCTTGGGGATCAACATTAATGACCAAAAAATCAGTAATGCACTCATTTAACTTTATAAATATAAGGAAAGAAGTTGAAACAAATAAAAAACTTGCTGAATAAAATTATATACATTTTGTACATTCCTAATTTTCAAAACACTTAAATTACTTTTTATTTTTTACTCTTATTGCTCAGTTCAAACATAGACTATTATAACTGGGTTTACAGAAAAGTTATCATAAAAGATTCATAAAATAATAACCTACACTGGAGATAATATAATATAGTAAAATTTGTTCAAGCAGGCAGGAGTAAGACAAATGAGTCCTCTGCCATGAGTAACTTTGGGGAATAAGTAACTTTGGGGGAATAAGTTACTTAGTCTTTGTAGGATTCTGTATCTTCTTCTGGGAATAATGCATTTTCCAAATTACATAAGATTATTTACATGATGAAATCAGAATTATTAACACTGAATAAATATGCCTATTAACCCTAGTTTTGGAAGGATGGGGTGGGGGGCATAGAGAGAAGCTCCAAAAGTCAAAACATGATTGTAGCCATAGAGCAAAGTACAGTTGCTTTCCAAGTATCTGAGAGGTTTCTTATTGTTTTCGTTGTGTCATAGGTTTGTGATGAAGAAATAAACAATCCCCAGTTCCTGCCCTAGAGAAGCTCATTGCATAGAAAAAGGAACAAGGCAGATATACATGCCACAGTACAGTAATGAGACAACATAAATCACAAGCAACCAAGTCCAAAGGTAAGATACCTAATTTGAAATTTTATATTCTGTTTCATCTGCTTCTTGCTGTTGTGATTAACCATCTCTATATGTGTTAAATTCAACGCCCTAGGGGTAACACGGGCTATCATGTCAGAAATTACCTTCCAACTTTTCTTCCAATAGTGTCTGTTAACCAAGTATTGGTGAACATCCCATATGAAGATTCTACTAAAAGTAAAGCTACCCCAACTGCAATGCTTGGATGATATAATTTTCTGGGTCTAAGAAAGAGGAAGAAAGTGTGTGTTTTGTAATGTCTATAAATCATTAAATGCTGGGACACTGGTAACTGAAAGACAAACTATTTCTGCCAACTGAAAGGAAAAAATGAAGACATTGTAGGAAAACAATTTATTACAGTAAAACTATTCTGATTTTTTAATTTAGTTTTTATCAATATCCACACAAAAAGTAAAATTAATAATAATAATAATAATAATAATAATAAAGATCTTGAGTATAAACATTACCAAAATTTAGGTGTTCCATGTTTACTTATTTGGAGGTGTATCCTAAATAGGTGATCACCACTGTAACCTAATTTTTTACTGCTTTATGTTCAAATTAAACTTTTCATAGGCAGTGTTATGATAATTCTTAACTAATATTTTTTACAAAATCAGGGAGCATAATTTGAAGAACACATTTGATTCTTTAGCAGAAAAAGCTCTAATTTCATAAAAACATATTAGAGAATTTTAAAAATAAGCACAGCTTATGAAACACAGACAATATAAATATAACAGTCATAGTTTCTCAGCGATTTTAGCCACATTATAAAAATGTACTTACCACAAATTCTTTTAAAGAACAATAATTGCAGAGAGAAAAACCGTAGCTGCTATCAGAATCTTCAAACTATTAGTAATTAATAATTAGAATTTACCTCACTGTTCTGCTTCTCATCTTCAAACAATCATTATCTATATTTTTACCTATGCATTCAATTGCAAGAATACTGTTTTCAGTGTGGGGGGAAACACATACACACACGTATGTATATCTATAACATATATATAGATATATATGGCTGCTGGATCACAGCATTCATATGATAAGTAGCACCAGCATTTTTGAGTCCCGCAAATATTTCTGGCAGGTGAGATCTAACAGAGAGCAGATATTCCCACTCAAAAAGTGCTTCACAACCTGAGATCAGAAGAAAAAACAATGCTTGTACTATGAAAATCATAATTCTGCCCACTCTTCTTTCCATCACGTGACAAATTAATATTGATGACAACTCATTTGTCATCACAGCCATTTTGAAAGAGTACTTTGAATTTTCATACTAACAATAAATCAAGTGACCATTACAGATTTTTAACTTCAGACCCCTTAGGTACATAGTTTAATGCCATCACATCTGTTTGTTTTTTTAAAAAAGGGTTTATTTTAAAAACTGTCTTTTGAATATATATATACATATATAAACTATGTCAATTCAATTGTTAAATAAATTAACATACAAGGTGTTTTTAAGAGGGAAACTCTTCTCTTTACATAGATCTCACGAGACAAATAAAGATCTGACTTTTTAAGTGGTGAGTTTAGCTAGAAACTCCTACAATATGCTAGAAAATATACTCGCCCAGAGAAAAACGTAAACAAATAGAATTTCACATTCATCAATTAAAGATCTGTACAGAATGCTGTTGTTAACTGTATTATTAATCCTTGGTTTTCTCTTGAAATAAGCTGAATTTTGTTATCATTTGCTCATTTACTTATATTAACTCACAGGCTGAGTTTCTGTTCTGTGTAAGATTTGAACATTGATACTTACTTTGTTGGACTTATGTGGACATTTAGAAGTAATAAAATTCACTCAAAAGTTTTCTTCTCACATTATGATTTTTAAAGCCATACCTCTCTTAGAATTTAACTAAAATAACATTAAGTAACTTCGAGGTTTGGGTTATAAAAATCATTTTAATGCATACATTTTAAATATAAAATTTGGACCATTAAATTTGGCTTCTGGATACTCTGAGGTTTCAGTATTTTTTAACATGGGATTCAATAAAACCCACTTTGGTTACCAACACCAAGTATAGGGGAGCACTTAAGAAATACATATATTTTTTTAAATTTAATATTGTCTGACATAAACGGTTTTAAATATATACCTGATGGCTACAAAATGTTAAACTAGTTGATCAAAAGCAAACAAGCAAGAAAACTATGAGTTAATTCCTTCTAAATAAAAAGTAGACTTTCAAAGTAAACTATTATTCCTGAAGAAAAACAGCTTTATAATGTAAAAATTCACTAGTTGTTGCTTTCTCTCTGTAATATATTGCATTCAAACAGTCTACTATCTTTTTAAGGTTCTTTACACAGCCAATAGCTGGTGCTACAAGCAGATCAAAACCAGGATTGATGGTAATGGAAGAGGAACAGACTGGAAGAGCTGGCTCTTCTGGCAGTTTTTTTATTTCTTAGACATTACAGTTAAACTTTTGATGCAGGGAAGACAACAACATCAATTAATTCTTGGTAAGTTAGAAAAATAAATCACAGGTTATTAGTAGAAAACATATGTTATGAAAAATATGTCTTTTCAAGAAAATACTTTTATGTTTATTTGACATAATTAAAATCTCATTATATTTTGAAACAATTTTGAATTTTGTTCCAAAGAAAAATCATTTCAAAAAACCCAAGAACAGTCAATGCATGTAATTCATTTCCAAAATTAGATTATTGAAGAAATTTCTAAAACCTGAGAACTTTACCCAAAACAAAAATAGCATTCTAAATTAACCTACTTTTTAAATTACATATTAATGGAAATAAATTTATTTTCAATAATAATAAGGCATTAAAGTTACATTATTTTTCTTGAATTACGAAACATATAAAGAAAAACATCAAAAATATGATATAAAAAATAAGTTTTTGCAAGATGAATGTTTTCTCAATTAGAAATTCAATCAAGGGACAGGTGTGGTGGCTCACATCTGTAATTCCAGCACTTTTGGAGGCCAAGGCAGGCAGCATACTTGAAGCCAAGAGCTTGAGACAGGCCTGGCCAATATGGTGAAACCCCATCAGGTGTAGCGGTGCTCACCTGTAATCTAAGCTAATCAAGAAGTTCAGGCAGAATAATCACTTGAAACCGGGAAGCAGGGGGTTGCAGTGTGCCAAGATTGCACTGCTGTACTCCAGCCAAAGAGACAGTGTGAGATTCCTTTATAAAAATAAAAGAAAATAAATTAAATCAATTAAGAATTGAGATATATTACTTATTTACTTTTCAATGTAGTTTCTGGCAACTTCGAATTGCAATTACAAAAATGTCTTAAATAAAGTGTGGCACACATTTCAAAGTTACTGTAACCTCACCTCTACAAAAAGAAAGCTTTTTTTTTATTTAATGTATTCAATTTCATTTTATATTAAGTTCCAGGGTACATATGCAGGGCATACTGGTTTATTTCATAGGTAAACTTTTCCGTGATTGTTCACTGCAACTATTAACCCATCACCGAGGTTATTCAGCCCCACATAAATAAGCTATTTATTCTGAAGGTCTTTTTTTCTCTGCCTCTGGACAGACCAAGTCGAAAGCTGTTCTGTGTGTCTTTAATGTTCAGTGTGAACGTTTAATGATTGTGAACATGGAGTGCTTGTTTTTTCGTTTCTCTGTTAGTTTTCTGAGGATGATGGTTTCCAGCTTCATCCATCTCCCTTCAGAGAACATGATTTCTTTCATTTTAGTGGCTGCATATTATTTCATGATGTATATGTGCCATGCTTTCTTTATCTAGTCTGTTACTGATGGGCATTTGAGTTAATTCAATGTATTTGCTATTGTGATTAGTGCTGTAATAAACATACACATCCATGTATACTTAAAATAGAATGACTTATTTTGAAGGGGAGCTATGTACCCAGTAATGAAATTGCTGAGTCCAGTGGTATTTCTGGTTCTAAATATCTGATGAATTACTACACACTTTTCCACAATGTCCATACTGATTTACACTCCTAACAACAGTGTAAAAGCATTGCTATGTCTGCACTAACCCACTACCATCTGTTGTTTCCTGGCTTTTTAGTAATCTCCATTTTGTCTGGCCTCAGATGATATCTCATTGTGATTCTGGTTTGCATTTCCCTAACAATTAGTGATGCCGACCATTTTGAGTTAAATGTCTTCTGAAATGAAAGACACATAACTCTTTTCTTACCCCAGTGTGGCCTCTTTATATCTGCTAATCAGCACTCATTTCCCGGTGTTTTAACACTACCCTGCAAAAGAAAAAGTATTATAGGCTCAACTTATTAGATAGAGAAAATGACAGGATATTAGAACAGCAGAAAGTTAGAGAAAAATGAGATCTCATATAAAATTTCCACAAGTTTTTTCTTTTTTTTTTTTGACAGAGTTTCTCTGTTTTCATGCAAACTGTAGTGCAATGGTGCAATCTTGGCTCACTGCAACCTCAGCCTCCCCGGATCAAGCAATTCTCCTGCCTCAGCCTCCTCAGTAGCTGAGATTACAGGTGTCAGCCACCACACCCAGCTAATTTTTTCTATCATTGTCACATCAAATCTACAGCTAAGCATATGAAGAGATAATAAGTTATCAGAAAAATGAAAAATCAAGCCACAATGAGATACAAGTTTATATTGAATAGAATGGACTGTAATGAGAAATAAATGACAGATGTTTTCAAATATATGGAAAAATTGGGAAACTCATCCAATTGCTATCGGGAACATGAAGTGAGGTTGCTCCTTTAGAAAACAGTCCAGTAGTTTCCCAAATAATTGGATGTACATTCAGCATATTTCCCAAAAATTAAGGTATATTTATGCCAATTTGTATAGGAATGTTTGTAGTAGCATTATTCACAATATAAATATTTCCATCAACTCCTGATGTGGAGGTGGACCTAGGCCAACACTACCCTTGCAGTGCATTCGCATCATACATTCCCTTACCATATATCTGATACAATTGATGCAAATTCATTTATTTCATAGTGAAACCACCAAGATAAAGAATTTGGACAAAATACTGGAACTTTTTTCCATCAGTATGCTTGGTTTAAAAATAGGACAGAATATTAAACCTGTTTCAGAAATCTCAAGCTTAGGAAATGCCGGCATTTTAAAGAAAGGACACTCTGCCTTGGAAGGAGGCATTATCTTTATCTTTCATGGGTGTTTGTTATACATAGCCCCATTGAGGATAATCTACAGCACAAGGCTGTAAGTCACAAAGAGCCTCATATTGTATGAGTCCATTTATATGAAGTGTCTGTAGTAGGCAAATCCATAGTGACGGAAAATGTCTTATTGGATACCAAGGGCTTTAGGAAATGGGGAAGCTGGGATTTAATGGTAATGGGTGCAGTGGTATTTTTTTATTTATTTCAGGTGATGGAAATCTGTATTTAAAAAGTGGTGATATTTGTACACCTTTATGAATACCCAGAATATCATGGAATGTGTACTTTAAAATGGCTAATATGATAGTTTGTGCGTTATCTCTCAATTAAAAATGTGTTGAAACCTCAGTGAAAGTTTTGAGCACTACAAGCCTTAGCAGGAATGTAGATGCAAGTTAAACACACAGATATGTGTTTAAAAGCAACTTAAAAGTACGAAATGGGCCCCAGTCACATAAAGTGGAAGGGAATTGAACAACTGAAAAACAATGTGAGGTAAACTCAAAATTGGAATTAAATATGAAAGAATGCTTTCTCCAGTCTACATAGCAAAAAGTGGAGGAAAAGGCCATGTAGTTGGATGATGCTTTCCTTATAAATAATGCCTCTAACTATGCCCCTAAATGTTAAATCATTTTTTATAAGAAAGCGAAACTCAGAATCTGGAAAGAAGTCAGGAATATCAGCATTAAATTATAAATTGTTCAGCATACACCTGAAGAATTTAATTTACCTTTTAATTCTTGTTATACATAAATAGAATCACACAGAATTATCTAGTTTGTTAATAAAACCAGCAGGATAAATAATTGCTTAACCTTTTATTGCTTCAATCTCCACAGTTTAATAAGAAGACCAAATAATAAGTCTGTTGCAGAAATTATGTCTATGAATCTTTTAGAATAGAGATCATGCCAGGCATGGTTAATCACACCTATAATTGAAAGAATACAGGGGGTCCAAGGCGGGTGGACAACCTGAGGTCAGGAGTTTGAGACCAGCCTGGCCAGCATGGTGAAATCCCGTCTGTACTAAAAATGTCAAAAAAAAAAAAACATCAAAAAAGAACTGCCAGTTGGGCTGGCAGTCCCCTGTGTTCCCAGCTACTCAGGATGTTGACACAGGAGAATTGCTTGAACTTGAGAGGCAGAGGTTGCAGTTAACTGAGATCCTGTCACTCCAGCTTGAGCAACAGAGCAAGACTTAATCACACCCCACTGCAGGCCAAAAATAGGTAAATAAATAAATAAATAAATAAATAAATAAATAAATAAATAAGAAAAAAGGATCAAATTAACTGCAAATATATCAGGTATTATTTACCCCAGTTCACCTGACAAAAGACAAAAATCCACATACTGATGGAACTTATATTTTGGCTTTAGTGGAAAGTAGTGACAATATCTAGTGATTTAATTTTAATTAAGAAGGACAAGGATGGTGGGTTTATTTACGGTGGAAGGTAGAAGATAACTAAAGGGGATGAGTGAATCAGATGAGAAATGTGGATGACCTGTATCTGGGTGACGCAGGAGAAATAGGGAAAAGTGGTTAGATTGTGAACCTATTTTAAAAAGAAAACATGCAGAATTTGAGGATTAATAGAAAAGATGAGATGAAAATAAAAGCATCAAGGATGACCTTACAGTTTTAGGCCTTTGCAACAGGACGTGATTACTATCAGGTGAAATGGGAAACAATTCGGGAAGGTTATTTGGAAAAAGCATTGTTTCAGGAAGTCAGGAACCCCGAACAGAGGGACCTGCTGAAGCCATGGCAGATGAACATAAATTGTGAAGAGTTCATGGACATTTATTAGTTCCCCAAATTAACACTTTTATAATTTATTATGCCTGTCTTTACTGCAATCTCTGAACATAAATTGTGAAGATTTCATGGACACTTATCAATTCCCCAATCAATACCCTTGTGATTTCCTATACCTGTCTTTATTTTAATCTATTAATCCTGTCATTTAAGTAAGCTGAGGAGGATGTATGTCACCTCAGGACCCTGTGATGATTGCGTTAACTGTGCAAATTGTTTGTAGAGCATGTGTGTTTGAACAATGTGAAATCTGGGCACCTTGAAAAAAGAAGAGGATAACAGCAATGTTCAGGGAACAGGGGAGATAACAAACTCTGACTGCCAGTGAGCCAGGCAGAACACAGCCATATTTCTCTTCATTCAAAAGCAAATGGGAGATATATTACTGAATTCTTTTTCTCAGCAAGGAACATCCCTGAGAAAGAGAATGTGCCCCTGAGGAGAGGCCTCTGAAATGGCCGCTTTGGTGATGGCTGTCTTTTATGGTCATAGCTGAGGGAAGAAATAAGACCCGGTCTCCCATAGCACTCCCAGGCTTATTAGGACGAGGAAATTCCTGCCTAATAAATTTTGGTCAGACCGGTTGTCTGCTCTCAAACCCTGTCTCCTGACAAGATGTTATCAATGACAATGTGTGCACAAAACTTCACTTGCAATTTAAATTTTGCCCCGGTCTTGTGGTCCTGTGATCTCACCCTGCCTCCATTTGCCTTGTGATATCTTATTACCTTATGAAGCATGTGATCTCTGTGACTCAAACCCTATTCATACACTCCCTCTCCTTTTGAAAATAACTGTTAAAAATTTGCTGGCTTTGAAGCTTCTGGGGCATCACGGAACCTGCCAACATGTGAGGTCTCCCCCGGACACCCAGGTTTAAAATTTCTCTCTTTTGTACCCTTTCCCTTTATTTCTCAAAGAGGCCAACACTTAGGGAAAATAGAAAAGAACCTACGTGAAATATCAGGGGCTGAATTTCCTCCAATAGAGCATCAGAATTCAGTGTGTAGCCTTGAGATCAAATTGCCCGTTAAACATGAGTACATGTAATAGAGTCATATATGATTTGGGGTTTGGTAAGAGACTGGCTGGAATAACAATTTGGGAATCATAGTACCATGCAGAAATTGATTGTACAGGAAGACATAACTGAGAGATTGACAGTAAATTCATCAGGGATAGTTCAAGGAAGAGGGAGACTAAGAAATAACTCATATTTGGCCAGGCCTGGTGGCTCATGCCTCCAGTGGCTGCACTTTGGGAGCCTGAGGCAGGCAGACAGCTTGATCCCAGGAACTCAAGACCAGCCTGGGATAATGGAAAGGCCCTGTTTCTACCAAAATTAGCTAGTCTGGGTGACCTGTAGTCACAGTCACCCAGGAGGATGAGGTGGAAAGATCACTTGAGCCCAGGAAGTTGAGGCTGCAGTGAATTCTTGATTGCACCACTGAACTCCAGCCTGGACAACAGAGGCAGACCCTGTCTCAATAGACACACGAACAACAAAGACAAGAATTTTTGTTTTAAAACTATTATATTTGGCAAAAAGGAAGTTGATTATTTTAAATATAGTACATTTGATAGATTGTTGGGGATGAAAGCCTGAATGGTAAAGGTAAGTGGAATTTTGAAATGAGAGCATATTATCAATGGTAAAAATATTCATCTGAAATTCAAGGTAACATTTTAAATTTAGCAGTTAGGGTGTCACTGATGACCTTTGAGAAAGGACCGTGACTTCACTGATGTGGGATAAAACCTGAGACAGAATAAGAACTGATCAAAATCAAATAGCTAATAGAAATTCTGTGTGGAAATTAAAAGCAGACGAAAACATCAGTAACAAAAGAGACAGTTTTTGTTGTGGATCATAAAATATGGAGTTTGTTTTACATTTGCGATAAGGAAATCAGGGTAGTGAAGAAGAGAATAAAATAAATTACATGAAAGAGGAAAAGATCAATCATATTAATGGGTTGGGTCCAGGAGGATGTATTTTAAAATATGATAAAGGTTTTTTCTTTGTGTTTGAATAAATAAGTGCATGTAGATAAAGGTGTGATTTAGATCAGAGTAACCAACCACAGAAGTTGAGGAATTTAAAATTCTGCAGCATAAAACTTAACAAATTGGAGGAAAGCATATTTATGTTAAGTTATGAGAATCAAAGCAATGCAAAGAAAGTTCAGGAAATGAACATCTTATCAAATAAAATAAAATAGGTAACTTCTTGATTCTTCCCTCCCTCTTTTTAAAACTACTACTTCAGTTTTCCCCACTGATATATTTTAACCAATGACCAACATCTTCTGGGGAAATATTATGCTTTCTCTCTTGTAATTTGCATTAGATTCTTACATATTTCATGTGTTTTTATTATATTAACAACATTTTTAATCAGAAAAAGGTTTCTGTCTAAATTCGGTTTCAATATTTACTGTTGCCTTTTATCTTCCTTCTTATTCATGTTTGTTGAATATTGTTTCCCACAAATAATGGCTAATTGACCTTCACAATATATTAGTAATTTATCTGGCTGTTTGACTAGAAAGCACCTAATATGAGCTATTTGGCCTCCCCCCAACCCCCCAAGAAAAGAGATTTTAGATCTTCAATAACCATGCAAACTCTGGATTTCACATCTATATAAATTGAAACTTTACTTGATTCATAACTTCATAGCATTAAATCAAGCCAAGAAACAGTTTTTTATATGCAAAATGGCCATCGTCTAACAATAAGTGGAACTTACAGGGCTCACTGTTTTTTATTTCTTTCCTAATCAGAAATATCTGCTAGATATTTTTCTTAGTGTCATCATCATTAGAATTGGCTTAGACCTTGTGCTGTTTTGTTTTAGTCAATGTCAGCATCAGACAGTGGCTGAAGAGCACACACACACACACACAAACACACAAACTTATGAGAAATATACACCTTGTTTCATACTACTTGAAGACAGGACTATCATCTTGGCGTTAAGAGGTAGTTAAGGCCTCATAGAAGTTTTATTGTCTATTTCCTTAAAACACTGTTTGCTAAAGAAATAATATGTCAAGTTATTTGACATATTGACTAACTTATGACAAATGCTTTAATTGACTAAATTATGTCAAGTGGTGGTTCAATATTTCCTAAACCAGACATAGATTTTTTTATCGTGATTAGTGATCCTTATTTACCTTTTTAGATTTTCCGTGAATACTGAATTATACAGAATCTTGTTTTCTTCTGTTTGGATCTGATACCAAATTATACTGGATGCACTGACAGAAGAGTACGAATTAGCAGCATGCTGAGAATGGACACAGCGTTTGAAGAGACTAATAAATAAAGTACAGCTTTCCTTTCAGCATTCTCTGCTCAACTGTTCTCTGCTGTGGTGAGGCCACCTATGCTTTGTATAGGTTTGAAATTAATTGAAAAGCTATTGACATATTCTAATGTTATTTGCTATGAGCTTTATTATTGTGGAGGTAATTTTGGATCAAATTACCCTAAAGTTTTTCAGTAAAGACTTGAGGTGAAATAAAGCTGCATTACTTTTGTTGGCGCATTCTTCCTTTAGGACATATCATGAGGTAAGTGACACAAATATCTCTCGTTCTCTGTTTCCAACAAGTAAATAAATATGAATAGTTCACTAACAAGATTAAGATGTGATCATCATTCTTCTAATAGAAATGTGTCCCTGTTTGTTTTTCACAATTCTGAATTATTTTCTATGCAATTTTTCAGTCTTAAGGTAATGATAGTTTTTAAAAAATGCAAATGCGATTAAGTCGGTCATTTTTTCTGTTTCTTTTAATATGATTCTCATTCAGCCTAATGAGCATTCTAAATAGTTATGAGGAATAGAAATATAACCTTAAATTAATGAATGAAAGTAGAGTGAGTGAGAAAAGACTATGGTTCAGAAATAATCTTGTAGATTTTATTTGTCAACTGATGTGATTTAATATGTTAGTGGTAGATTTTCTAGACTCCTTAAATTTGTAGCTGTGACTTTGAATATCAAAACATAGCTAAGCAACTCATTTCCATATGACTTCTATCTGTTACTATAGTGATTTACATGAGTACTATAAATTTTGTAAGAACTAATTTCATTCAGATCTGCACTGACAGTTCCAAGAGAGTAAAATGTATAAAAATTATATACATTTTATAGATTTAGGAACCAATGGGGATAAGTGTTACCTTTCATTAAAAAGGTAAGTGAAGAAGTTTATAAACACATGCAAAAATATGCAACCTCACGATTTAAACTTCTTTGCAAATAAAAATTAGTAATCGCAGGGACAGTTAGTAATACTAGCAGGGCAATAAACATTCCTGCAAAGCCAAAGAGTTAATTCCAGTGACAATGCATGAAGTGATTTTGGGCCGTACTCTGGAGCGAATTTAAGTTTAATTGACTGAATCTCCTGAAAGAAAAGGATTTAGGCAGAAACAACAAAAAAAATGAACAACACTTTAGCCAGTAAACTCAACAAGTAAATAAAACTCCTGGCAATATTAGAACCAATAAATCTCCATGTAGTAAATCTCCATGTACCTAATTTTGTTGCTATACTTGTTGTTTGGACAGTGTCTTGCTCTGTCGCCCAGGCTAGAGTGCAGTGGCATGATCTAAGCTCCTGCAACCTCCAACTCCCAGGTTCAAGGGATTCTCCTACCTCAGCCTCCTGAGTAGCTGGGGCTACAGGTGCACACCAGCACACCCAGCTAATTTTTACGTGTTTAGTAGAGATGGGGTTTCCCTATATTGGCCCTGCTGGTCTCAAGCTCCTGATCTAGTGATCCACCCACCTTGGCCTCCCATGTGCCATCGTACCTGGCCAACTTTTTCTTTTTTACAAGCCTAATTTAAGAAATTTTATAAATTTCTTAAATTTACATTCTTTAATTTTATACATTTCTTAAATTTCTTAAAATAAGCCAAGCATGGTGGCTCACACCTTTAATCCCAGCACTTTGAAAGGCTGAGGTGGGCAGATCCCCTGAGGTTGGCGGTTCATGGCCAGCTTAGCGAACATGGTGAAATCCCATCTCTACTAAAAATACAAAACTAGCTGGGCACCCTGACTCATGCCTGTAATCCCAGCTATTCAGGAGATTGAGGCAGTAGAATCGCTTGAACCTGAGAGGGAGAGGTTGCAATTCTGTAATGAGGAGAAATGTTGAGAATATATATATATACAAACACAAACACACACACACACACACACACACACACAGCCACACAGAGCCCACCCCCCCACACATACACACATCTGTTAGCTGTATATATATACTTTTGAAAACAGAAGATACTTATTTTTAATTGGGTTATTATTTTCTTATTCTTTTGAATCTGTTTTTAGTTCCTTGTATATTTTGATTAACCCCTTTTCTGATGTACACTTTGCAAATATTTGCTGTCATTCTATTACTGTGGTGACTTATTTTATTTTATTTTTATTTTTTGCTGTATGGAAGTTTTCTAGTATGATGTAACCTCGTTTTTCTGTTTGTGTGTTTTCTGCTTGCGTTTTTGTCTGATCCAAAAAATACTCTTGCCCAGACCAAGATCATTAAATGTGTTTTGTGATTTGTTCTACTAGTTTGACATTTTGGTGTTTTCATTACATCTTTATTTTTAAATGTTTTTAAAAATATATTCTTATTGGTGAGGTCTCACTATTTTACCTAGTGTGGAGTGCAGTGGCACAAGTCTTTCATGCTATAGCTTTGAACACCTAGGCCCAGATGATCCTCCTGTCTGACACTCCTGAGTAGCTGAAACTATAGGTGAACACCACTCCACTAGGCATTTTAATCCATTTGAGTTAATTTTTGCATGTGGTGAGAGATAGGTTCTTATTATATTCTTCTGCATGTAGCTCTCTTGTTTTCCCAGCACCACTTATTGAAGAGACTGACCTTTCTTCATTTTGTGTTCTTGGCACCTCTGCAGTATATCAGTTGGCTATACAGGTGGAAATTTATTTTTACTCACTGTATTATATTTTATTGGTTTATAGCATTGTGACATTGTCAGTTCACTCCACAACGCCAATCCCACTGCCATCTTCAGGAGTGCTTTGGCTATTCAGGATTTTTTTGTGGTTTCATATTAATTTAGGATATTTTTCAATTTCTGTGAAAAATGCCATGGGTGTTTTGATAGATATTGCATTCAATCTGTGCACTGCTTTGGATCATATAAACATTTTAATGACATTACTTTTTCCAATCAATGAACATAGATATTTTTCCATTTATTTATGCCATTTTAACATTTTATTAATGTTTCATAGGTTTCAGAATGTAGATTTTTTTTTACCTCCTTGGTTAAATTTACTGCTTTTTATCCTCCATAGCTACTGTAAATGAGATTTTTTCTTAAGTTTTTTTAATATATATCTTGCTATTAGTGTATGGAAATGCTATGGAGTTGTATATGTTGATTTTGTAAACTGAAACTTTACTGACTTTCTGAATTAGTTCTAACTACTTTTTAGTGGTGTGTTTAAGGATTTTCATATTACATCATTAGCATATATGGAAAATTTTACTTCCTCTCCAATTTGGGCACCTTTTCTTACTTTCTCTTGTCTAATTACTCTGGCTAAGGACTTTTAGTATTATGTGAATATAAGTAGTGGAAGTGAACACCCTGGTCTTCTTCCAGCTCTTCACAGAAACCTTTCAACTTTTAACTCCCATTGAGTGGATATTAGCTAAGGTTTTGTCATACATAGCATTATCTGCTTATTTGGGTCTAGGTCATTTGTTGTGTTGAGTTACAGTTGTTCCATGCATAATTTGTTAAGAGATTATACTGTGAAAAATGTTGAATTCTATCAAATTTTTTTTCACATATTGAAATGACTGCATAGATTTTGTTCTTATTTTGCTGATGTAATGTATGACATTTAATGATTCTTGTGTATTAAAACATTCCTGCATCCCTGTAATCTCTCTTGATCACAGTGAATGACTTTCTAAATATGCATGATAAGTCATTTTCCCAGTATTTTGTTGAGGGTTTTTGCACTATGTTTTTCAGATTTATTGGCCCATAGTTTTCTCTTTTTTCTTGTATCCTTGTCTGGTTTTGCAATCAGCATAATGCCGTCCTGACGGAATGAGTTGGAACAAACAGTTCCCATATATTCATTTCTGTTTAATGATTTTGTTTTTGTTTTGACTAGATTACACAAAAAGTGGCAGTAGTTTATTTTTTGTGGTAGGTAGAATGCAGCAGTGAATACGTCAGGTCCTGGTCTTTTCTTTAATAGGTGCCTTTTTATTGCTGATTCGATTTCTTACTATTAATTTGTTTCTTGGTATCAGTTATGGTATCTCTTTTTTGGCTCCAATACACTTTATTAAGAGATTGTTTGTTTGTTATTACTTTTGAGTTTAGCTTTCTGTTTTTATAATTCCTTGATTGAAACATCAAGTTGTGTATTTAATATCTTCTTTTAGTTGAAGGCATTTATTGCCATAACTTCCGTCTTAAAACTGCTTTGAATGTATCCCATAGGTTTTGTTGTGTTGTGTTTCTGTTTTTGTCTCAATAAATAGGGTGTTTCTCTTTAATGTCTTCATTGACTCAGCGGTTGTTCAGGAGTATGTTGTTTAATTTTGATGTGCTTATGAATTAGTGATTTCAGAAGAGACACTTGATATGACTTTGATTTTTTCAAATTCATTAAGATGTGATTTTTTGGCTAATGTATGATATATCCTGAAAGATGTTCCATATATGCAGTGGAGAAGAATGTTTACTCCATAGCTCTTGGATGGATAGTTCAGTAACTGTTTTTAGCATTTTCCCTACGGGGCATTTTAATCCAGTGTTTACTTGTTGAATTCTGTCTGCATTATCTATTCATTGCTGAAAGTAATGTGCTGAAGTTTTCTAGGATTATCTTGCACTTCTTTTCTTCCTTTGGATCTATTAACATCTGCATTACATATATGCACATATTACTTATATAGCTGTATTCCAGATATAATATTGTCTTTTTTTTGTTCTGCTTAATTCTGTATCCTCTCTTTGTCTTTGATATTTGGTGGTTTGATTAGATTAAGTTATGGGAATATTTTCATTGAAATTGAATCTGATTGGAAGCCTTCAATATTCCTGTAGCAGAATATTAATATTTTATATCAATTTGGAAAGGTTTCTGTTATTATTTATCTAAATAAGATTTCTACTCTTTTTTAATAGTTTTTATTGAGTTGGAGGTTTGCTCTTGTCTCTTAGGTTGGAGTGCAATCATGTGATTGTAGCTCACTGCAACCTCCACGTCCTCAGTTCCAGTGATTCTCCTGAGTTCCAGTGACTCTCCTGACTGAGACTTCTGAGTAGCTGGGATTACAGATGTCCACCAATATACCTGGCTAATTTTTGTATTTTAGTAAAGAAACTGTTTCACCATGTTGTGCAGGATGCTCTCAAGCTCTTGACAACATATGATCCACCAGCCTTGGCCTCCCAAAGTGCAGGGGATACAGGCATGAGTCATTGGGCCCAGCTCTACCACACTCTTGAATGCCAGTGTCTGATACCTTTGCTCTTCGGATGTTATCCCATTAATCTCATAAATCTTATTTATGTTTTCTCTCTGATTGCATATTTTCAATTGACTCCTGTTTGAGTTTTGCTGCTTGGCCACTTCCGTTGTCACTACTGTCAATTGCATTTTTTATTTTGTTGTGTTTTATTCTTCAAGGTTTCTGTTTGTTTTTCCATCCTGTTATTTTAAACTCTCAGGTAAATTTCTCCGATAAATTCCAGAATTCTTTGTGTTTTGCTGAAGTCCTCTGCATTGTCGTAAAATAAATATTTTGAATTCCTTGTCAGGCCATGTTCCATGCCCATCTCTTTTGGGTCAGTCACTTCTAGCACCTTATTTTGACCATCTGATGCCATCATGTTTCTCTCATTGATCCTAATCCTTGTGACTATGCACTGATGGCTGTGCAGTGATGTAGGTGCCTAATTCAGTGTTCATGGTTTGGCTTTGTTTGGAAGCTTTCTTCTACAGTAAGCCTGTACAGAGATTCAGGGCAAGGAGAAGAAGGAAACTAAGGTCTTTAAATCTATGATTACTTCAGCCCTGGTAACACAAGGGAAAATACTAATGAGCAGAATTTCATGGCTGGAGTAATTTGACTGGTAAAGCTGACTCATTTCCAGGTTTATAACTGGGTTAACAGAAAAGTTATCATAAAAGAGTAGTAAAATAATAATCTACACTGGAGGTAATATAATATGGTAAAATTTGATGAAGTAGGCAGGAGTAAGACAAATGAGTCCTCTGCCATGAGTAACTTTGGGGGAATAAGTAACTTTGGGGGAATAACTTACTTAGTCTTTGTAGGATTCAGTATCTTCCTTTGAGAATAATGCATTTTCCAAATTATATAAGATTATTTACATGATGAAATCAGCATTATTAACACTCAATAAATATACCCATTAAACACAATTTTGGAAGGTTGGGGAGCATAGACAGAAGCTCCAAAAGTCAAAACATGACTGTAGCCATAGAATAAAATACAGTTGGTTTCCAAGTATCTGAGAGGTTTCTTATGGTTTTCATTGTGTCTTAGATTTGTGATGAAGAAATAAACAATCCCCAGTTCCTGCCCTGGAGAAGCTCATTGCATAGAAAAAGGAACTAGGCAGATATACATGCCACAGTACAGTAATGAAACAACATAAATCACAAGCAACCAAGTCCAAAGGTAAGATACCTAATTTGAAATTTTATATTCTGTTTCATTTGCTTCTTGCTGTTGTGACTAACCATCTCTATGTGTGTTAAATTCAACCCCCTAGGGGTAACACGGGCTATAGTTCCAGAACTTACCTTCCAATTTTTCTTCCGATAGTGGCTGTTAACCAAGGATTGGTGAATATCCTATATGAAGATTCTACTAAAAGTAAAGCTACCCTGACTGCGATGCTTGGATGATATAATTTTCTCTGTCTAAGAAAGAGGAAGAAAGTGTGTGTTTTGTAATTTCTATAAACGGTTAAGTGCTGACACACTGGTAGCTGAAAGACAAACTATTTTTGCCTATTGAAAGGAAAAATGAAAAAATTGTAGGAAATCCATTTATTACAGTTAAAATATTCTAATTTTTTAATTTAGATTTTATCAGTATCTATACAGAAAAGTAAAAATAATAATAAGGAGAAAGAGCTTGAGTATAAACATTACCAAAATTTAGGTATTCCATATTCACTGATTTGGTGTTATATCCTAAATTGGTGATCTGCCACTATAACCTAACTTTTTAACTGCTTTATTTTCAAATGAATACTCTTCATAGCAGTTTGATGATAATTCTTAACTAATATTTTTTACAAGTTCACATAGCATAATTTGAAGAACAAATTTTTTTCTTTAGCAGGAAAAGCTCTGATTTGAGAAAAATGTATAGATAATTTTAAAAATAAGCACGGCTTTTGAAAGATAAATATAAATACATCAGTCATAGTGTCTTAGAGATCTTAGACATATTATGAAAAAGTACTTCCCGCATAATTCACTTAAAGTAAAATAATGTCAGAGAGAAAAACAGTAGCTGCTATCAGAACCTTCAAAGTGATAGTAATTAATAATTAGAATTTACCTCACTGTTCTGCTTCTCATCTTTGGAAAATCATTGTCTATATTTTCAGCTATGCATTCATTAGCAAGAGCACTGTTTCTAGTGGAATATATATATATGTATAATATGTGTATATATACATATGTGTGTATGTATATATATATACTGCATCACAGAATTCATTTGATAAGTAGCACCAGCATTTTTGAGTCCCACAAATCTTTCTGGTGGGTGAGATCTAACAGGGAGCAGGTATTCTCACTTAAAAAGTGCTTCACAACCTGAGATCAGAAGAAAAAATAATGCTTCTACTATGAAAATAATGATCTTGCCCACTCTTCTTTCCATCTAGTGGCAAATTGATATTAACAAACATTCACTTATCAACACAACCATTTTGAAAGAGTACTTTAAATTTTCATGTTAACAACAAGTTGAGAGACCATTACAGATGTTTAACCACAGACCACTCACGTCCATATTTTAATGGCATTACATCTGTTTATTTTTTAAAAAAAGTTATTTGTTTAAAAAATCTCCTTTGAATACATATATGTTAACTATGTCAATTCAATTGTTAAATAAATTAACATAAAATGTGTTTTTAAAAGGAAACTCTTCTCTCTACATGGATCCCACAAGACAAAGATCTGAATTTTTAAGCAGTGAGTTCAGCTAGAAACTCATACAGTGTGCTAGAAAATATACTCACACAGAGAAAAACATAAAAAAATATTTCACATTTTTCAATTAAAGATCTGTTAATTCAATTAAAGAATGCTGTTAATTGGCCTTTTAACACTCAGTTTGCTCTTGAAATAAACTAAATGTTGTTATCGTTTGTTAATTTACATATATTACTTCCCACCCTCAGTGTCAGTTCTGTGTAAGATTTGAACATTACTGCTTATTTTTTTGGACTCTAGCAGACATTTAGAACTAATAAAATGTACTCAAATTTCTCTTCTCACATTATGATTTTTAAAGCCATACCTCTCTTAGAATTTAACTAAAATAACATTAAGCAACTTCAAGTTTATAAAAATCTTTTTAATGCATACATTTTAAAGATAAACTATTTGTAGCATTAAATTTGGCTCTGGTTACCCTGAGGATTCAGTATTTTTAAACATGTGATTCAATAAAACCCACTTTGGTTACAAATGCCAAGTATAGGGGGGAGCACTAAAGAAATACATACATTTTTTAAATTTAATATTGTCTGATGTAAATGGTTTTAAATGTACACCTGATGGCTACAAAATGTTAAACTAGTTGTTCAAAAAAAAAAAACCACAAACAGACAAAAAAAAAAAAACATGAGTTAATTTTTTCTAAATGAAAAATGGACTTTCAAAGTAAACAATTATTAATAAAGAAAAACAGCTTTATAATTTAAAAATTCATGAGTAATTGCTTTGTCTATGTAATATATTTCATTTAAACAGTTTACTATCTTTTTGAGGTTCTTTACACAGCCAATAGCTGGTGCTACAAGTAGATCAAAACCAGGATTGATGGTAATGGGAGAGCTACAGACTGGAAGTGCTGGCTCTTCTGGCAGTTCTTTACTTCTTATACGTTACAGTTAAGCTTTTGATGCAGGGAAGATAACATCAATTAATTCCTAGTAATTTAGAAAAAGGAATCATATATTATTACTAGAAAACATATGGTAAGAAAAATATGTCTTTTCAAGAACATGCTTTTATGTTTATTTGACATAATTAAACATCTCATTATATCTTAAACAATTTTGAATTTTATTCCAAAGCAAAATTATTTAAAAAAGAAGTAAATCAATAAATATAATTCATTTCCATAATTAATTTTTGAAGAAATTTCTAAAACTTGAGAACTTGACTGAAAAGAAAAATAGCATTCTAAATTAATCTACTCTTTTAATTACATATTAATGGAAAAAAATTATTTTCAATAAAAATAAAATGCATGAAAATTATCTTATTTTCCTTGTATTATGAGACATATAAAGAAATTCATCAAAAATATGATATGAAAAATAGGTTTTTGCAAGATGGATATTTTTCTCAATTAGGAGTACAATCAAGGGACAGGCATGGTGACTCACACCTGTAACTCCAGCACTTTTGGAGGCCAAGGCAGGCAGCACACTTGAAGCCAGGAGCTTGAGACAGGCCTGGCCACTATGGTGAAACCCCATCAGGTGTAGAGGTGCTCACCTGTAATCTCAGCTAATCAAGAAGTTCAGGCAGAATAATCACTTGAAACTGGGAAGCAGGGGGTTGTAGTGTGCCAAGATTGCACTGCTGTACTCCAGCCAAAGAGACAGTGTGAGATTCCTTTATACAAATAAAAGAAAATAAATTCAATCAATTAAGAAGTGATATATAATAATTTAGTTTTCAATGCAGTTTGTGGCAACTATGAATTTTAATTACAAAATGCCTTGAATACACTGCCTCCCAAAGTGCTGGAGTCAGGGGACAGGCAAATAGAATTCCCAAGGCAAAAAAGTCCGATGCCTATTTCCTTTGCCCAAGCAATCCTCCCATCTCTGCCTCCTGAATAGTTGAGACTACATGCATGTGCCACCAGGCCCAGCTAAATTTTTTTTATTCTGTTGTTGTTGTTGTTGCTGGGCTCCAGTGATCTACTCACCTCAGCCTCCTAAAGTGCTAGGATTATAGATATGGGTCACTACACCAAGCTAAAATTTACTTTCTAAAATTTAATTTTTAGGTCATTTATTTTTATTCAGTCTTATTTCTCATAAATGAAGTTAAGAATGTTATTGCTTTAGAGCTTCTTTTGGGGTATTCCTGAAGTAATAAATGGATTCTTAACATTTGGGGTATTCCTGAAGTAATAAATGGATTCTTAACATTCATTTTCTAAATGGTGTTAGAAAATGAGTAATTGCTTCAGATGAGTAATGATTATTTGGCCTCTTTTTGTTTTCTGGCTTCATTTCATTGTGTATGAAGAATGTACTTTTTTTTAACCTGCCTGTATATGTGAAATGAATTTTTCCTCTTTCAACATAATGTAGTACAAAACTGTTTAAACTGGTTATTCAATGACTTCATAATTTTGGTTTTCTTCCTTGTGCATATTGGTCAAATTATTGGGACAACAATGTCAAAATTAATTCGCTTATGAAAAACTTTCTGATATAATGACATAAATACAAATGAACAAAAACAAGCACACACATACCAATTAATTTCTAAAACTTTTAATTTTTTCTGCTAGTCTAGTACCTTGTATTGCATTACTCAGCAAAATCTGTCAGCTCCACTTCCAGAATTGACTTTAACTCCACAGCATATGTCTTGTTTCCTGTTATCACCTTATTCTAAAACACAGCTTATATTACATTCACCACCTACTTTAGACTGTAATTTCCTATTTTACACTCTAACTTTCTATAAAAAGAAACTACCTTTTCAAGGTCTAATTTAAGTAATTTTATTTTTTCTTAATTGAGACTTCTTTCTATGTGCTGTCACACCTTACAGCGTCAGATATGAATATCTCTATCCTATTTCAGCTGTTCCAGTTTTATTGGGGGGGGAATGTGTATATATATTTATAAATGTGGGTATATATGTATTAGCTTATTATTTGTTTTTTCCATGTGTAATATATGTTTTGCATGCAAATATTTACTAAATCCCTGATAATGGAAAGTTAACAAATCTTTTTTTTTTCCTTTTTTAAGTAAATTATTTTCTGAAGGAGGAGGGTTGGGAGGAATATATCTTAACATGGCAAGATTGAAAGAGAAAGTGGCCATTACTAATGAAAATTATTCCGTAACATTTTCATGTTTATCTAATAGCATTGCTGATGACATTTTCCCTTTTATCAGCTGTGTATGGGGCCATTCACTGCAATATACTGGCCATCCACACCAGCAACGACTTTGCTGCCATTAAGCTACAGGTGATAAAATTCATCCGTGTCGTGGTATTGCGTTCCTTGGTGGTAATCTCATGTGTAATGGCTCTGGCATTTTTGCCTGCATCTCTGAAACTGAGGAGCCTACCCTTTCTATTAATCATGTATTTTGTATTATTGTTGGCACCATGGCTGGAGTTTTGGAAAAGTGGAGCTCATCCTCCCAGCAACACAGAAAATAATTCTAGCATGGTGGGTACAGTACGGATGCTTATTTTAACCATGCTAGCATATGCTGCCATCAACTTCTCTTGCTGGTCAGCAGTGAAACTGTAGCTGTCAAATGAGGAAATAATTGATGAGAGACAGGTGGGCCATAGAATCCTATACTACAGCTTTGAGTTTTTAGAAAATGTGATAATAATATTGGTATTTAAGTTCTTTGGAGGGAAATTTTACTGAAGACTTGTGACTCATTAATTGCCATGTAGCTCATCATAACCTACCTATTAGCCATTATTTTAGGCTCCGCTTCTGTCAGTATTTGCACTCAAGGTCATCAGGCAAAGTATTGCCAGAACATACTGAAAATCATCCAGAAGCATTGTGATATTGTGTAAACATGTAGAGAAAACTCAGTTAAAAGAATAAAAATAAGCAGCTGAGGAATTACTATTATTCATGGAGAAGGGTTGGATATTTTCAATAAAAAAGTATGCAATATCCACAAAATACACATATATACTTTCACAGAACTAACAGTAGAGAAGCTGAATGTGACTTTATAAAGATACTCATAAAAAATTATAAACAGCAAAATTGTGGAAGTAGTTTCTAATAAAATTGATTTTTCTCCTGTGACTATACATTAGTAATTTTTGTTTTCTGAAATATAATTGTACAACTTATTAAACAAAACAAAACAAAAAATCCATCTGGGTCCAAAAACTGAGCACAAAAAAATAACTATAACTAATTTTTCACCTAGTACATTTTTAGAACCTATGCCTTTAATTTAACAAGTGTTTGTAATCTAGCATACACATTATCGGTGAACTTTTTTTTATTTTTCAGAATTGGTACTTACCACAGGTTTCATTCTGTACTTAATGAGAATCTGAAAGAGAAGTCTTATGAGCATGCTCCAGTTTATATTAATTTAAGGTAACTAAAGTCTTTTTCATTAAACTTTGACTAACAGAAAGCAACTCATATTAATGCATCTTAAAGCACAAACCTGTTTTATTAAAAAGACATCACCATGTTAACAATTTAAAATACTAATTTACATTCCTACCAACAGTGCACAAGGATTCTCTGTGCTCCATATTCTCAAAACACTTGTCATCTTTCATCCTGATAATAATAGCTATTCCAACATGTGTGAGAGGAGGGCTCATTTTTGGTTTTAATTTGCATTTCCCTGATGATCGGTGGTTTTGAGCATCTTTAAATATACAGTTGTTCAGGAATTAGCCGGGCGACAGAGTGCACATCTGTAAACACCTACTAGGGAGGATGAGGCAGAATTGCTGGAAACCAGTGGGTGGAAGATTCAGTGAGCTGAGATCACACCATTGCATTTAAGCATGGATGACAGAGTGAGAATACCTCTCAAATCAATCAATCAATCAATATTAAATATAGAGTTGTTGGCCAGTTGTATATCTTCTTTTGAGAAGTGTAAATTCAGGTCCTTTGACCATATTTAATAGACTTAATTGGGTTTTCTGTTGTTAAATGACTTGTGTTCCTTGTATGTATTCATTATTCGCCCTTTATCATACATATGGTTTGCAGATATTTTCTCCAAGTGTTTGGGGTGTCTCTTCACTTTACTATTTGTTTCCCTTTTCCCTTTGCTGTGCAGAAACATTTTAGTTTGATGTAACGTGATCCACTTGTTTTGTGTGGTGCTTTAGTAGCCTGTGTTTTGGGGTCATAGAATTGAGGTTTCAAAAATAAAATAAAATCAAAAATAGAATTACTACATGATCCAGCTACTCTACTTCAGAATATGTACTCAAAGGGTATACAATTAGATTGTCAGAGACATATCTGCAGTCCTATATTCATCTCAGCATTATTCCTAATAGCTAAGATATGGTAACAACCCAAGTGCTCATCAACAGATCAACAGATAAAGTGTTGCACATATACACAATGAAATATACTATGCATCCTTAAACAAAGGAGGAAGTTCTGTTATTTATTTGTGACCAAATGAATGGTATGGGAAGATACGATGCTCAGTGTAATAAGAGAGGCACAAAAAGACAAGTATAGAATGATCACAATTATATGTAAAATCTAAAAAAGTTGAACTCATTCAAACAGTGAATATGCCAGATGTGGTGGCTCATGCCTGTAACTCCAGCAATTTGGGAGTAAGAGATGGCTGGATCACTTGAGGTCAGAACTTTGAGGCCCCAGTGAGCCACTGTACTCCAGCCTGGGCAATGCAGCAAGGCCCTGACTCTTTAAACAAACCCACAAAAAGTAGTCAGAGATTGGACTGGGACGTGGTGATGGGGGTGGATAGAGAAAGGCAAGATGTTCGTCAAAGGGTAACAAATTTTAGTGAGACAGGAAGAAGTTCTGATCCATTGCACAGAATGGTGACCACATTAATACATGTCAACTTCAAAATTGCTTAATAAAAAAAAGAGCAGGCATGGTGGCTCATGTTTGAAATCCCAGCACTTTATGCAGCCATGGCAGGAGGATCACTAGAGGTCAGGAGTTGGAGGCCAGCCTGGCCAACACGATGAAACATCGTCACTACTGAAAATATAAGAATTAGCCAGGTTTGGTGGCATTCACCTGTCGTCCCAGCTACTTGAGTGACTGAGGCAAAATAACTTGTACTCGGGAGATGGCAGTTGAAATAAGCTGAGATTGCGCCACTGTACTCAAGTCTGGGCAACAGGAGCAAAACTCTATCTCAAAAAAACAGATTGTTTAAAAAGTAGAATTTATATATTCTTACCACAAAAAAAGAAATGATAAGTATGTGAGGTGATGGATATGGTAACTAGCCCAATTTAATTCTTTTGCAATATATACATGCATTATAAAATCACTTTGTGTCCCATAAATATTTACATTTGTTAGTTTAAAATAAAAATTTTAAAAGAATGAATTACAATTAAAATAAACTTGGCTTAATATACATAGACAATAAAATATGCTAAGGTTTTCTTCTATTTTGACTATTTGGCTTCTGTTATTTCTTAGGGAAGCAATCACCTTGGGAAGGGATGAAGAACAATAAAGCTTAATATTATACAATTTCCATTATTTTGTTTTTGTTGTTTTTCTCCTTTTTTTCCTACCAAAGTAATGGAGACAACTTTCTTATTCACACTTTCTTTTGTGTTTCTTTCTCAGGAGAAATCGCCACCAAAAAATAATGTTCATGTAGATTTGTGTAAATTTTTTCTGCTCCTATCTATGACCCTTTTTGCCTTTGCTTTGGATTTCATAGCTTCATAAAACACTGATTTACTTACTATTTGTCATCTCATTGTACCACTACTTCTTCACTGTACCTGCAGGATCGTTTTTTTCTTTTTATTTTCTTTTAGTCTTTTTTTTTTTTTTTTTTTTTTTTTTTTTTTTTTTTTTTGAGATGGAGTGTCTGGCACAATCTCAGCTCACTGCAACCTTGGCCCCCCAGATTCAGGTAATTCTCCTGCCTCAGCCTCCTCAATACCTGACATTACAGTCATGCACTACCATGCTTGGCTGACTTTTGAATTTTTAATTGTGACGTGGTTTCACCATTTTGCCAAGGCTTGTGTTGAACTGACCTCAAGTGATCCACCCTCTCAGCCTCCCAAAGTGCTGGAATTACAGGTGTGAGACACCACACCCGGCTTGATCATTTCCTTTACTAGAACTACATGCTGCTTGTCCCAGTCCTAGATATGCCACTATCTATTCATTTATTTATTTTATTTGATAGCAAGACTCATGGAAAGAGTTGGCCCTGAAAAGGTTTAATTTTATTTCTCTTAACTATCCTTTTTTAAGGCATTTACCCTGTTTTTTTAGAATCGTATCTTATATTTGTCACTAAATCCCATATTTCATTTATCTGTAGCATATTACTCAAACAGTCATGTGTATCTGTAAAACTGATTCCCACCCTCATTCCTGAAATACTATTTTGTTTTGGATTACATGATTCAACTTTCCACTGATTTCTCTATTTAATTGTCAGTGTGCTTTGTTTCATTTTATCTCATATATGTCTATTCATTAGACTACTAATGTAACTACAGAGAATACCTCTTTCTCCTTCTCTTTCTCTTTTTCCTTTTCCCCTTCTCTTTTCCCTTACCTCTTTTCTTTTCTTTTTTTAAGAGATGGTTCTGTCACCCAGCCTGGAGTACAGTAGTGAGAACTTGACTGACTACAGCCTCAAATTTCTGGGCTCAAGCAATCATCCTGGATTGGTCTCCTCTGTAGCGGAGACGACAGCAGTTCTAGGGAATTCAACTAGTGATATTACTTCTGGAATCCTATACATTGTGCTTTTTTTTTTTCTTATGAGCATACCAAGATTAAGACAGCTAAATTGTAAACTTCTCCTGAACTTCTTCACACTTCCTACATGCCTCTGTCTTCCACCCTTTTTTGTATAAAAATATATCATCTATATAACATAAAAACTGGAGATATCCCAAATGCATTATTTTCCCTCATCTTTTACATATTTTATCTACAAGAACTTTTTTATTATCTACCAATTACAAATGTGTTTTTCTTATTGCTCTTTATACATTCCAGTTGAGGTCATCATTCATTCTTCACTAAATGATAATATCAACAACTTAATTTACTTCCTGCTTCTGTGTTACCCTATTCAATTTATTTTTTATTGAGGGTCTAGAATTATTCTTCTTTTCAATGAATACAACACATCTCTTTCCTTTTTCTTTCTTTTCTTCTTACCTTCTGCTTTAATACTGTTACTATACGAATTGAGGAGCAATTTCAGTGTACTATTATATCCACCATTTTAAGCTAAAATTCAGAGATATAATAGCCTCTCTATAAGTGTTTAATATTACAAAAATAATGAAACTATAATTTCAGTATTAAATTTTTGAATAATGTCTATAGATTATTCATAAAACAAGATTTTAGTTGAGTTGCAGATAAGCTTATGCTATTTTTTTACTCACTCCTTCCATTTTTATCCATCCTAGCTATAAGATATTTAGAGGTATGAACCTGGCATATTCTTCCCTGTACTTGACAGCCTATTGAAGTTATATGAATAAAGAAAAGTACACTGACAATTTAATTCATGTAACTAAATATAAATGTATTATATTTAAAATCTATTTATTTTAATTACTTAAATTTATTATTACAGTTATTATTTAGATTTTTATTATTTAAATCTCAAACAATACAGGAAACAAAAATGTGGGAAAATCTCAAGTAATTCATTATTTATCTTTCTTTTTATCATAGAAAACACAGGCCATCTCCTTACTGCTTAAGGCCGTATTTCCAGAACACTCATAACATTTCACTTTTCATTTCCCAAGGAAATCTGAGGAGTTTCTTTTGAACTCCATAGTGATATGCCTAAAACTACCCAGTGTAATTGTGTCTTCTTGGACGGTATGATTCTACAAGGTGAATATGATAATGACCTAAAATATCACCCTTACATTTAATTATATAAAACACCACTAATATTAACAATATATGAGCTGTACATTATGTAGTCTAATTAGAGAGTTAATTTTACACTCAAATAGTTTAGTTAGATACTGTGAGATTAAACTGGCCAAGATGGAAATTAATTATTTGTAAAAACTACCACACTGTGATGAAATGAGTTAACTGGACTCTTTTTTTTTTTATTATACTTTAAGTTTTAGGGTACATGTGTACATTGTGCAGGTTAGTTACATATATACATGTGCCATGCTGGTGCGCTGCACCCACTAACTCGTCATCTAGCATTAGGTATATCTCCCGATGCTATCCCTCCCCCCTCCTCCAACCCCACAACAGTCCCCAGAGTGTGATATTCCCCTTCCTGTGTCCATGTGATCTCATTGTTCAATTCTCACCTATGAGTGAGAATATGCAGTGTTTGGTTTTTTGTTCTTGGGATAGTTTACTGAGAATGATGATTTCCAATTTCATCCATGTCCCTACAAAGGACATGAACTCATCATTTCTTACGGCTGCATAGTATTCCATGGTGTATATGTGCCACATTTTCTTAATCCAGTCTATCATTGTTGGACATTTGGGTTGGTTCCAAGTCTTTGCTATTGTGAATAATGCCGCAATAAACATACGTGTGCATGTGTCTTTATAGCAGCATGATTTATAGTCCTTTGGGTATATACCCAGTAATGGGATGGCTGGGTCAAATGGTATTTCCAGTTCTAGATCCCTGAGGAATCGCCACACTGACTTCCACAATGGTTGAACTAGTTTACAGTCCCACCAACAGTGTAAAAGTGTTCCTATTTCTCCACATCCTGTCCAGCACCTGTAGTTTCCTGACTTTTTAATGATTGCCATTCTAACTGGTGTGAGATGGTATCTCATTGTGGTTTTGATTTGCATTTCCCTGATGGCCAGGGATGATGAGCATTTTTTCATGTGTTTTTTGGCTGCATAAATGTCTTCTTTTGAGAAGTGTCTGTTCATGTCCTTCACCCACTTTTTGATGGTGTTGTTTGTTTTTTTCTTATAAATTTGTTTGAGTTCATTGTAGATTCTGGTTATTAGCCCTTTGTCAGATGAGTAGGCTGCAAAAATTTTCTCCCGTTTTGTTGGTTGCCTGTTCACTCTGATGGTAGTATCTTTGGCTGTGCAGAAGCTCTTTAGTTTAATTAGATCCCACTTCTCAATTTTGTCTTTTGTTGCCATTGCTTTTGGTGTTTTAGACATAAAGTCCTTGCCCATGCCTATGTCCTGAATGGTAATGCCTAGGTTTTCTTCTAGGGTTTTTATGGTTTTAGGTCTAACATTTAAGTCTTTAATCCATCTTGAATTGATTTTTGTATAAGGTGTAAGGAAGGGATCCAGTTTCAGGTTTCTACATATGGCTAGCCAGTTTTCCCAGCACCATTTATTACATAGGGAATCCTTTCCCCATTGCTTGTTTTTGTCAGGTTTGTCAAAGATCAGATAGTTGTAGATATGCAGCATTATTTCTGAGGGCTCTGTTCTGTTCCATTGATCTACATCTCTGTTTTGGTACAAGTACAATGCTGTTTTGGTTACTGTAGCCTTGTAGTATAGTTTGAAGTCAGGTAGTGTGATACCTCCAGCTTTGTTCTTTTTTGCAACAAAAAAAAGAGAATTTTAGACCAATATCCTTGATGAACTTTGATGCAAAAATCCTCAATAAAATACTGGCAAACCGAATCCAGCAGCATATCAAAAACTTATCCACCATGATCAAGTGGGCTTCATCCCTGGGATGCAAGGCTGGTTCAATATATGCAAATCAATAAATGTAATCCAGCATATAAACAGAGCCAAAGACAAAAACCACCTGATTATCTCAATAGATGCAGAAAAAGCCTTTGACAAAATTCAACAACCCTTCATGCTAAAAACTCTCAATAAATTAAGTATTGATGGGATGTATTTCAAAATAATAAGAGCTATCTATGACAAACCCACAGCCAATATCATACTGAATGGGCAAAAACTGGAAGCATTCCCTTTGAAAACTGGCACAAGTCAGGGATGCCCTCTCTCACCACTCCTATTCAACATAGTGTTGGAAGTTCTGGCCAGGGCAATTAGGCAGGAGAAGGAAATAAAGGGTATTCAATTAGGAAAAGAGGAAGTCAAATTGTCCCTGTTTGCAGACGACATGATTGTATATCTAGAAAACCCCATTGTCTCAGCCCAAAATCTCCTTAAGCTGATAAGCAACTTCAGCAAAGTCTCAGGATACAAAATCAGTGTACAAAAATCACAAGCATTCTTATACACCAACAACAGACAAATAGAGAGCCAAATCATGAGTGAACTCCCATTCATAATAGCTTCAAAGAGAATAAAATACCTAGGAATCCAACTTACAAGGGATGTGAAGGACCTCTTCAAGGAGAGCTACAAACCACTGCTCAAGGAAATAAAAGAGGATACAAACAAATGGAAGAACTGAACTTTTAATAATTTGGAAAATAATAAAGTTATATTACTTAAATGTTACTAACAAAAACGTGTATTTCTTAACTATTTGTTACTACCTGAAAGACCGAATGGCTCTCATGATAATGATGGAAGCAGCTTCAAATGAAATGTTACAAAACAGTCTGGACATGATGGCCTATGCCTGTAATCCCAGCACTTTGGGAGGCTGAGACAGGTGGATGACTTGAGGTCAAGTGTTTGAGACCAGCCTGGCTAACATGGTGAAACCCCCTCTCTACTAAAAATAAGAATATTATCCAGGCATGGTGGTGCATGCCTGTAATCCCAGCTAGTCAGGAGGCTGAGACAAGAGAATCCCTTGAGCCTGGAAGGCAGAGGCTGCAGGGAGCTGAGATCGGGCCACTACACTCTAGCCTGGGTGAGAGAGTGAGACTCCATCTCATAAAAACCCCTCTAAACTTTAAAAAGCAAGGTAAATTTAATCAAGTTTCTATTTCATGCTATCATATAAGTTCATTAGGATAAAAGGGAAGAGATACAAGGAAGATAAAATAAACCTCAGACTTGATTTTGGGGGCTCTGGAATCTAACAACATAACTCAGGGGAATGTTCAATGAAGAAAGACCAGACCTCTCCATTTGGGCAAAAGAGTATGTGGTATTTTAACTGCCCATCATCATCCACTTCATGGCTTCTAAACATTAAAAAGCAAGGTAAATTTAATCAAGTTTCTATTTCATGCTGTCTTTAAAGTTCATTAGGTTAAAAGTGAAGAGATATAAGAAAGAAAAAAAGAAAACTTCAGCCATGATTTTGGGAGCTCTGGAATCTAATAACATAACTCAGGGGAGTGTTTATTGAAGAAAGAACAGACCTCTAAATTTGGGGATGATAGTATGGGGCATTTTAACTGCCCATCATCATCCACTCCATGGCTTCATGGAAACTGTGAAGAAGATTAAATTATAGATTCAGCTTTTGATGTCTGTGGGGGAAATACAGAGCTTATCTCAAAGAATTGTGGTTGTGTGATTTAAAATGTTTGAGGTTCCCTTGAAGATTACTGGCTCAGAGGCTTTTCTTTAGCTCACCACACAGTTTTCTTGGGGGCAGAAGCTGACTCCCGGGAGGCATTTGTGGAAAGGAAATATACTAGTCAGAGCCATCTGTAGCAAGGAATAAGAGTCAGGTCAAGCAGTACACCAACAAAATACCTGGAAGGAAGAGGCTGAGGAAAAAAATTGATGTGGAAAACCAGGTTTGAAAAACCCTCAGTTTGTTGTTGTTTGTTGTGGATTGGGTTTTAAATAGAGACAGAGTTTGCGCTGTGGCCCACGTTAGAGTCCTCTGGCATGATCATGTCCAAAGCTCAACCTCCTTTGGTTCAAATGGTCTTCCCACTTCAGCCTCCTGAGCATGTTATGTCTCTGGGTTCCACCTATCCTCCCCTCTCAGTGTCTCACAGTACAGGCATTGGCCACCATAACCAGCTTATTTTTGTATTTTTTTTTTTATACAGAAGAGATCTTGCCATGTTGTCAAGGCTTGTCTCACACTTCTGGGCTCAAGTGATTTGTTCTCCTAAGCCTTCCAAATTGGTGGGGTTATAGATATGAAGCACCACATCCATATTCCTACTGATATATTTAGAGGGATATAAGTATGTCCATTTTTGGATGCATGTGTGGAGAAGACCCCGAAACTTTTCATTTTTCCTTGGCTTTGGGCTAAATACTAGAGTTCCTCAAGGAGTCCATATGCAAAGTCTGGGCGGTTTTTCTCTACTTTCTTTTTCTATTTTTTCTTTTCTTTGCTTGGATTGTTTTTTAAAAATGTGGCAATAAGAGTAGATGACCAAAAGGGTGACAGAACACAGGTAAAGTGGCCATACATGACAAAGAATTCAGACTACAAACATAGGTCTGGATGGCTCCTAAACAAGCAAACAACCCACAAACTAAGCATTTGTGGAGATCAAGGATTTGTTATCTGAATATGCTGAATAATATCCAAAGTGTTCAGTGTTCAACAATAAACTGAAAGGCATTCAATGGAAAAAAAAGGTACACCACGAGAAGTCATAACAAACAAACAAACAAAAAAAAACTACTTCCTGAAGCCCAGGCATGGTACTAATTAGGGAAATATTTCAATTCACTAAATTTTAATGTTCTCAAAGACCTAAAGGAACCCAGAAGAATAGCGATTCAAAATTGAAAATACCAATAAAGACAGACAAATTATTTTAAAAAATGAAATCAATAATCTGTAACTAGAAGGACTGAGTAGCCTGGGTGAGCATGCAGAACACAGAATGAGGCAACTTGAAGATGGATTGTTTGATATTATTCAGTGTAAGGAACAAGAAGAGAAACAACAATAATGAAAAAAACTAAGGTTTTCATGGGACACCATCAAGAATATCAACATAGTGATAATGGGAGTCCCACTGGAAAAGGAGAGATGGGGGAAAAAAGGAATATTTGAAGAAACAGTGGATGTAACTTGCCAAATGTGTTGGTAGATATAAATCTACTGATCCAAGTATCTACAAAGAAAAAGGCACTCCAGAAAGAATAAATTCAAAGATACCCACAGTGAAACACATGCACTGAATTTGATAGAAGACAAATAAATAGAGAACTTTAAAAGAAGCAAGGCAGAAGTAACTGACCATATGCAAGTTACCCTCCATGATATTAACAGCCAATATCTCATTAAAAATTATGAGGAAAGAAGTCACTGTGATGAGATCTTTAAAGTGCTGAAATAAAAAATGAAGTTGATCATAAATTCAATATCTGGCCAAACCAAAATTCAAATTTATGAGCAAATAAGTCATTTCCAAGCAAACAGAATAGATCAGCTTTATAAAACATGATAAAAACAAGTAAGGAATGAAAGAAAAATAGTAACTCATTGTGCAAATAAAGAAATAAAGAATATCAATAAAGTAATTACACCAGATTATAGGGGGTGGACCCAAGATGGCCAAATAGGAACAGCTCCAGTCTCCAGCTCCCAGCATGAGTGAAGCAGAATATGGGAAATTTCTGTATTTCCAATGGAGGTACAGGGTTCATCTCACTGGGGAGTGCCAGACAGTGGGTGCAGGACAGTGGGTGCAGGGCACCGTATGTAAGCTGAAGCAGGGCAAGGCATTGCCTCACCCAGGAAGCACAAGGGGTCAGGGAATTCCCTTTCCTAGTCAAAGAAAGGGGTGACAGAGGGCACCTGGAAAATCGGGTCACTCCCACCGTAATACTGCACTTTTCCAATGGGCTTAACAAATGGCACACCTGGAGATTTTATCCCACACCTGGCTCAAAGGGACCTACACCCATGGAGCCTTGCTCATTGCTAGAACAGCAGTCTGAGATCAAACTGCAAGGTGGCAGCGAGGCTGGGGGAGGGGAGCCCGCCATTGCTTAGGCTTGAGTAGGTAAACAAAGCCGCAAGGAAGTTCGAACTAGGTGGAGCCCACCATAGCTCAAGGAGGCCTGCCTGCCTCTGTAGGCTCCATCTCTTGGTGCAGGGCACAGACAAACAAAAGACAGCAATAACCTCTGCAGACTTAAATGTCCCTGTCTGACAGCTTTGAAGAGAGTAGTGATTCTCCCAGCATGCAGATGGATATCTGAGAACAGGCAGACTGCCTCCTCAAGTCGGTCCCTGACCCCTGACCCTGAGCAGCCTAACTGGGAGGCACCCATCAGTAGGGGCAGACTGACACCTCACACAGCCAGGTACTCCTCTGAGAAAAACTTGCAGAGGAACGATCAGGCAGCAGCATTTGCGGTTCACCAATATCCGCTGTTCTGCAGTCACCACTTCTGATACCCAGGCAAAGAGGGTATGGGGTAGACCTCCAGTAAACTCCAACAGACCTGCAGCTGAGGTTCCTGACTGTTAGAAGGAAAACTAACAAACAGAAAGGACATCCACACCAAAAACCCATCTGTACATCACCATCATCAAAGACCAAAGGTAGATAAAACCACAAAGATGGGGACGAAACAGAGTAGAAAAACGGAAACTCTAAAAATCAGAGTGCCTCTCCTCCTCCAAAGGAAAACAGCTCCTCACCAGCAATGGAACAAAGCTGGATGGAGAATGACTTTGACGAGTTGAGAGAGGAAGGCTTCAGAAGATCGAACTACTCTGAGCTAAAGGAGGAAGTTCGAACCAATGGCAAAGAAGTTAAAACTTTGAAAAAAATATTAGATGAATGGATAACTAGAATAACCAATGCAGAGAAGTCCTTAAAGGAACTGATGGAGCTGAAAACCACAGCATGAGAACTACCTGATGAATGCACAAGCCTCAGTAACCGATGCCATCAACTGGAAGAAAGGGTATCAGCGATGGAAGATGAAATGAAGTGGGAAGAGAAGTTTAGAGAAAAAAGAATAAAAAGAAAAGATCAAAGCCTCCAAGAAATATGGGACTATGTGAAAAGACCAAATCTATGTCTAATTGGTGTACCTGAAAGTGACGGGGAGAATGGAACTAAGTTGGAAAACATTCTGCAGGATATTATCCAGGAGAACTTCCCTGACCTAGCAAGGCAGGCCAACATTCAAATTCAGGAAATACAGAGAATGCCACAAAGATACGCCTCGAGAAGAGCAACTCCAAGACACATAATAGTCAGATTTACCAAAGTTGAAATGAAGGAAAAAATGTTAGGGCAGCCAGAGAGAAAGATCAGGTTACCCACAAAGGGAAGCCCATCAGACTAATAGCTGATCTCTCAGCAGAAACTCTACAAGCCAGAAGAAAGTGGGGTCCAATATTCAACATTCTTAAAGAAAAGAATTTTCAACCCAGGATTTCATATGCTGCCAAACTAAGCTTCATAAGTGAAGGAGTAATAAAATATTTACAGACAAGCAAAGGCTGAGAGATTTTTGTCACCACCAGGCCTGCCCCAAAAGAGCTCCTGAAGGAAGCACTAAACATGGAAAGGAACAATCAGTACCAGCCACTGCAAAAACATGCCAAATTGTAAAGACCATCAAGGCTAGGAAGAAACTGCATCAACTAACAAGCAAAATAACCAGCTAACATCATAATGACAGAATCAAATTCACACATAACAATACAACCTTAAATGTAAATGGGATAAATGCTCCAATTAAAAGGCACAGACTGGCAAATTGGATAAAGAGTCAAGACCCATCAGTGTGTTATATTCAGGAAACCCATCTGATGTGCAGAGACACACATAGGCTCAAAATAAAGGGATGGAGGAAGATCTACCAAGCAAATGAAAAACCAAAAAAGGCAGAGGTTGCAATCCTAGTCTCAGATAAAACAGACTTTAAACCAACAAAGATCAAAAGAGACAAAGAAGACCATTACATAATGGAAGACTTTAACACCCCACTGTCAACATTAGACAGATCAATGAGACAGAAAGTTAACAAGGATATCCAAGAATTGAACTCAGCTCTGCACTAAGCGAACCTAATAGACATCCACAGAACTCTCCACCCCAAATCAACAGAATACACATTCTTTTCAGCACCACACCACACTTATTCCAAAATTGAAAACATAGTTGGAAGTAAAGCACTCCTTAGTAAATGTAAAATACTGGAAATTTTAACAAACGGTTATAATTTCCCCATTTATTAAATGCAAAGATTCCCCATTTAATAAATAGTGTTGGGAAAACTGGCTAGCCATATGTAGAAAGCCGAAACCGGATACATTCTTACATCTTATACAAAAATTAATTAAAGATTGATTAAAGACTTACATGTTAGGCCTAAAACCATAAAAACCCTAGAAGAAAACCTAGGCAATACCATTCAGGACATAAGCATGTGCATGTCTAAAACACCAAAAGCAATGGCAACAAAAGCCGAAATTGACAAATAGGATCTAATTAAACTAAAGAGCTTCAGCACAGCTGAAGAAACTTCCATCAGAGTGAACAGGCAACCTACAGAATGGGAGAAAATTTCTGCAACCTACTCAGCTGACAAAGCGCTAATATCAAGAATCTGCAAGGAACTCAAACAAATTTACAAGAAAAAAACAAACAACTCCATCAAAAAGTGGGTGAAGGATATGAATAGATGCTTCTCAAAAGAAGACTTTTATGCAGCCAAAAGACACATGAAAAAATGCTCATCATCACTGGCCATCAGAGAAATGCAAATCAAAACCACAATGAGATACCATCTCACACCAGTTAGAATGGCTATCATTAAAAAGTTAGGAAACAACAGGTCCTGGAGAGGATGTGGTGAAATAGGAATATTTTACACTGTTGGTGGGACTGTAAGCTGGTTCAACCATTGTGGAAGTCAGTGGGTTGATTCCTCAAGGATCTAGAATTAGAAATACCATTTGATCCAACCATCCCATTACTGGGTATATACCCAAAGGATTATGAATCATGCTGCTATAAGGACACATGTACGTGTATGTTTATTGTGGCACTATTCACAATAGGAAAGACTGGGAACCAACCCAAATGTCCAACAATGATAGTCTGGATTAAGAAAATGTGGCACATATACACCATGGAGTACTATGCAGCCATAAAAAATGATGAGTTCATGTCCTTTGTAGGCACATGGATGAAGCTGGAAACCATCATTCTCAGCAAACTATTTCAAGGACAAAAATACAAACACCGCATGTTCTCACTCATAGGTGGGAATTGAACAGTGAGAACACATGGACAGAGGAAGGGGAACATCAAACCCCAGGGACTGTTGTTCGGTGGGGGATGGGGGAGGGATAGCATTAGGAGATATGCCTAATGTCAAATGATGAGTTAATGGGTGCAGCACACCAACATGGCACATGTATACCTATATAACAAACCTGCACGTTGTGCACATGTACCCTAAAACTTAAAAGTATAACAATAATAATAAGAAGAAGAAAAGTAATTACACCAGGAAATAGAAAAGCCAATATTATTGTATTTGCGGATTCTGCAACTTTATTTTTCTACTAGATTTAAATGACAAGAGGTAAGCCACAGTATCTCACAAATGTAATACCAACCAATGTGGGAGATTTCCTTGAGCACAGGAGTTTGAGACCAGCCACGGCAACAATGTGTGACTCTGTGTCTACAGAAAATAAACAAAATTATCCAGCTATGGTGGCATGCACTTCTATCCCAGGTACAGGGAGCTGAGGTGGAAGGATCCCTTGAGCCCATGAGCTTGAGGCTGTAGTGAACAAGGGTTAGCCTGTGTGACTGAAACTCTGTCTCAATAAAGTAAAATAAGATAAAGAAATAATAAAGAATAAAACAATAATTACACATCTGTGTTGTTCTCACTCATTGTATAACAAACAATTTTTGACAATAAAATAGGAAGTTACGGAGAGTACTATAGGTAAATGATTTTTGTATAATATCAACACTCAGTTTTTATAATTCACATTACATAATTACAAAGTTAAGATATTAATTATAATACCATTAATAATCACTAAGAAAAATACTGTTCAAATATACTGAAGAGAAACATGGAAGTCAAAATGGTACCCTAGAAAAACAATCAAATGCAAATTGAACAGTTTTGGGGAAATAGAAGAATAATAACAACAACAAAACTAGTAGAAAAAATGACACAAATAGGAAAATAAATTCTTGTCAGCAATTGCTTTCCATCCAAATAAACTAAAATCCAGTTAAATGTCAAAGATTAGCAGAGTAACATTTTAAATGTTTTAAAGGTGAGGAAAAAAATAGTGCAAACAGTAACCAAATTAGAGCTGGAAAAACTGTACAAATATCAAAATTGTTTAATTCATCAAGAAGATACAATACTTATGTATATATCTAATAACACATTCTCAGGATATATAAAACAAAAATGAATAGATTAGTCTTGGACACCACTCCTGGCCAAGACTCTTTTTTTAAAAACTGAAAAATATATAATGTTGGTAACTAAAAATTACACTCTTCAACAACCTGTGGTTAACTGAAGAATCTGCAAGGAATTAAATAACTTTTGCAGATAAATAAAAAATTAAAACATACTAAAACTTCTGAAATGCAGCTAAATCAATGTTGTGAAATATACACATGTAAACATATAGATAAAAAAGAAGAAATGTAAAATTTCTAACATAAATTTACACACAAGGAAGCAGAAAATGTGCAAAGTAGAGGAGAGTACTTTAAAAAAAAAAAAAAAAATGGCCTAGTAAAGGAAGCTGCCATCATTGGCCCCCAACACTAACCCCAAAGAACACACACAGAAAAACCAAACCAAGTACACAGTGCTGAGATTATTACCAGCAATAACGCAGAGCCCAAATATGATAATGAGGCAGCTCCTAGGGTGACAGAAAAGTGAAGAAACCAGGCAGATGGTAAGAAAGTTTGCCTTTTATATTCACGACACTCTTCCCCTAGTCAGCTGGCAACCAAGTGTGGAAAAAAACAAAACAAAACAAAAATCCTCTGACTCATGATTACTACACTGGATAAAATAAAGTTGAAGTGGATGACCAGCTTCCCCACGACTTTGGATTCCCTGGCAGGAGACCTATTCCTGCTTTAACCCAAGGAAGCTGGGTTACTCAAAAATACAACAGAGACAAAGTAGAAAGGCAGGACTCCCACCTCCAGCCTGGATATCTCAGTCACAGGAGATGCCAAACCCGAGTGCCTGTGCAGCATTACCATGGGGTAGGAGGGATATTTCATAATTTCCTTGATCACAAATCTATAGACTGCTTTCCCACAGATCCTATAGATCACCTTCAAGATCGCTCAGATAGGAGACTGACTGTTTCAAAGTTTGTTAAAGCTGAGACACACCTGGGATTAAGGCACCATCTACTGCCAAAACAGAGGCACCGAGCTAGCCAAAAGCAAGTAAACAAAACCCTAACAATGGTTATGTCTTAAAGAAAACTCAAAGCAATCATATACAATAAAATGCAAACTAAGACAGAGAAAACAAAGGACTAAATAATTAGGCCTTCAATAAAAATATATAGTTATATTACCACAATAAATAACACCAAACAAGAAATTGTAACCTCCTTAAATGGACAAAGCCATAAACCATTGACCAGTGCTAATTAATGAGATGGCTACCAGTGGTTATTTGATCAAGAATTCAAAATATCAGTTTTCAGGAAACTCAGATCTCTAAAACAGCAGAGAAAAGGAACTGATATACTTCTGAAAGAAATTTTTAAAAATGGACTTAATTAATTTAAAAATAAAAAATTTCTGAAACTGAGAACTATATTTTCTGAAGTAAAAAATTCAAAAGGCTTTCAACAGCAGAATAGGTGAAACAGAATAAAGAATCATTAGCTTTAAAACGAATTATTAGGGCCAGGTGTGCCAGCTCATGACTGTAACCACAGCACTTTGGGAGGCTGTGACAGTTTGATCACTTGAGGTTGGCAGTTCATGACCAGTTTGGACATCATGGTGAAACTCAGGCTCTACTAAGAATACAAAAAATTCTCTGGGCATAGTGGTGCACACCTCTAATCCCAGCTAATCAGGAGCCTGAGAGAGGAGAATCACTCGAACCTGGGAGGCAGATGTTGCAGTGAGTTAATGTCGTGCCATTGAACTCCAGCCTGGGCAACACAATGAGACTTTGTCTCAAAGGAAAAAAAAAAAAAGAAAAAAGAAAAGAAAATTAACACAGGTTATTAGGAAACAAACAGAATGAAACACAAAAACAATAAAAAATAGAACATTTACATGATATAAAAATTACCTAAAATAAGCAAATCGAAGATTTAGCACTATTCATGGAAGAGCTTAGCAAGAGGAAGGTATATACAGCATATTCACATGAATAATTACAGCTTTCAAAAATTTGAGAAACAGCTACTTATACAGCTTCAGAAAAATCCTAGACTACAAAAAACTTTAATACCCCATAAAACTACCACACAACAAATAAGAATCTAACTCTCAAAGGCCGAGAAATAAAGAAAATTCTAAAAGCAATACTGGCAAATAAACAAAAATTGGAGGAGTTTGAAATCATTCGGCAAAAGACTTGTCAACGATAGGTTTTTAAGGAAGACCCAGAATTAAAAATATAAATTGTGACGTCAAAAACATAGTTGGAAGAAAGGGTAAAAGTCTAGAGTTTTTATGTCACAAAATTTTCAGCTTAAACTACTTGATTATTAACTATAAGATGTTTTCTCTGAGCCTTTAATGGCCATCAAAAAGTACAGCAGCAAAACCAACGATAAATACAAAGGAATTAAAGCTTAGCACTACTGAAAATATTTAAATGCTAAACATTTAAAAGCAAACATCAGAGGAAGAAAGGAAATAATCAATCAGATTTTTTCTTGTTTTCTGACTCAATCAGAAAACAACTAACAAGATAACAGTAGTAAGAACTTACTTATCAATAATTATCTTGAATGTAAATGAATTAAATCATACAACTAAAAGACATAGAGTGACCAAATGGATTTTAAAAATGAGATTCAACTACATTTTAACTATGAGACCCACTTAATCTTTAAGGACAAACATAGGCTGAAAATGAATGAATAGAAGAAGTTAACCTATGAAAATGGTAATTAAAAAAATTAGGGGTGGCTATACTCATATCTGATAAAAGTGATTTCAAGTGAAAACATGTCATAAGACTGAAAATGTCATCATTTAATAATAAAGCAATCAATTCATCAAAAGTATATAACTGTCATATATACACACATATGCACTCAACATTGGAGCACCTAAATATTTAAAGCAAAGATAAATAGAAATGAAAAACAAACAATAAATAAAATAATAGTAGGTAAAATAGTACATAGCAAATAAAACAACAGTAGGAAATTTCAGTACTTCAACTGCAACAAGGAATAGATAAACTTGACAGATATTTAACAAGTCTTAACAAAATTAAGATGGCTAAAAACATATTTAATATTGTTTCAGGCCATCATAGTAGCAAACCAAAAATCAGTAGCAGGATGGATCTTGAAAAAAATCATGAACACATGAACATTTTTAAAATATTGCTCCTAAATAACCATTGATGAAAAGAAAAATAAAAATGAAAATTTATAAATATCTTCAGATAAATGACAGTGGAAACACAACATACCTAAACCTATGATGTTCAGTGAGGCAGTATTATGATGGAAGATTATAGCAATAAGTGCATGCATTTAAAAAAAAGATAGAGATTCCAAATAAGCAACATCTCATTGTACCTACTGAATTAGAAGACAAAACAACTAAATTCAAAATTAACACAATAAATAGAATAATAATTAAAACAGAAGCAAAGCAAACATAGCTAGATGAAGAAAAAAATGACTGAAAAACAATAAAAAATTAAGTTATAGAAATTACAATAAACAAACAAACAAAACAATTACAAATGATGGATGAGGAGTGATTTTATAAGGCTTTCCAACAAAGAAAAGGTAAACAACAAATGGCTTTGGAGATGAATTCTACCATATTTTCAGAAAAGAATATTAATATGCTTCAAAGTCTTCAAAAAAAGAAGTTAAATGTAATGCTTCCAAATTTTTTTTATGAGTCCTATATCATCTTGATACTAAGGCAAACAAAAACATCATGAGAAGTGAGAACTATAGGCCATTACCTCTGATAAACATTGGACCAAAAATCCCTAATAAAATATGAGCAATCTGAATCCAGCAACATGCCAAAAATATTATACATCGTGGCCAAGATTTTACATCCCTGTCATGCAAGGCTGGTTATGTATACAAATAAATCAATGTGATTCATCACATTAACAGAATAAAAGATTAAAAGCATGTATACATCCCAATTAATGTGGAAAACACTTTGGAAAATCCCAACAATCTTTCTTGATTAAAAAACCCTCAACAGTTTAAGTATAGAAATAAAGGGTTGTTTTTTTTTTTGTAATAAAGGCCATTTAAGAAAAAAAGGAAAAGCTAACTTTATCATTAACAAGGAAAAATTGATGGTTTTCCAAAGACATCTGGTACAACACGAGGATGCCCACTCTCCCCACTTGTATTTAACATAGTTCTGAAAGTACTGGCAAGAGTAATCGGGTAAGAAAAAAAAAAAGCAAGGCAGACAAATTATAGAGCAAGAAATAAAATTATCTCTATTTGCAGATGACAGACTCCTATATGTATAAACAGCTCAAATATTCTATTTAGGAAACTTTTATAAGTAATGAATAAATTTAGTAAAGTCATTGTACACATAATTACCTAACTGAAAAAGAAATAAACTCTTCTCATTTATAAGCATATCAAAGAAGTTAAATTCTTAAGAAAAAATTTATCCAGAAAGTAAAAGATGTCTCCACTGAAAACTATGAAATGTTGATAAAAGCAATTGAAGAAGACACAAATAAATGGAAAGGTGGTCCATGCTTATGGATTGGGAGAGTTAATATTGTTAAAATGTTTTTAGCATCCAAAGCAATACACAGATTCAATGCTAGCCAATCAAAATTTCAATGGCATTCTTCATAGAAATAGAAAACAAAATATAAAATTTATATAGCAATCTGGAAGTCTTTCAATTGTCAAAACAATTCTTAATAAAGAAAAATGAAGTAGGAGGAATCACCCTACCTTATTTGCAACTGGCATGAACATGGAATCCTGGCCAAATGAACAGAGCAGAGAGTCCAGAAATAAATCCAATCATATATAGTCAATTAATTTTTGAATTGTGCAGCAAAATGATATGATAGAAGGGGATCATCTCTCCTATGAGCAGTGCTGGGAAAACTAGATTTCCACACGCAAAAGAACAAAATTGGACCCACATTTTACATCATACACAAAAATCAACTGAGGATATGTTGAAAATAAATGAGCAAGACTGCATTCAATGAAAAAGCGTTTGCACAGTAAAGGAAACAATCAACAAAATAAAAATAGCCTAAATGTTGGAAAAAATGTTTTCAAGCTACATATATGATGATGGGTTAAAATCTAAAACTTATAAAGAACTTGTACAACTCAATAGTAGAAAAACAAATAAACACACTAAAAGATGGGCAAAAGCTCTGAATTAACATTTCTCCAAGGAACACAAAAATGGGCAACAGGTATTTAAAACATATTTGACATCATTAATCATCAGAAAATTTTAAATCAAAAGTACTTTGAGACATTACATAACTCACATCGGGATGGCTATTATCAAAAACTCAAAAGATCACAAATGTTGGCTAGGATGTAGAGAAAATGAGACTCTTGAAGAGTGTTGTTGGTGATATATAGCCATTATAAAAATTGATATGGAGGTTTCTGGAAAATTAAAAATAGAACAACCATATGCCTCACCAACTCTTCCTTTAGACATATAAACAAAGGGAATCACTACCTCATAGAGGTATCTGTACTCTCATGTTCATTGCAGCATTATTAACAATAGCTAAGATATGAAAAAAATCTTACTGTCCAGTATAATGAAGTATTATTTAGCCCTGAACAAGAGTGAGATCTTGCCATTTGCCAAAACCTGAGGACCTTGGAGGAAAACATGCTAAGTGAAATCAACTAAACACAGAGAGAAAAATACTGTGTAATATCACAATATTTTTGTGAGGGAGAGTGATGCCAGCCTTTTTTTTTAAATCTGTTTTCAAAAGCTAATAGAACAAGATCTCCCTCCTTGTCACAAGAATGATACCGAACTCTTCATAAGGGATCCACCCTCATGAACCGAGCATCTCCCACTCAACCTCACCTCCAACACTGGGGATCAAATTTCAACATGTAGTTTGTAAAGGCAAATATCCAAACTATAGCAGTAACTATGTGAGATTACAAACATGTTAATTTGCTTCAGTATAGTAGCCTTTGAAATATCAAAATACATCCCATAGCATCATGTAGTACACATGAAATGCACATAATAGGATGCATTTATTTATTTGTTTATTTATTTATTATACTTTAAGTTCTAGGGTACATGTGCACAACATGCAGGTTTGATACATATGTATTCATGTGCCATGTTGCTTTGCTGCCCCCATCAATTCATCATTTACATTAGATATTTCTCTTAATGCTATCCCTCCCCAAGTCCCCCACTCCCCACCGCCAGACAGGACCCAGTGTGTGATGTTCCCTGCCCTGTGTCCAAGTGATCTCATTGTTCAAAATTTCCACCTATGAATGAGAACACGCAGTGTTTGGTTTTCTGGCGTTGTGATAGTTGGCTGAGAATGATGGCTTCCAGCTTAATCCATGTCCCTGCAAAGGACATAAACTCATCCATTTTTATGGCTGCATAGTATTACAAGGTGTATATGTGTCACATTTTCTTAATCCAGTCTATCATTGATGGACATTTGGATTGGTTCCAAGTCTTTGGTATTGTGAATAGTGCCACAATAAACATATGTGTGCATGTGTCTTTATAGTAACATGATTTATAATTTTTTGGGTATATATCCAGTAAAAAGATTGCTGGATCAAATGGTAATTCTAGTTCTAGATCTTTGAGGAATTTCCACACTGTCTTCCAAAATGGTTGAACTAATTTACACTCCCACCAACAGTGTAAAAGCATGCCTGTTTCTCCACATCCACTCCAGCATCTGTTGTTTCCTGACTTTTTAATGATTGCCATTGTAATTGGTGTCAGATGTTGTGTGATTTTGGTTTTGATTTGCATTTATCTGATAACCAGTGATGATGAACATTGTTTCATGTGTCTATTGGCCACTCAGATGTGTTTTTTTGAGAAGTATGTGTTCATATCCTTTGTCCACTTTTTGGTGAAATTTTTTTCATGTAAATTTGGTTTCTTTGTAGATTCTGAATGTCAGTCTTTTGTCAGATGGGTAGATTGCAAAAATTTTCTCCCATTCTGTAGCTTTCCTGTTCACTCAAATGTAGTTTCTTTGGCCGTGCAGAAGCTCTTTAGTTGAATTAGATTTCATTTGTCTATTTTAGCTTTGGTTGCCATTGCTTTTGGTGTTTTAGTCATGAAGTCCTTGCCCATTGCCTATGTCATGAATGGTATTGGCTAGGTTTTCCTCTAGGGTTTTTATGGTTTTAGGTCTAATATTTAAGTCTATAATCCATTTTCAATTAATTTTTGTGTTAGGTGTAATTAAGGGATGCAGCTTCAACTTTCTACAAATGGCCAGCCAGTTTTCCCAGCACCATTTATTAAACAGGGACTCCTTTCCCCATTTCTTCTTTTTGTCAGGTTTGTCAAAGATAAGATGATTGTAGATGTGTGTTTTTATTTCTGAGGCCTCTCTTTTGATCCATTGGTCAATGTATCTGTTTTGGTAACACTACTATGCAGTTTTGGTTACTGTAGCCTTGTAGTATAGTTTGAAGTCAGGTAGCGTGATGCCTACAGCTTTGTTCTTTTTGCTTAGGATTGTCTTGGCAATGTGGGCTTTTTTGTGTTCCATATGAATTTTAAAGTAGTTTTTCCAATTCTGTGAAGAAAGTCTTTGTTAGCTTGATGGGGATGACCTTGAATGTACAAATTACTTTGGGTACAATGGCCATTTTCAAGATATTGGTTCTTCTTATCCATGATCATAGAATATTCTTCCATTTGTTTGTGTCCTTTTTTATTTCGTTGAACAGCGGTTTGTTGTTCTCCTTGAACGGGTCCTTCACATCCCTTGTATGTTTCATTCCTACATATTTTATTCTCTTTGTAGCAATTATGAATGGGAATCCACTCATGATTTGGCTCTCTGTTTGTCTGTTAATGGTGTATAGGAATGCTTGTCATTTTTGCACATTTATTTTTGTATCCTGAGACTTTATTGAAGTTGCTTATCAGCTTAAGGAGATTTTGGGATGAGATGACAGGGTTTTCTAAATATACAATCATGTCATCAGAAAACAGGGATGATTTGACTCACTCATTTCCTAATTGAATACTCTTTATTTCTTTCTCTTGTCTGATTGCCCTGGCCAGAACTTCCAACACTATGTTGAATAGAAGTGAGCATCCTTGTCAAGAGAAGGCATCCTTGTCTTGTGCCGGTTTTCATAGGAAATGCTTCCAGTATTTGCCCACTCAGTATGATATTGGCTGTGGGCTTGTCACAAGGAGCTTTTATTATTTCGAGATACATTTCTGTCAATACCTACTTTATTGAGAGTTTTTAGCATGAAGGGCTATTGGATTTTGTTGAAGGCTTTTCTGCATCTGTTGAGATAATCATGTGGTTTTTGTCATTGGTACTGTTTATGTGATGGATTATATTTATTGATTTGTGTATGTTGAACCAGACTTGTATCCAAGGGATGAAGCTTACATGATCATGGTAGAGAAGATTTTTGATGTGGTGGTGGATTCTGTTTGCCAGTATTTTATTGAGGATTTTTGCATTGACGTTCTTCAGGGATATTGGTCTAAAATTCTCTTTTTTTATTGGTATCAGAATTATGTTGGCCTCATAAAATAAGTTAGGGATGATTTCTTCTTTTTTATTGATTGGAATAGTTTCAGAAGGAGTGGTACCAGCTCCTCTTTGTACATCTGGTAGAATTCAGCTGTGAATCAAACTGGTCCTGGACTTTTGTTTTTGGTTGGTAGGCTATTAATTATTTCCTCAATTTCATAGCCTGTTATTGGTCTATTCAGAGATCCAATTCTTCCTGCTTTTGCTTTGTGAGGGTTTGTTTGTCCAGGAATTTATCCATTTCTTCTAGATTTTCTAGTTTATTTGTGCAGAGGTGTTTACAGTTTTCTCTGATGGTAGTTTGTATTTCTGTAGGGTCGGTGGTGATATCCCATTTATCATTTTTATTGCATCTATTTGATTCTTCTCTCTTTTCTTCTTTATTAGTCTTGCTAGTGGTCTATCAATTTGGTTGACCTTTTCAAAAAACCAGTTATTGATTTCATTGATTTTTTGAAGGATTTTTTTTCTCTCTATCTCTTTCAGTGTTGCTCTCATCTTAGTTATTTCTTGCCTTCTCCAAGCTTTTGATTTTGTTTGATCTTGCTTTGCTAGTTCTTTTAATTGTGATGTTAGGGTGTCAGTTTTCCTGGTTTTTCTTGTGTGTTTAGTGCCACACATTTCCCTCTACACACTACTTTAAATGTGTCCCAGAGATTCTGGTACATTGTGTCATTTTTCTCATTGGTTTCAAAGAACATCTTTGTTTCTGGTTTCATTTCATTTCTTACCCAGCAGTCATTAAGGAGCAAGTTGTTCGGTTTTCACATAGTTGTGAAGTTTTCAGTGAATTTCTTAATCCTCAGTTCTAATTTGATTGCACTGTGGTCTGAGAGACAGTTTGCTATGATTTCTGTTCTTTTACATTGGCTGAGGAGTGCTTTACTTCCAGTTATGTAGTCAATTTTAGAATAAGTGTGATGTGTTCTGTAGATATCTATTAGGTCTGCTTATTGCAGATCTGAGTTCAGGTCCTGAATATCCTTGTTGATCTTCTGTCTTATTGATCTGTCTAATACTGACTGTGAGGTGTTAAAATCTCCCATTATGATTGCATGGGAGTCTAAATCTCTTTGTAAGTCTCTAAGGACTTGCTTTATGAATCTGGGTGCTCTTGTATTGGATGCATACATATTTAGGATACTTAGCTCTTCTTCATTAATTGATCCCTTTATCATTATGTAATGGTCTTCTTTGTCTCTTTTGATCTTTGCTGGTTAAATGTCTGTTTTATCAGACTATGATTGCAACCCCTGCTTTGTTTTTCTCTGTTTTTTTTTTTTCTTTCCATAGACTTGGTAGATCTTCTTCCATCCCTTTATTTTGAGCCTATGTGCATCATTGCATATGAGATGGGTCTCCAGAATACAGCACACTGATTCATCTTGACTCTATGCAATTTGCCAGTCTGTGTCTTTTAATTGGGGCATTTAGCCCATTTACATTTAAGGTTAATATTGTTATCTGTGAATTTGATCCTGTCATTATGACGTTTGCTGGGTAGTTTGCCCATTAATTAATGGAGTCTCTTCATAGCATTGATGTTGTTTACAATTTGGCATGTTTTTGCACTGGCTGGTACCAATTGTTTCTTTCCAAGTTTAGTGCTTCCTTCATGATCTCTTGTAAGGCAGGCCTGGTGGTGACAAAATCTCTCAGAATTTGCTTCTCTGTAAAGGATGTTATTTCTCCTTCACTTACAAAGTTTAGTTTGGCTGGATATGAAATTCTGGGTTGAAAATTCTTTTCTTTAAAGATGTTGAATGTTGGTCCCCACTCTCTTCTGGCTTCTAGAGTTTCTGCCAAGAGATTCGCTGTTAGTCTTATGAGCTTACCTTTGTGGGTAACTCAACCTTTCTCTCTGGCTGCCCTTAATATTATTTCCTTCATTTCAACCTTGGTGAACCTGACAATTATGTGTCTTCATGTTGCTCTTCTCGAGGAGTGTCTCTGTGGTTTTTTCTGTATTTCCTGAATTTGAATGTTGGCCTATCTTGCTAGGTTGGGGAAGTTTTCCTGGATGATATCCTGAAGATTGTTTTCCAGCTTGGTTCCATTCTTTCCATCACTTTCAGGTACACCAATCAAATGTAGATTTGGTCTTTTCACTTAGTCCTATATTTTTTGAGGCTTTGTTTATTTCTTTTTGCTGTGTTTTCTCTAACCTTGTCTTCTTGTTTTATTTTATTAATGTAATCTTTAGTCACTGATATCCTTTCTTCCACTTGATTGAATCAGCTACTGAAGCTTGTGGTATATGTCACAAAGTCCTTGTGCCATGGTTTTCAACTCCATTAAGTCATGTAAGGTCTTCTCTACATTGTTTATTCGAGTTAGCCTTTCATCTAATCGTTTTTCAAGGTTTTAACTTTCTTGTGATGGTTTTGAACATGCTACTTTAGTTTGGAGAAGTTTGTTATTACTGACCTTCTGGAGCCTACTTCTGTCAACTTGTCAAAGTGATTCTCCATCAGGTTTTGTTCTGTTGTTTGTGAGGAGCTGTAATCCTTTGGAGGAGAAGAGGTGCTCTCAGTTTTAGAATTTTCAGCTTTTCTGCTCTAATTTCTCCCCATCTTTGTGGTTTTATCTACCTGGATTTTTGAAGTTGGTGATCTACAGATGGGGTTCTGCATAGATGACCTTTTTGTTGATGTTGCTGCTATTCCTTTCTGTTTCTTAGTTTTCCTTCAAACAGTCAGGTCCTTCAGCTTCAGGTCTATTGGAGTTTTGTGGAGTTTCAATACAGATTCTGTTTGCCTGGGCATCACCAGCAGAGGCTTCAGAACAGCAAATATTGCAGAACAGCAAATATTGATGCATGATAATTTCTGTGGAAGCTTCATCCCAAAGGAGCTGCCACCTATATGAGGTGTCTGTTGACCTTTACTTGGAGGTGTCTCCCAGTTGGGCTACATGGCAATCAAGGACCCACTTCAGGAGGCAGTCTGTCCATTCTCTGCACTCAAACAGCATTCTAGGAGAACCACTGCCCTCTTCAGAGCTGTCAGACGGAGATGTTTAAGTCTGCAGAAGCTGTCTGCTGCCTTTTTTTCAGCTATCCCCTGCCTACAGAGGTGGAGTCTTGAGGCAGTAGGCCTTGTTGAGCTGTGGTGGTCTCCACCTAGTTTGAGCTTCCTGGGTGCTGTGTTTACCGACTCAAGCCTTAACAATGATGGCTGTCCCTCTACCAGCTAGGCTGCCACCTCGGAGCTTGATCTCAGAATGCTGTGTTAGCAGTTACCAAGGCTCTGTGAGTGTGGGACCCACCAAGCAAGGCATGGGAGAGAATCTTTTTGTCTGCCAGTTGCAAAGACCTTGGGAAAAGTGCAGCATTTGGGTGGGAGTGTCCTGTTTTTCCAAGTAGTTTGTCACAACTTCCCTTTTCTAGGAAAGGGAAATCTCCTGATCCCTTTTGCATCCCAGGTGGGGTGACTCCCCAACCTGCTTTAGCTCTCCCTCAATGGGCTGCACCCACTGTCCAACCAGTCCCAATGAGAAGAACCAGGTACCTGAGTTGGAAGTGCAGAAGTCACTCATCTTCTGTGTCGATCATGCTGGGAGCTGCAGACTGGAGCTGTTCCTATTTGACCATCTTGGAACACCCTCAGAAAAATAAATAGGATGCATTTTTAAAGGTAATTTTTTTTTAGATGGAGTCTTGTTCTGTCACCCAGGCTGCGTGCAGTGGCATGATTCAGGCTTACTGCAAGCTCCGCCTCATGGGTTCATGCCATTCTCCTGCCTCGGGCTCCCAAGTGTCTGGGACTACAGGCACCTGCCACCACGCCTGGCTAATTGTTTGTATTTTTAGTAGAGATGGGGTTTCACCATGTTTGCCAGGATGATCTTGATCTCATCACATTGTGATCTGCCCCCCTCAGCCTCTCAAAGTGCTAGGATTACAGGCATGAGCTACTGTGCTTGGCCCAAGGTAAATTCTCTATTTAAGTGCTCATACATCCAGTTTTGTTGAACATATACTTTAAACCTGTGTTACAGATAAACGTGAATTGCAGGGTTTTCTTGTTTTCTTCACCCACTTCCCTGTCCCTTTCAATCAGCTGGCTGTGAGATCACTTAAACCAGGGACCTGAGGCTCAGGACTGGCCCAAGGGGTGTTGTGGGTGCCCCTCTGCATTTCAAGGTCACTGTGTGGCAGGGTCAGGTCTTTGGCTGGAGAAAAGTGCATTGTGTCACCAGAGGAGGTCTTGGTCAGTTGATTTGAGAAACAACACAAGCACTAATATTTGGAATGTCCCAGGTTAGTGTTGGGGAAACCAGCCCCACATCACCTGATGGGTACCCCAATACTGGCAGAGACAAATGAGTTGCAAAGAGACAGAATAACTGCTTAAAGGTTGGGACCAGGGGTCTGGAGCATAGGAGGCTTGCTTACAGCCCAGATCTCTAGGGCTCCACCCAATTTATTGGTTTACAAGCTCTTTGTTCTCATGGTAGCTGCGAGGATGAGGAAGCGATGAGGAAAAGGATTAGCCAGTGAAGGAGAACTCACGAGTCATTCAATAAGGTGTATAGTGGGGGCAGTTTCTGTGAATTTCCTAGAGCAAAGGCGTATGTCTAAACTACTTAAGATCTTTAAATTATTGGGGCTGAAACAGTTCAGAGTGGGTTTCAGGAAGAGCCAAGATATTTGATTATACTCTACTGCTTCAAGGGAGTGTTATCTCCCTGAGCAACCTGTGAAATGCTGCTGAGCAGTTACGCTCTCAGGGCATATAGACTTGAAGGCAATAAGGAGACTTTTCTCCACAGAAGCAGCCCATGGCTCCCCATGGATGTCTCACAGAGGGTAGACCAACTCACCTGGAACCTGAGAAACTCTCTTTTCCAATTACAGATTGTTGGTTTAGACCAAAAGCAGTAAAAGAGATAAACAAAGCGTATTGGAGTGGCCCTGTGGTGACAGCATTTTCTGGCTGGGCCTCAGAGTCCCACAAAACCTCCCCTGCTATCTGATCTCTTGTAGAGGGACATGAATAAAATGGACCACTCAAGGACCATCAGAACCACTGGGCTTGGCCTTGGACTTTCCAGGAGACAAGAACATTTGAAATCCACTGACTGCCAGGTACTGTCATCCTATGGGCCATGGGACCATCTCACCTATTCAGTTCCCCTCTACCATCTAGTAGTGAGTAGAGCATGGAGTGGGCCTAGGGATGACAGGGCCCTGTCACTGTGATCAAGTCAGACCCCAGGGAGGAGAAAACCACCAGCAAGGAGCCCATGTCAGGGGCCAGGTTTGGGGAGCAGCTTTCTCTAACCTTACACTTGCTCCTGCAGCCTGACTCATCACTTGAATTCACATATATATTTGGAGAATGGAGACAACAAACTTAGAACAAGACACACAGGCCTGCCACCTAAAGACAAACCCAGCTGTCATTGTGGGGTGTTTATTTTTATTATTTTCTTTTTTTTACTCTTCTCATGTTTCTGATACATATCAGTGCTTTTTGAGCACCCTCCTTGCACTCTGTGATCTTCCTTTGATGAAGAGGATCCTTTAAGGATAAGAAAAGTATATAGGTTGGCCAGCTGTGGATCTGGTCTACATGTGGGGTAGGCCTACATCTTGGCTGGCCTTCACACCATGTGCACATTTGCTCCTTCATTTCACATAACATTATGACTATAGCATCTTTCTTGACACCTCATGTGCCTGCTTATATTTAGATCCTGCACTGCCTAGGTGTGTGACCCTAGGCAGATTCATGTGACATCTCACCTGTACAATAGGGATGCTGCCAGGACCTGCCATGGGATTGTTGCAAATGTTAAGGGGCGGTGGTTATCAAAAGCCTGAGTACCATTGAGACACAGTGAGCATTCACAAAATACCAATTCTTTTTTTATCAACTGTTGCCTAATAGATCTTTAGGATAAACTGTCGTTTATTCACATAACTAGTAAGCTCTTGTTAATTGTTTTCCTAGTTTCAAAACTGGAGAACAATACTTCATTGAAAGTCATTGTAAATAAAGTGCTAAAATATTATCGTTTTCCAGTAATAGGCTTTATTAAGTGTTTCAAGTTGGCCAGGTCAATCAGAGCCTGGCCAAAGTCTTTGCAACCACAGGGAAAATGGTAAAGGCATTGCAATTTGTGATATCCTGGAGCCCACAGCCACTAGTAGCCAAATTGAAACAGGAACCCACATTCTTAGCTTGGCTTCAGTTTCTTTCCAGGTCTTACTGAGAGGTGAAGCCAGGCTTCTGGGTGGGTGGGGACTTGGAGAACTTTTCTGTCTAGCTAAAGGATTGTAAACACACCAATCAGCACTCTGTGTCAGGCTAAAGGTTTGTAATTGTACCATTCAGGGCTCTGTGTCTAGCTAATTGGGTGGGGACTTGGATAACTTTTGTGTCTAGCTAAAGGACTGTAAACACCCCAATCAGCACTCTGTGTCTAACTGAAGGTTTGTAAATGCACCAGTCAGCACTCGGTCAAAAGGGACCAATCAGCTCTCAGTAAAATGGACTAATCAGCACTCTGTAAAATGGACCAAACTGAGCTCTGTATAATGGAACAATCAACGCTCTGTAAAATGGAACAATCAGCAGGACATGGATGAGGCCAAATAAGGGAGTAAAACCTGGCCACCTAAGCCAGCAGTGGCAACCCGCTTCATTCCCCTTCCATGCTGTGGAAGATTTTTCTCTTGCTCTTCAAGATAAATCTTGCTGCTCCTCACTCTTTGGGGCAGCACTGCCTTTATGAGCTGTAACACTCACCATGAAGGTCTGCAGCTTCACTCCTGAAGTCTGCGATACCACGAACCCACCAGAAGGAAGAAACTCGACACATCCGAACATCAGAAGGAACAAATTCCGGACACACCATGTTTAAGAACTATAAAACACACCATGAGGGCCCGCGGCTTCATTCTTGAAGTCAGTGAGGCCAAGAACCCCCGAATTCTGGACACAGTACTGCTCTGGTCTGAGAGAGCCTCTGCCCACAAAAATATGGTGTCCTCTGTGTCCCGCAGGTCACTGCAGGGTGGCGAGATGTACCAGTATGGGCACGACCATGATGCTCCCACCCTCCCCTTCATCTTTCCTGGTCCTTTCCTCTGCCCACTGGTTGCTTGCAGTAACATGCTAGAGTCCTCTATGGCTGCAACTGAATCATGGCTGAGGCCTCTACCACTGGCATCCTCCAAGGAAGTTTCCTTCCAGGCTCGGCAGTTGGTCTACAGTTAGGGGCTGGACTTCATGATGCACACTGCAGACACCTCTGTGGCTGTGTCTATTGATACCTTTGGTGATGCCTACATGTGGATCTCCTTTGACAGATCTTGATTGAGTTTTTGAGCTGGATATTGTGACTACTCAGTTCTTGTTTTGTTTTAAGGGAGAGGAAGTGGGGTAGAGCCAGGATTTCCTGCTGGAATCTGTGGTACTTAATTAGGCTTCAAACCAGTAGAGCTGGAACAAAGACTCTTCCTAGAGTCTCTGACACCACAGATTATTTCTCATATATTTCATTTTGAAAATAAAAATGTATCCACATGACTGAAAAATACAGAAGTGAGGCAAGAGTTACACAGAAGGAGCTGCCACCATGTGCACCTAAACCTAGTGCCCTGAGTTACCTGTTAACACCAGGTACAACAGAGGAAGGCTGAGCTTCTTAGACTCCTAACCTTTCATCCACCCTCAGCCAATGGTAGGCATATCATGAGTTTAGTTTCCTTCTTAGTGATCATTGAAGTTGTAAGCAATTGTAGAATATATATATTTAGATATCTATTTCATCAGTCCAATACAGGACAATCTTGAGACTGTCCTCTTGTAAGGAGTATATTGGCATTGTGAATTCACCTACGTTTCTTAGTATTCTATGGGTAATACATATTTTGTCTTTAGCTTTCTGTTTTCTTGTCATTTCTAATTGCCTTTTCTTCTTTCCATTTTAAATTAAACTGTCTACTTTTATTACATCCTTAATGTTTTCCTGCATTTCTAACCTGCCATCTGAAAAGTCACTGCTGGACGCCTTCCTTTTCCCCTTTCCCATCCAACCAACATCTCTCTAGGCCTGGGGTGGGTCTGTCATTCCCAGAGCTTTTATAATTGCCTCTCTGGGTTTTTACGTGTGAAATTCTATTTCGCTACTGCAGCTTTGGAACAAATCTCCCAGAGAGCTAGACAATTTTCTTATGATTTATTTTTTTAATTGTATGTGCTTTTGAAATATATTTCAGATTCTCTCTTCCATTTTTTTTTGAAAGCTACACATTTTAAGAGAATTTGAAGCTATCTTTCCTAATCTCTGGATTTTCCTCTTATCTTCCTAAATTTTGTTTTAAAGAGGGTCAATTTATCTATTTTTTCTTTTGTTTTCTGTGCATTCTCTGTCATACCCAGGAAACTTGATGAATTCAATGTCAATAAGTCCATAAAAATATGTTTGACATCACTAGCCATTAGGTAAAGGAATATCTAAACCACAATGATATTACCACTTTTTACCCACTAGAATGTGATTTTTATTTTTTTGAAGAAGGGACAACTGGAGAGTATGTGGAGACAATGGAACCCTTGTGCATTGCTGGTGAGAAAGTGAAATGGTGGTGATGGTTGCACAATAACACAAACATACTTAATGCCACTTACGTATACACCTACAAATGCTTAGATTGGTAAATTTTATGTTACATTTCTTTTACTAAATACAACAAAGTCTTCCTGAGAACTGGTCCTGAAATAGTTCCATGTGAATGAAAGAAGACCCGTCTCTCCTAGAGGGAGTAGAAGCTTTTATTTATTTATTTACTTTGAAATTGAGTCTTGCTCTGTGGCTCAGGCTGGAGGAAAGTGGTGCGACCTCTGCTCACTGCAAGCACTACCTCCCATCTTCACACCATTCTCCTGCATCAGCCTCCCGAGTAGCTGGGACTAAAGGTGCCCACCATCATGCCTGGCTAACTTTTTGTACTTTTTAGAAGAGACGGGATGTCACCATGTTAGCCATGATGGTCTCGATCTCTAGACCTCATCATCCACCCTTCTTGGCCTCCCAAAGTGCTGGGAATACAGGCTTGAGCCACCACACCTGGCTGAGTAGGAACCTTTTTATCCATGCTGGTACCACACACTCCTGGCTCTTCCACACACAAAGCATGACCTCACAAATCACAAGCAGTCCAATTCTAACTGGTCTGTTTGCACCTCTTTCCAACATCCTATTCCCCTATTCAACTTACTCCCTGCCCCGCTACAAGCCACTGTACATCACAGGTTTGCTTACCTTCTCTGTAGACTTTTCTATAATGTCATAGGAATGCTATCATACAATATGTGATCTCTTCAGACTGGCACTTTTTGTTACTAATGTTTTCTCGTTATTCCATAATTGCTGCCAAAATAAGCATGCATGTCTTGTGCCACAGAAAACTGATCACACACTAAGCTCTACTTAGTAAAAACTAAAAAAAAAAAATGCTAGTACATATTGTCACATTTATACCCTTATTTTTTTAATTCATGATTTCTACAATGAATAAATGGATGAATAAAGTACACTGACACACAAATATTCTGCCTTGCCAGTCCAGCTGAGCATTGGGCTGATTACAGACCCCAGGCAGAGTGTTGTAAACAGTTTTGACTGTGACCCGTACCAGCTAGTGAGACTCGCATTTATTAAGTAAAGATTAATTGACCAAGGCTTTAAGTCAACACCACTAAAGGGTAAATGACAGTGTGGACTTCCCAATTAGAAAGCAATTAATCACTGTGGTAAGTCAAAGATTAGTCTTAGGACCACATGAACAAACAAGCTATTAAGATAAACACCCCATATTCCTTTGTTTCTACTCTAACTTATTTAACTAAATGGAAAAGGCTGCCTTTAGCCAAGTTTATTACTGGAGCTTATGCCAATCCCCAAAGCCTTCCAAGAAGGTTTGCATCTGATAATTTTCCCCACCATCCTGACTGAACCCACACAGATGTCAAAGCTGCAATAAGAATTTCTGGAGTACAAACTAGTTTCTCTGGGAATTGAAAAAGCCATTGATTTCAATTTCAGTACATATATTCATTGCTTAATACATGATACAGATTAGAACTCTGGAGGTTTACCTTCTTGAATCTGCTTTTTCAAAAATGAGACAAAGTGTAAAATCACATGTATTTGGTCTGTTAGTTTTTCTTCACCTTTCAAAACATGGCACTTCCTTTGATTGATATTTGAAGACAGAGACTAATTTATTAAAATATTTTTCACTGTCCTTTTCATTGTTGCTTTTACACATTACATGTGAAATTGCTGGAAACTTCAACAGTGCACATTTTAAATAAGAATAAAAGACAGTTGGCATCTAGCAAGATGGTTGAAAAAGAGCAGCTCTGGTCTGCAGCTTCCAGTGAGATCAACACAAAAGACAAGTGATTTCTGTGTTTCCACCTGAGGTACCCAGTTCATCTCATTGGGACTGGTTAGACATTGAGTGAGGCCCACAGAAGGCAAGCAGAAGCAGGGTGATTGTTGCCTCACCCAGGAAGCGCAAGGGGCTAGAAACTTCCTCCCACAGCCAAGGAAAGCCATCTGGGGCTGTGTCATCAAGCCCGTATCCTGCACTTTTCACAGGGTTTTTGCAACCCACAGACCAGGAGATTCCCTAGTGTGCCTACAGAACCACAACCCTGGATTTCAAGCATGAAACTGGGTGGCTGCTTTGACACATACTGAGCTAGATGCAAAAGATTTTTTTTGTACCCCAGTGGCACCTGGAACCCTACTGGGACAGAACAATTCACACCCCTGGAAAGGGGGCTGAAGCTAGGGAAAAAAGTGGTCTCATTCATCAGGTCCCATTCACATCAAACACAACAAGCTGAGATCTACTGGCTTCAAATTCTCACTACGTGCATAAAAGCCTGAAGTCAACCTTGAATGATCAAGCTTGGTGGGGAGAGGGTCGACCACCATTACTGAGGCTTACATATAAGGGTTTCCCTAACAGTATTAAGAAAGCTGCCAGGAAGTTTGCAAAAGCATGCAAAGCAGCTGTGGCCAGATTGGCTCTCTAGATTCCACCTCACTGATTATGTCATTTCTGAAAGAATGGCAGCAGCCCCAGTCAGGGGATTATACTTAAAACTCCCATCTCCCTGGGACAGACCACCTGGGAAAAGGGATGGCTGCGAGTGAAACTGCAGCAGACTTAAACATTCCTGCCTGCCTGTTGTGAAGAGAGCTGTGTATCTCTGAGAACAGTGTTCAAGCCCTGCTCAGGGACAGATTGCCTTTTCAACTATGCCCCTTACCCCTGTGTCTCCTGACTAGGGAACACATCCCAGCAGGTTTCAACAGACACTTCATACAGAAGAGCTCTGGCTGGCACCAGTCAGGACCCACTCAGGGCAAAATCTTCCACTTATTGCTGTTCTGCAACTTCAGATGGTCATACCCAGTAAAGCAGCATCTGAAGTAGACCTCTTGCAAACTCCAGCAGACCTGCAGAAGAGATGCCTGACTGATCAACATCAACAAAAAGGGCGCTCATACAAAAACCCAATCCAAAGACCATCGGCATAAAATATCCCAGGTAGATAAATCCATGAGAAATAGGAATAACCAGCACAAAAGAGCTGAAAATTCAGAAAATTAGAACGCTTCTTCTCCTCAAAATGATTGCAACTCCTCCCCAGCAAGGGCGCAAAAGTGAATGGAGAAGGAGTTTGATGAATTGGCAGAAGTAGGCTTCAGATGGTGTGTAATAACAAAATTATCTGTGGTAAAGGAGTATGTTCTAACCCAATGTTAGGAAGCTGAGAACCTTGATAAAATGTTACAGGAACTGCTAACTAAAACAACCAGTTTAGAGAAGAACATGTATTACCTAATGGAGCTCACAAACACAGTGCAAGAAACATTGTGAAGCAAAAACAAGTATCATTGGTCGAGTCAATGAAAAGGAAGAAAAGATATCACAGATTATAGATCAACTTAATGAAATTGTGGGGAAAAGAAAGAAAGATCAGACTGTAACTCTATCTATGTAGAAAGAATTAGACATAAGATACTCTATTTTGTTCTGTACTAAGAGAAATTTTTCTGCCTTGAGATGCTGTTAATCTGTAACCCTAGCCCTGACACTGTGCTCACAGAGACATGTGCTGTGTTGACTCAAGGTTTAATGGATTTAGGGCTATGAAGGAGGTGCTTTGTTAAACAAGCTCTCGAAGGCAGTATGGTTGTTAAAAGTCATCACCATTCTCTAATCTCAAGTACCTAGGGACACAATACACTGTGGAATTCCACAAGGACCTCGGCCTAGGAAAACCAGGTATCATCCAATGTTTCTCCCCATGTGATAGCCTGAGATATGGCCCCATGGGAAGGGAAAGACCTGACCATCCTCCAGCCTGACACCCTTAAGTGGTCTGTTCTGAGGAGGATTAGTAAAAGAGGAAGGCTTCTTTGCAGTTGTGATAAGAGGAAGGCATCTATCTCCTGCTCATCCCTACCATCACCCTCGCGAGATGGTAGAGATAATGATTAATAATACTGAGGGAACTCAGAGACCAGTGCTGGCACGGGTCCTCCATATGCTGAGTGCTGGTCCCCTGGGCCCACTTTTCTTTCTCTATACTTTGTCTCCGTGTCTTATTCCTTTTCTCAGTCTCTCATTCCACCTGATAAGAAACACCCACAGGTGTGGAGGGGCAGTCCACCCCTTCAGAAATAAAGCATGAAGACAAGATTAGAGAAAAATGATTGAAAAGGAAAAAACAAAGCCTCCAAGAAATATGGGACTATGTCAAAAGACAAAACCTACTACTGATTAGTGTACCTGAAGTGAGGGGGAAAATGGAACCAAGTTTGAAATTACGCTTCAAGGCATTATCCAGGAGAATTTCCCCAACCTAAAAAGACAGGCCATCACTCAAATTCAGGAGATACAGATAACACCACTAAGATACTCTTTGAGAAGAGCAACATCAAGACATATAACTGTCAGATTCTCCAAAGTTGAACCAAAAGAAAAAAATGTTAAAGACAGCCAGAGAGAAACGTGAGGTTACCTAGAAAGAGAAGCCCATAGTACTAACAGTGGATCTCTCTGCAGAAACTCTACAAGCCAGAAGAGAATGGGGCCAACATTCAACATCCTTAAGAAAAAAAAAATCAACCTAGAATTTTGTATTCAGCCAAACAAATCTTCCTAAGCCAAAGAAAAATAAAATTGTTACACACAACCAAGTGTAGATGATTTATGTAACCACCATGCCTGCTTTAGAAGAGCTCCTGAAGTAAGCACTAAATATGGAAAGAAAAAACTGTACTCACCACTGAAAAAAATAGCAAAATATAAAGACCAACAACACCAAGAAGAAAGGGCATCAACTGATATACAAAATAACCAGCTAGCAATGCCAATGCAGGATCAAATTTACACATAACAATATTAACCTTAAATGTAAATGAACTACATTTGCCAATTAAAGTACACAGACTAGCAAATTGGATAAAGGGACAAGACCCTCTGGTGTGCTATATTCAGGAGACTCATCTCATGGGTGAAGACAGGCATACACTCAAAATAAGGAGAAAGTCAAAAAAAAAAAAAAAGAAAAAACAGGGGTTGCAATACTAGTCTATCCTAAGACAAACTTTAAACCAATATAGATCAAAAAAGACAAAGAAGGGAATTACATAACGGTAAAGGGATCAGTGCAACGAGAAGAACTAATGATCCTAAAAATATATGAACTTAATACAGGAGCACACAGATTTATAAAGCAAGTTCTTAGAGACCTACACAGACTTAGACTACTACCCAATCATAAAAGGAGATTTTAACAGTCAGATATATTATGCAGATAAATGAGACAGCATATTAACAAGAATACTTAGGACTTGAACCCAGCTATTGACCAAGCAGAGCTAATAGACATCTACAGAACTATCCACCCCAAATCAACAGAATATACATTCTTCTCAGCACCACATAGCACTTATTCTAAAATTGACCACATAATTGGAGGTAAAACACTCCTCAGCAAGTGCAAAAGAACGGAAATCAAAACAGTCCCTTATGCCAAAGTGGAATAAGATTAGAACTCAGGATTCAGAATCTCATTCAAAACTGCACAACTAAAAGAAAACTCTAAAACCTGCTCCTGAATGTCCACTGGGTAAATAATAAAATAAATAAAGAAAGAAATAAGTTGTTTAAAATCAATGAGAACAAAGACACAACCTACCAGAATCTCTAGGACACAGCTAAAGAAGTATTAAGAGAGAAATTGATAGCATGAAATATTCATATCAAAAAGTAGGAAGGATCAAAAATCCACACCCTAAAATCACAATGAAAAGAACCAGAGGGATGGACATGGTGGCTCATACCTCATATTTCAGCACTTTCAGAAGGTGGGCCAGGAATGTCACCTGAGTTCAAGAGTTCAAGAGCAACCTGGCCAACCAACATGGTGAAACTCTCTCTCTACAGAAAATACAAACAAAACAAAAAAAAAACCTGGCCTGGTGGCACACACCTGTAATCCCAGATACTTGGGAGGCTGAAATGGGAAAATTCCTTGAACCCAAAAGATAAAGGTCACAGTGAACTGAGGTTGCACAACTCCCTTCCAGTATGGGTGACAAAGCAAGGCACCTTCTCAGAAAAAAAAAAAAAAAAAGAAGACAGAAAGAAAAGGAACTAGAGAGGCAAGAACAAACAAATTCAAACAGTGACACAAAAAAGAAATAACAGATCAGATAATTGAAGGTGATAGAGTCAGGAAAATCCTTCAAAAATCCATGAATCCAGGAGCTTTTTTATTTTTATTTTTGTAAAGTTTAACAAAATAGAGTTGTAGCCAGAACAATAAAGAAAAAAAGAGAGAAGAATCAATTAGACATGGTAAAGAAAGATAGTGGGGATGTAACAACTGATCCCACAGAAATAAAAACTACCATCAGAGAATACTGTAAACACTCTACGCAAATAAATTTTAAAAATCTAGAAGAAATAAATAACTTCCTGGACACATACACCTTACCAAGACTAAACCAAGAAAAAGTAGAATCCCTGAAGAGACCAACAAATTCTAAAATTGAGGCAGTAATTGGTAGCCTACCAAACAAGAATGCCCAGACCAGACGGATTCACAGCTGAATTCTACCAGATGTACAGAGAAAACCTGGTTCCATTTCCTTCTGAAACTGTTCCAAACAATACAAAAAGAAGGACTCCTACTGAACTTCTTTTATGAGGCCAGCATCATGTTAATACCAAAGCCTGTCAGAGACCACCACCCAAAAAAATTAGGCCAATATCCCTGATTAATATCGATGTGAATGTCCACAACAAAGTACTGGCAAACTGAATGTAGCAACCCATCAAAAAGCTTATCCATCAAAATCAAGTCAGCTCCATCCTTGGGTTCCAAGGCTGGTTTCAACATATGCAAATCAATAAATGTAATCCATCACATAAAGAGAACCAATGGCAAAAAACACATAATTATCTCTATCGATGCAGAAAAGGACTTTGATAAAATTTAACATCCCTTCCTACTAAAAACCCTCAATAAACTAGGTATTGATGAGATGTATCAGAAACTAATGAGAACTATTTGTGACAAACCCATAGGCAATATTATACTGAATGGGCAAAAGCTGGAAACATTCCCTTTGAAAACACAAAACACAAGGCACAAGTCAAGGAAGGCCTCTCTCACCACTCCTATTCAACATAGTATTGAAAGTTCTGCCCAGGACAATAAGGCAAGAGAAAGAAATAAAAGGTATTCAAATAAAAATAAAGGAAATCAAATTTTCCCTGTTTGCAGATGACATAGTTGTATATTTTGAATACCCCATTGTCTCAGCTCTAAAACTCCTTAAAAATAGAGAAGCAACTTCTCTTTTTTGTAAGTTTGCTTAAGCTTATAAGCAACTCCAGCAGTCTCAGGCTACAAAATCATTGTGCAAAAATTACAAGCATTTCTATAGACAAATAATAGATGAACAGATAGCCAAATCATGAGTGAATTCAAATTCACAATTGTTCCAAAGAAAGTAAAATAACTAAGAATAAAACTTACAAGGCATGTGAAGAACTTCTTTATGGAGAACTACAAATCACTGCTGAAGGAAATAAAAGAGGACACAAAAATGTGGAAAAAATTCATGTTCATGGATAAGAAGTGTCAATAGCATGAAAATGACCATACTGCTTAAAGTAATTCACAAATCTACAATGATCTGATCTTCAACAAGCCTGACAGAAACAAGCAATTGGGGAAAGATTCCTTGGTACTGAGAAAACTGGCTACCCATATGCAGAAATCTGAAACTGAATCCCTTTCTTACAACACATACAAAAATTAACTCAAGATGAATTAAAAGACTTAAACATAAAACCTAAAATCATAAAAACCCTAGAAGAAAACCTAGACAATACCATTCAGGATATAGACATGGGAAAGACATAATGACAAAAACACCAGAAACAATTGGAACAAAATCCAAAATTGACATTTGGGACCTAATTAATCTAAAGAACTTCTCCACAGCAAAAGAAAATATCATCAGGGTGAACAGGTGACATACAGAATGTGAGAAAATTTTTTCAACCTATCTATCTGACAAAGGTCTAATATCCAAAATCTGCAAGTAACATAAAAACATTTACAAGAAAATGAAATACCCCATCAAAAAGTGGGCAAAGGATATGAACAGACACTTCTCAAAAGGAGACATTAGATCAGCCAAAAAACATATGTAAAAAAAGATCAGCATCACTGGTCATTAGAGAAATGCACATCAAAACCACAATGAGATATCGTCTCACATGGTATCTGCGTGTCAGAATGGTGACCGTTAAAAAGTCAGGAAACAACAGATGCTGGCAATGATGTGGAGAAATAGGAATGCTCTATACTGCCGGTGGGAGTGTAAATTAGTTCAATCATTGTGGAAGAAAGTATGGTGATTCCCCAAGGATCTATAACCAGAAACACCATTTACCAGGAATCACATTATGTGGTATATACCCAGAGGATTATAAATCATTCTACTATAAGGAAACATCACATGTACATTTATTACAGCACTATTCACATACAAAAAAGACATGGAACAAACCCAAATTCCCATCAATGATAGAGTGGATAAGAAAATATGGCACATATACACCATGGAATACTATGCAGCCTTTAAAAAGAAGAAGTTGTAATACACATACACATGCACGTGACCTTGTGATAGAATGACTTATTTTTTTGGGGGGTGCTATATACACAGTTATGAAATTGCTGGGTCCAAAGGTATTTCTCACTCTAGATACTTGATGAAACGCCACACATTTTTCCACATTGTCTATACTGATTTATATTTTGAACAACAATGTAAAAACAATTTTATTACTGCACTACTTCACTACCATTTGTTATTTCATGGGTTTTTAGTAATCACCATTTCCACTGGCCTAAGACGGTATCTCCTTGCCATTTAGATTTCTTTTTCCTTCACCATTAGTGATGTTGAGCTTTTTGACATGAAGACAGAAGACCAGTAACTCTTTTCTTACCCCAGTTTGGCCTTTTTATATCAGCTCTTCAACACCCATTTCACCTATTTTTTAAACACTATCCTGCAAAAGGAAAAGTATTATGTGTTTAACTTATATGATAAAGATAGTCATCAAATTCATTTCCACAAGACAGAAACATATTTGGGTATTGCTTCCATGGAAAAAGGAGTTTACAATTGCACTTAATGTAAGAGGCCAGAAATTCTGCTCATCAACATACAATGCACAAGGAAAGCTCCTCACAAAAAGAAATTATATGAGTACAAAATGTCAAAATCCAGGGATCAGAAATTCTGCTCCATTAGTAAGCTTCGTAATCTATTGGGAAAATATTAACCTTAAGCCCAATGCCATGAATTAGAGAAGTACATTCTCACAGAATATATGTCTGTGTAAGCAAGTGGGATAGGGTGGTACAATGTAAATACCAACTTTTCAACTTTAAGTTCTAAAAGATTTTGAAACAAAATAATTTTCAAATAAGGTTTAAAAATTCCAAATGTGGGAGACTGAATTTTAAGTATTTCAAGATCCAATAGAAGTAACACATTTAAACACAACTAGCTATGCTCCTTTTTTCATGGGATTTTGGGAGAGTCACCTTGACAGTTGAAAACCTCTGTGGCCAGTGGTGCTTTTGCCTGAGTTCTGCTCAGGCCTGCTAAGCTTGCTCTACCCACTCTGCCTGACAGGCGGCACTCAGCTTGCATTATGGGTCAGGATTTCATACCTGCCAAGGGCAAACATGAGGTAGAGTGGCAAGTGGTGTATGAGCAAGTGTGGGGTCTAGCCGCTATACACAGCCAGGCCTGCCGGCAGTGGCAAAGCAGGAAATTTTAGGTGCCAACAGAAGTGCCATCTCACTGAGACACAGCAGCTGGACCAGGCATACTGCAAGCAGCTTCCACAGCTGATACTGGGGAATGTAGTGGTGCCCAGAAGTTTCGGGATGCCAAAAACAGCAAAGCCCTAAAGAGGGTGTCATAGCCCTGTCTTCGAGAGACCCTAGGTCTGTGCACCCTGAAGGGCCACAGCTGTCCTCTTATTTTTGTCTTTCAGAATGTGATGATCAAGAGACATCTTTTTATCCCAATTTTTGTTACAGTTCTTTCAGCTCCACCATTCAGTGATTCTCAAATAGTTGTTCTGCAACCAGGAAGAATGAGGTAGACGGACACGTAGAGAGTGAGAAATGTATAGATAAGATTTACTCAGGAACAGAACTCAAAACAGATCCCCATTGGGTAACTCCTCTCCACAGGCTGGATGTTCTGATGAGTGTCCAGCTCTCAGCAAAGAGATGGCTTTAGAGCGGGCAGCTCTTTCCACAGGCAAGGTGTCAAGGATTAGTATCCAGCTCTCAGCAGGAAAGAAACCCTGGACTTGGTAGCTTCTCCATCCAGCTGATCATCTTATGAGGTGTTAAGTTCTCCACAGAGAGAAGATCTTGGAGTGGGTAGGTCCTCTTCACACCTTGTGGTCCTAACATTGGCTAAGCCTTCAGTCAAGAGAAGACCTTCAAGTGGGTATCTCCCTTCTCTAGCTGATCATCCCATTATCTCCCCAGCAGAGACTGTGGCAGGTAGCTCTAGCCCACCACTGACAGTCCTGAAGTCTCCTCAGCTCACAGCAAAGAGATGGCCCTTGAGTGGGTAGCGCCTCTCCACAGTAGGTAGTCTGAAAAGTCCTCAAATCTTGTTGAGTCCAGGAATATTATGTGCTTCAAAGGAAACAAAGTGCTTGCTGATTGGATTATTTGGCAAAAATGCGTGCATTTCAAAAAGCACCATTGGTTCCCATTCTTGTCCATCAGCCTGAGATCCAGACTTCAGGCCATCACTGGCTTGAAGGTGGAGATTCAGTGGGACCTCTTTGGGAGCCAGCAAGTTTATTGCCATGAACCTGTGATGGCTAATACTGAATGTCAACTTAACTGGATTGAGATATACAGAGTATTAGTTTGGCATGAGTCTGTGTGAGTGTTGCCTAAAAGAGATTAACACTTGGGTCAGTGGGCTGGAGAAGGCAGAACAGCCCTTAATCTGGTGGGCACAATTCATTAACTTCCAATGAATATAAAACAGGCAGAAGAACGTGAATAGATGAGACGGGCTTAGCCTCGCAGCCTACATCTTTGCCCTGTGCTGCATGCTCTCTCCTCTCACATGTTGGACTCCAAGTTGTTCAGTTTTGGGACTCAGACTGGCTCCTGTTGCTCCTCAGCTTGGCGACAGGCTATTATGTGACACTGCAATGGTGTAAGTTAGTATTTAATAAACTCTTCTAAAGTACTGTCCCTTAGAGAATCCTGAGTAATACAGATTTTGGTACCAGAAGTGGTTCTAGGAAAACAGAATATTGAAAAGGAAGTTCTTTCATTGGTTTTGGAGTTTCTGGTGTTGCCTGCTATATATAATTTGATGTGAAAATGCTAAGGATTCTACTTCTAATTATATGGAGAACACTGATAATCCTTGGTGGAAACCGTTCATAGAGTTATGCAAAGTAAATGCATTTGACACTTCTGATTCACCAATTGTGAGAGGCAATGAGTTTTGTTTACTCTCTGCATAATAATTTTGACATATATGGAGAACCAAGGATCACAATGAAGCAGGTTGGTAGCTCTTAAGTTCAGTGGACACAATGATCAGAGGTAATGATGCACTCAGAAATTCTGTCTCCCAGCTTCAGAAGCCCCAAATCTGTTAATTTTGTCCTGAGTGAGAGTCTTATCACCTGTAGAGAAAGAGCCAAAATTACAGGCTTTTATCATGTAAGTGACTGACCTTCAATGAAAGTTGCATGCACATTCTCAAAAGGTGTCTACTGTTAGAGTGAGGCATTGATTGAGTAGAATGGGACCCTGCAACTCTGAAAGGATGAGTCAGAGGACCCTGATGAAGCAGGGGATACTGAGTGTGTAAACTCTGATGAAGCTTTTTGCCAAAAGAAAAGCTTTCTCATTTCCAGAAGGGGCAATGTCATCTTTCTGATCCGTGCTGATATCAGTCTTTCCAACTCAGTCTGAGGTAAACAAACCCTGCACTGGTTGATGCAACAGTTATGGCCTTCCCTAGGACAGTTGCCAGGAAAGATAATGTTGATTCTTCTCAGAAGCCATCCCGAACACCTCTGTTTTTTTCTAAACCGGGCTAGAATGCTGTGGTGGGCTCCTAGAGGTGAGGTAGAGAGTGTGACACATCAGGTAGTGTGCCACACACACACACACACACACACACACAAACACACATACACAAATAAACTGTTCAAGTTATCTCATTTATATGAACATCAATCTGGAGAACAGGCATGGGGATGGATATTAATTGTATGAGATTATGGTGTAAGGAACATAGAGTTGTATCAGGCTGAATTTACTGATTAGGACCATCAAGGTAGTGACTTTGTGTTTAATATGGCAGCTTGGCGAGTTAAAAAGAAAAAAAAACTTCCAATAGTTTACACACTTAGTTAGCTGAAATGTGGATTAAAAGATGACCTGCTGTGAGTTAGCTGGAAATGCCTGGCCTACACTGGTTTAATGGAGAGGAGAAGATCCAAAAGCTTTGGAAGATTGGGATGGTGAAGTAGACTCATCCTTTCGACTTACTCATCCAGACTGGTAGGGTCCAGAACACATATCCTTGACCAATGCCTTGTGAAATAGATTGGGTGGTCAGCACCTGCATTTTTGAATAGCCCTGTAATTGCTCTTCTCTTTTGTCAGATCTAATGGTGGAAACCACAATCACTCAACTACAAAATTTAAATACAATGAGAAAAATTGGATCCTGATGTGACAGGGGCCAAGCAGCAGCACTCAACCATCAAAGGCAATGTGGGCACAGCTAAGGGATAGTGGCAGTCAGAATAATGTGAATCCTGTAGAGCTCTATCATTGGTTAATTAATCATGGTGTTCATGGAACTGATATTGATGGAAAACTACTGCGTTCATACTTAGGTTACACCTACAAAAATCTTTTGGCCAAAAGGACAAAAGACTATTTTGAATGATGAAAACAGAGAAGTACAGTCTCTCCATGAATTTCCAGATGAGAGCCAGTTTAAAGACCTAGAACCCATTGAATGAAGGGGAAGCTGGGTTCCCTGGACCAAGAAACCCACTACATAAGTATTTATGCAGTGAATTTTTACACCATCTTTCCCCAAGGAGATTTTCAGGCTTTTATCAAGGTGACTGTGCATTAGGGAAAGGGAAATAATCAGACTTTTCAGAAACTACTGGACACTAGCTCTGTGCTGATGTGGGTTCCAAGGACCCAAAACATTATTATGGTCTTACAGTTGAAGTAGGAGCTCAGGGAGGTCAGGTAGTTAATAGAGCTTTAGCTTATTAGGTCAGATTTACACAGTGTTCAGTAAGTCCCCAGAGTCATTCCGTGGTCATTTTCCCAGTGCCAAAATGTACAACTGGCATAGACATACTTGGCACCTGGCAAAATCCCACATCTCTCTGACGTGTAGGGTGAGGGCTACTCCAATACGAAAGGTCAAATGGAAGCCACCAGGGCTGTCCCTACTTAGAAAAATGGTAAATAAGAAAAAATACCAAAACCCTGAGAAGATTGCGAAGATGGGTGCCATCATAAGATATTTCAAAGTTGCTGGGGTGATAATTACCAGCACATCCTCATTCAACTTTCTTATTTGGCCTGTGCAGAAGACAGGTGGATCTTGGAGAATTACATTGGAGTATCATAACTTAACCGAGTTGTCAGTCAACTTGCAGCTGATGTACTAGATGTGGTTTATTGTTTGAGCAAATTAATACATCTCCTGGTATGTGGTATGCAGCCATTCACTTAGCAAATGCCCTTTTCTTTATTCCTGTCTATATGGACCACCAGAGGCAATTTGCCTTCAACTGGCAAGTCCACCAATTCACATTCATTATCCTCCCTCAGGAATATACTAATTCTCTGGCTTCCTGTCATAATCTTATTCAGAGATCTTGATTTCTTTTCACTTATGTAAGATGGAATATTGGTCCATCACATTGATGATATTAGGCTGATTTAATGGGTGAGCAAGAAGTAGCAAGCACACTTGAATTATTGGTGAGACATTTATGTACCAGAGGATAGAAAATTAATCTCACCAAAATTCAGAGAACTTCTACTTCCATAATATTCATAGGGGTCCAGTATTGTGAAGCCTGTCAAAATATCTTTTGTAGGGTAAAGAACAAGTTTTTGTATGACCCTCTTATATCCAAGAAAGAGGCACAATACCAGCTAAACCTATTTGGATTTTTGAGACAACATATTTTTCATTTGAATATGTCACCCAGGCCCATTATTGAGTGACCTGAAGGGCTGCCAGCTTTCAGGGGCATCCAGAATAGGAAAAGACTTTGCAGCTACTGTAGGCTGCAGTGCAAACCCCTCTACCACTTGGGCCATATGTATTTTAAGTATTTATCTTAAGTATTTCCTCCTTCTTTTGTTAAAAAAAGTTTGTGCAGATAAACGCATGTACTAAGAAATTATCTTCCTTTTTTATTTTCCTTTATCATATTACATAAGATTTACTGAGTTCTTATCAACATTGGCGTATTGTAAACTTTATGAAATATGGTTTGATTTGGGGATTGCTGCATTCCTGGTTGTAAGAGGATAATTGTATTATGTTAGGTATGATTATGACCTCATTTTTGTCTGCATTTGAAGATTATGTATTATAGCAGGAGATGTGTATTGATTCAAGTTGACAAGGGGTGGACTTTGATGGTTAATACTGAGTATCTAATTCATTGGATTGAGTGATATAGAGTATTAATCCTGGGGGTGTTTCTTGGGTGTTTCCCAAAAAAAGATTAACATTTGAGTCAATGGGAAGATCTATATTAATCTGTTGGGCACAATCTAATAAGCTTCTAGCAAATATCAAGCAGACAGAAACACATCCAAAAGTAAGATGGGCATAGCTTCCAAAGCTTGTATCTGTCTCTCATGCTGGATACTTCTTGCTCTTGGACACCGGACTCCAAGTTCTTCAGTTTTGGGACTCCAACTTACTCTCCTTGTTCCACAGCTTGCAGGCAGCCTATTGTGATCATGTACGTAATTACATATTTTTATATACATATGTACACACACATACACACACACATACATATATATGTGTATATATATAAATATATAAAGGGATGCCAAATTAAATAGTTTGTAAGTATTCTCAAAAAGCATTATTTGAATAAATACTGTAACTGTAAACCTTCTTTTATTAAGTCAGCTTATTTGATGGTGATATCATAAACTAATACCATACAAAAAATCTTGACATATATATATATATGTGTGAGTGTGTGTTTCTGTGGCCCATACAGATCTCTGTAAAACAAACAGTTTTAAAGTATTTATTTTTCTATTTACTTACTGCCAAGGCTATAAAACCTACATCAGGTTAGTTACTTAATAAATGGTTACAATTTAGTAAATACTCTATTTCTTTGAAAATAAAAGTGTATTATGTCTCCTTAGAAAATGACAATTTAAACTTTCACAAGGATTTAGTAAATACTGGCTCTATATTGTAAAATGTAGCCATTAAAATCAGGTTTAAATTTAAATAATCTATAAAGCCTAACTACCTCAGTGAAAAAGCTTTCACAAGTAATGATAATAGTAATAATATGAAGCAGTGCCAGCACTTTGAAAAATCAGAAGGTCAATCACAGACTTCCATAAATATTCCTCTTTCACTACAAGATTGGCCTGAACAACTTGGTTTCTACAAATAATGCCAGCTTCTGTACACCACTTAATGTCTGCCAATGCCTTGACTTGAACTCTGCATTGTTCCAAGAATGTGTCTAAACAGCAGAGCTCTCTCTCAGCATATTAAGTAAAAAAACAAAACAACAACAAAAAAAACTTGCCTTTTCATTTTAGGTATTGAATGGCATTGTATTAATCTTGGAAAAAATGCAAGCCCTATATGGGTAGGAGTTCTGCCTTGTAGACTAGGCTCTAGCATCGATAACAGAGCTTACAGGTTAGGCGCTAAGTGGGAACAAAGTATGCTCTGTAAGTGTGGATAACTAACATGTTGTTACTTGCTAAAGTCCTGAAACAAATTTTTTATTCAAACTAAAAGGATTTTACGTCGTCGAAATTCAACTGCTTTTGGATTTATCTTAACATTTTCAAATATTGTTCCCTATTACATCAATTTCTTCATTCATTGATCTTTATTTTCTCTTATTGTCTAATATGTATTTTTGTGAATGCATTTTTATTACGTTGGAATAAGGCAGAGCACAAATAATTCTGATCAAAGATGCCCACTATGAAAAGTTCTATCAAATAATTTTTTAAGAGGTGAATATATTTGAGCATTAGTTTTACTCAACAACTTTAGCAAAAGTGAAAATCCTCTAAACCCAGCTATAGTCCTTGAAAACTTGGTTTTCATTTAGCTTGCTTATTGTAATATCCTAGGAACTTTCATGTCATAACACATACTGAAAGCACAATGTGTATCCATAAACAATGCACATGTGTGCATATGTATTATTTATGACTTTTCAACTGCAGCCAAGATTAGCTCTATCCCAAATGCCAGGGATTGAGTTTTCTCCCTTGGTACCTCCAAAGTTGAGGCTGACTAGGGCTTTATTTTTTTGATATTAATGTTTTACAAAAGATTGAAAAACTAATAGGAAGGAAAAGCAGAAAAATAGAAAATATATGGCTTAGTTTCTAATCATTGATTAACTGAACTGACCTTACTTTACTAATGCTTACCCTAAGTTGAATCAATTGAACTTTACATAGGCTTTTTCAAATCCTTCTGCTTTATGGAAAACAAAGTAGGAGTTAAGAAATCTTCAAAATACAATACCAAAGAATTCTAAATGTGTATTTTTAAAAATAATTTTCTCCAGAAATGGTTCAACACTGTTACTTTCTCAAAAGCACCTGAGACTCAAGATTTTAGGATATTTAGCAGCATTTCTAACCTCTCAGCAATAGATACTAGTAATGTACCAGCCTCAAAACTTCAACTTCCAATCATGAACCAGGCTTAGGATGAAATTTAAAGTAAAATCTACAAACGTATAAAAACCCTAGCCAATCACATGGACTGTTGGTTACTTCTATGAACTCATCCACTGTAATTGTTTCCCTTATACTGTCTGTGGCAGCCACAGTTAGCTGGCTTTTTAAAAACAATTTAAACAGGCTTCCACCAGGGATCATCGTACTTGCTGACTTTGCTGCATGCTTACATAATTTTTTTTATTATTTTATTTAGATATTTACTTGAAAGTTACTTTTTAAGCCACTTAATTCATATTTGTTTTACATAAAACCAAAATGAAGTTTATAACAGAGAACCTTGCCTCATATATTTTATATGAAATTAATCATTTCAATTAATTTAAAAAACCAAAAACTGCATAACATAAAAACTAAAACAAAAGCCTAACATCTTGGATTCTAAATTGGAAGTGTAACATTCAATTTAAGTATTTTAAACAAGAGAGAAAACATAAAACTCTTAAATAAAAATAATCTCAGAAATTAGAAAACACTCAGTGCTTCATAGATAAAAATAAAAGCAAAACTGCAGGGTTGGTAGTTTCAAACTATTTCAAAAAAAAAAAAATCAAAAACAGCCTGGACCTGAAAATCCATAGTTTATATCAACCAAGTAAACATTTAATCAAGAAAAACAATTATAAAAGGGTAAAGATTTTAGTTTTTTTTTCTCTTTGTGGATTGCCATATCACCTTCAAGTCATGGATGAAGCCTTCAGAATTGATAACCACATTGTCAAAGTGAGGACCTGATTCCTGCTTCTGGAAAAAGCAAAGAAACTCTTATGTGCTAAATTATTGTGTTGTTTTTTTCCAGGATTTCTAGAGGATAAATGAAATTTCATAAAATAATTCTGTATTTCTCTTTTGCCTAACTCAAAAGTCACTCTCTGTTGGAAATGACAGGAATAGGTCACAAATATTTAAGTTTTGGAGAATAAAAAATATAGTTATTTTATACAATAGGTAAACTATAAACAGGAAGAAACATTGGAGAGATTTGTATTTGCAAATATCTGAATATTCAGAAGAAGTTTAATACACTGAAGCACTTAGAAAATCATGCATATGCTCACTATGGAAACATCCTAAAAATTAACGTAAAACAATTTGCATTAACCCCCAAGTTTATCTACAGCTCAAAGTGAGAAGAAACTGAAGGTTAAGACAGAATTAGCAAAAACCCCCATGAGGGTTACAAGAGAGTGTTAATACATACCCAGTATTTAAAAGTGATAGGTTTTATATTGCTCTTATTCATTTTAGTAACGAATAAAACACTTTTCATTTCAGAAATAAAGAAAAGCATTCAGAGTTAGCATGTTATGACATTTCTAATACAGAGTTAGCATTCGGTGTTAGCACAGTATAACATTTGAAATATAGTTTTCTGAAAAGCAAAAACACAAAAACCAAGAGAAAATTATGACCAATGTAAACTAAATGAAGGAATTAAATGTGTCCCAAATTTTACAGACAAATAACTTAAAACAATTTTAAGTAAGGCTAAATAGAAATGACTGACAAATGATGAAAGAACAACATGAGCGCATCACTGAGACAAATTATAAAAGAAACCACAAAAAGGGGAGATAATGACTGAAATAAAGTCGACCATAAAGGTATTTAAAAGCAGATTTGAGCAGGTAAATATTCAGTCAGTCTGAAGGAATAAAAACTGAAATAACCCACTTTGAGAAGTAAAATAAACAAAATTATGTGAAAAAAAACTAAAGAGTAAACAGAACACTGCGAGGTATACTGGTGCATGCAATATGAGCATCTGATAAATGAAGAAAAACAGAGGCCAAAAAGTTTAAGGCAAAAATGGCTGTACATTTCCTGAACTTGAAAATCTGTGTCTAAAATTTGAAAGAGAACAAAAATCTTTAACCACAATATAGTTAATGATAGCCACATCAGAAAACATTACAGGCCATCAAGAGCCAATGCACAGAAAAGAGTAAAAACAGAAGGGGAACAGCATCTTACTATGTGCAAGAAGGTCTTGATTAAAATTAACAGATGACAGTTCAACAGAAACCTCAGAAGTCAGAAGGTGGTGGGATATACAAATTTTAGCAGAAAAAAAAAATGCTATCAAGCATGAAATATATAGCTGGTAAAATGACATTCAAGCAAAAATATCTAGATAAAGAAAAGCTAAAGGAAATTGTGACTAATGCTTCTCTAAAAGAAAATGATATTACTATTAAAACCCTGGCAAACATAACTATTAATGAACACTCAGTGTGCACAGATATAATCAGAGACAATAATATAAATTGAGAAGGATGGAAAACTACAAGAGCAGCATATTTTTATATTGTTGACCTTAAACATTAGATTATTCACACAAGTTAGTATTGTTCATAGTAGGTTATTTTAAGTTTTCAATAATAATTGAAGTCCCATATATACCTAATTGTAATATAAAAAATACAACAAAGTTTTTAAAAAATTAACCAAATTTTTTTAAATTAGCCAAAAAAATAAGGATCAAATAAGAGAAAGAACACATGGAAAACAAGAAAGTCAATGTCAGAGTATGTAATATTTTACTTGTAACAACTTTAAATGTGAGCTCTTGCTTAAAAAGTCACACACTGGTGCCAGTGTACCCTTAAACAAAGGAGTCACTCGGTGACTGCTATGCAAGGCATACTTTAGGTGCAAAGACAAATAGGCCAAAGTAAAATGATAGTAGATTCTGGGAAAGTGTTGCAATGTACTACAGAGCACTCTACTTCCATCTCTTCAACTATACAATAGGTGCAGTGGCAGGATTAATATGATGCAGTTACTGTAGAATTTGAGAGTCTACCTGAAGCTTACAGCTTCCAAAAAATTTTGTATAGTAAAAAAATTAAATTTTATCAATTTTATAGCACAGATCAGCAGCAGCTACTTATTTTTATTAATGAAGGGATGCTGCCTTGCAAATATTTCTGGAGCAGCTTACAAGAGCCATGGTAAACAAAAAGGACACTGTCCTCCAAATTGCAGGAGGACTCATTCACCAATTGCTGTTTCTGCTTATGGATGTCCCAACAGAGGTGAACAGCCATTGTTTTATACCCCAAACATTATTCAGTCTCTTTGTCCCTCTGCACAACAAACTTTCAGAAGATTAAGAAGTCAGAACATGTTTTCCTAATTGTTCTTCTTTTTCTCTTAAGAGGTTAGACATTTGTGGACAAAAACATTCAAAACTAAACACACACACTCACACAAACACACACACATATATATGTATGTCTGTGTGTGTATATATATATATATATATATATATATATATATATATATATACACACACACATATATATATAATGAATTGTGGCTTTAATGATATGTGCCCCAAAACAATGAGGCTCAAAAAAGACCCAAGAAGAAGCTCAGTAAGGCTGACTTACAGGAGAGAAAAAGCCTATATAATAAACAAAACCTTACCAAACCATAGAAGAAGAAAATGGTATTTTCAGTGTTACAGCACTTTAAAATTTAAATGCTCTTTTTCAGCGCAAGCAAAATCACAAATTACAGAATGAAATAGACAAGTATGGCTTATTTTAAGAACATAAAAAAATTACGAAGGAGGTTTTTTTAGACAGCCCAAATGGCAGTCTTACTAAAACATTTTAGTTAACAATTAAGCTTCATGTTAAGATAATATAATAAACAAAAGAAGCTCAAAAAATATGAACAAAACTTATTAATAAAAAGAGTAAAGTTATTTTATAACCTAAAAAGTCTAGAGATAAAAGTAAGAAAAATTTGCTACAGATATTTAAAAGCAGATATGAGCAGGGGAAGAACAAAATATCAGCATAGTAAAGAAAGGGTAGTTGACATTATTTATTACATTATGAAAGGAAAGAAAAAAATAAGGAAATGAGAACACAGCCTAGAATGCTGTGGGACACTATCAAGCAGCCATATTTACACATAATGGAAGTGGAAAGGGTGAGACAAAGAATCAGGGAGACTATTTAGAAACAACAGTGGCAAAGAATACCAAGATCAAAAAACTCCAAGTTAGAGAAACTCAAAGCAACAAACTCAAATTCTATGATAACTAAACTCTGTAAAAGAAAGAGAGAGAAAATCTTGAAAGCAGCAAAAGAAGTGACTAATCATGTTCAAAGAAACCTCAACAATAATCAGCAGATTTCTTATCTGAAAACTCAGAAGACAGAAAGCAATAGACTAACAAATACCAAATGATGTAAGAAAAAACTTTTGAACGGAAATCTTATGTTCAAAAAATTGTCATTCATAAGTGAAGGAGAAATTATGACATTTCCAGATAAAAGCTGGGACTTTTACCAGTAGACTACTTTTTAAAAAATGCCTTATGGGGTCCTTCATGGTAAAATGAACAGACATTCAACAGTAGCAAAAATGAGTATATATAAAGCAAAGATAAATACCTTAACAATTACAAAACATAAAAAATTAGCAATGTGCACCTCCACAGTTTGTTTCCCATATAATTTAAAACACTAATATATTTAAGAAAAATACTATCATCCAGTTGTGTTTTTGACATACAATACATAAAGGTATGATTTTGAGAACTCAATAAGTGAAATAATTGGGGTGAAGCTATACAGAGGTAAGAGATTTGTATGTTATTGAAGGTAAGCCAGCATAACTTTAAAAGTGGAATAACTTTAAAATATTGAATGTAGTCATATTATCAATGACAATTAAAAAAGTAAAAGGGTAAAAGGCAGGTAGAAAGCGTTCTGTACTACATCAGAGAGTAGGAGCTGTGGATTTAGCTCCTCTCACCTGAGGCTACTGAGCCACCTATCATGGCACCATGACACAGAGCCCAAGCTGTCACATCAGGGAGTGAGTGTGGAGACTTTCAGGCAGAGAGCACAGCTCCTATTTTACACAACTTTCACTAAACCAGTGGCGACAAAGTGGAAGGGGCTCATCCATACACAGAAACTGGTGAAGCACTGGAGGCAGAAACAAGTGGCTATGTGGAGACAACTGAAAGAAAGTTGGCACAGCAACTGCTCCAATCCTGTGTCTTTCTTCATGGCTTCCCAGGTGTTTGAGGTTGAACCTCTTGTTGACACAAAACAAGACAAAAATGGGAATACAGAGAACTGGAAATGTCCAAGCTATGTATTTAAATTATCAAAACATTTTTAAGCACTGTAACTTTAAAATAAGTAATAAAACAGCTTCATTGCCTAAATGTGATTATTTCATGCATACACAAGCCCAAATATAAAAGCAGACTGGTGAGCACTAAACTGTTCTTGCAAGATCTAAATTTTATCTATGTCTACTATGATATATAAGACCAGAATTGTGTTTTATTAGATTTGAATGGCAAAAATTTGTGTAATAATGTTTGTTTTTATTATTTATTTTTACCTTAGAATGCAGATGCTACTGGGGTATGAGGCAACCTCTACTCCCTCCCACAAAAACAAGACACAGAATTATCAGTAATTGTGTCTTTGACTTTACAGTGTCACACATAACTCAGAGAAACAACATTCTAAATTAAAAGACTTGTCTTTTAGGATAAATATTTCTGACACAAAATTCACTGATGATCATTCTGCCAAACTCAACATATGGTTAGAATTTATGTTGAGATATAACTTTTCTTTTATTTTATAAATGTCTAGTTCTTACTCAGTTAACATAAAGAAACCTTTATCTTTCTAAGTGTAAAACATATTGCACTCTATTAGTGAATTATGGAATCATTTTTGTGGAAATATCCATGTTTTAATGTTCATCCTGTGCAGACATAGATTAACTTAGAGTATGTTCTAGTTAACAAGTTAAAATTCTGGACACATTATTAAAAACAGAAACTTCTTTCAAAGTAAGGAAAAGACTCCTACACTCAGCATGACATTTAAAATTATTGGTGTCTGTTTTTACGTGCACACAATTTTATAGAATACTCTACCTGTTCAGCTACCAGAAGCTTTCTGAATCCTTTCCTGTTGGTTTCTATGGAAGTTCCATTATATAGGCATAATTGAATAATCCACTGGCCATTGTTGATGAATGACATTTGTCACAGGATCTCTAGGGTATGGCTTCACCAGCAAAGAAACTGTGGATGATGGCACATTTGCACAATGTCAGAGTGGGCACTGGGAGCTTGGAGAGGCCAGGCAATGGGAATAGGAACTACAGGGAATTTGTTGGAAGGATGGCTTCCCACACCTTGGAAAGTAGATGGGTGCTTGAGTCTGCAGCTGTGGTGGGGCAGCTGCCACTGTTCCTGAGTAGGTGGGGCTCCTTATAATTCCACTTGGATGTGAGTGTGGTTTCTGCCTTTTCTCTGTTTCCACCAGTTTCACAGAGTGTACAGCTCTGGCTTCACCTCCCTCATTGCACCTGAAATCTTTGCAGCAGCCTCTCTAAATGGGCTGCTGCTGCCATTACCTGCAGCATCTCTCCCATTTCAGAATGATGCAGAGTTCATCTGAGAGTTCCTACCATTAAATCATGCCTTGGATTTTCATTGAAAAGCCCCAGTGTGCAGATCTACATCAATATTATCATATTAACAGACAGCACTTTGGAGATTCCAAAGGTTTTAGGAGTTTTATAGCAGAAAGCAGACAAACATCAAACATGCTTTACAAACTTACAGCTACTAAAAAGAAAACCCCAGGACTAGAGTTTCAAATTTTGAATTCTAAGCATTAAAACAATGTACTCCTTTATTAAAAACATTTATTTTAAAAGAAGAAAGTACAAATTGAACATGGCTAACACAAAAATTTCAAATGTACTCTAATGTGAACTTTGATAGATTCCATGACAAAAGTAAAAAACTGCACAGAAAAGCCCTTAACACAAATGTTGTTTAATCTACAAAATATACAAAATTACCTTCATGAAAGTGTGAGAGAAAAAAGAAGTGAGGAAGCTAGAAGCAGTTTTTGGAAAAACTCTTTTACACAGGGGAACAGCCTGAAAACATAGGATGCAGACACTGATAAAAAAAAAATTTAAGATGATGATAGCCTTAAGATATATCCACAACTGCACTAATAAGGCAACAAGGCAGAATATAGAAATGACTTTGTCATTTTTGCCTAAAACATATTCATGGCTGTAAAGATAAAGGAATGAGGCCAAAAGAATAAATGCCTTTGCCATTCATATAATCAGCAGACTTCAAGAAAATACACACTCCTCCATTTGTGGGCATGACACACGGTAGGCTCCAGTGGGTTCTGATGTAATTTTTTCTCTATTTTGGACATATGAGCCAAGCATTTATGAATTATCTCTTCAGCTTCTGCTTTTCCTCAGCCCAATGTTCCAGACAAAGCTTTTACTTTAGCCTCTCATTTTTCCCAGACCAGGTACTGAAACTAGCTAAGTAGTGCTTTCTTCAAGACAGCTCAGAGACACCTCAGAAAATTTTGTTCTTTACAGTTCATAGAAAGCCCTGACCAAGCTTTACAGTTGGAAACTCTCTCAAATCCCTTCTTCACTGTCAGGAGTTTTCTTCTTTTGCTTGTTAACCTTTTGTTCCTAATTGAACTTTGCATCATGCAGACTCCTTAATTATTGTGGCCACGAGACATTACTTCAGCCTGTGATTGGTCCCAAGCCAAGGTCTCAGGCTGAGTTGTCACTTCCTTTTTTGTCCAGGGCCAAGTTCCAAGGCTGAGCTTAGTAGCTTCTATAAATCATAACTTCAGTTCCAGATGAATCCAAGAAAAATGTTCAGGGCCAAGCCAAATAACACTTACTCTAAGACCACTAAGCACATTATTTTACTTCCCTGCCTTTAGAAACCATAAATCCCAATCTCATAGTAGGTAAACCATTTGCATTCCACCTCCACTGTGAAGAGCTTTTTTACTTTCACTTATCAAAATTTTGCTTCAAATTGTTTGCATCCATTCTCCTTAATTTTCTTGGCCATGGGACAAATAGCTCTGTGTGATACCTCACAATTAGAGACTTTTATATTGTGGTGTATGAGTGAGACTGAAATGATTGAAGTATTGGAATTGAGCTCTGGGATGCATTAGCCTTGAAACACTGTAATACACAGACTTGGGGGCAGTCAACCATGTACTGGTCACCAGTACAGGTTGGAAAGGGTCAAGGTAGCTTCATGCAGCCTAGAAACCTGAGGGACACCATCAATCAGCCATACTTATGCAATTTGGAAATTCGAAAGAAGAGAGAAAGAATCAAGGACACTACTTAACAAAATAGGCATAAAGAAGGTAACAATTTAAGACAATAAATAAGCACCCAAGAATCTCAACAAACTCCAAGTAATAGAAACTCAACAAACAAACTCAAACTTACCTGATAATTGAACTGTCTAAAACAAATACAAAGAGAATCTTGAGGATTTTCAAGGGAAGCAAGGGAAGTGGCTAGTCATGTAAAAGGGACCCTCAAAAATAACCAGTGAATTTCTTATCTGAATAACCACTGAATAACTGGTGGATTTCTTATCTGACAACTAAGATGACAGAAAGCAGTAGACTAATATATTCCAAGTGATATCAGAAAAAACTGTCAAACCTAAAACTTATGGTCCAATAAATTGTCCATCAAATGTGTGGGACAAATTATAACACTCCCAGATAAAAGCTGGCACCCTTAACCAGTAAGCTACACTTCAAGAAAACACTCATATATTTAATAAAAAAAAAACTACCATTATTGGGGGAACCACCACTGATAATTCAATGTAATTTATTTTCTATTTTCCCTAAATGTCAGCCAGTATGAGAAATAAAGGGAAAGAGTACAAAAGAGAGAAATTTTAAAGCAGGGTGTCCAGGGGAGACTTCACATGTCGGCAGGTTCTGTAATGCTCCTCAATCAGCAAAACCAACAAGTTTTTATTAGCGATTTTCAAATGGGAGGGAGTGTAAAAATAGGGTGTGGGTCACAGAGATCACATGCTTCATAAGGCAATAACATATCACAAGGCAAATGGGGGCAGAGCACTAGGGCAAAATTAAAATTGCTAATGAAGTTTTGGGCACATATTGTCATTGAAAACATCTTATCAGGAGACAGGGTTTGAGAGCAGACAACCGTTATGACTAAAACTTGCTAGGCAGGATTTCCTCATCCTAATAGGCCTTCGAGCACTATGGGAGACTGAGGCTTATTTCTTCCCTTATCTGCAACCGTAAAAGACAGACATTCCCAGAGCAGCCATTTCAGAGTCCTTCTTTTAAGAACACATTGTGTTTCTCAGGGCTGTTCCTTGCTGAGAAAAAAAACAAAACAAAACAAAACAAAACAAAACAAAAAACCAACCAAACAAACAAAAAGTGATATTTCTCCTATTCACTTTTGTAAGAAGAGAAACGTGACTCTGTTCTGCCTGTCTCTCAGGCAGTCAGACCTGATGGTTATCTCCCCATTCCCTAAACATTGTTGTTATCCTGTTCTTTTTTCAAGGTGCCTAGATTTCATATTGTTTAAACACAAATGCTTTACAAACAATTTGTGCAGTTAACTCAATCTTCACAGGGTTTTGAGGCAATATAGATCCTCAGCTTAAAAAAGATGATGAGATTAAGAGATTAAAGTAAAGACAGGCATAGGAAATCACAAGAGTATTGATAAGGGAAGTGATAAATGTCCATGAGATCTTCACAATTCATGTTTGCAGGTTGCAGTAAAGACAGGTGTAAGAAATTATAAAAGTATTCATTTGGGGAACTAACAAATGTCCATGAAATCTTCACAATTTATGTTCCTCTGCCATGGCTTCAGCAGGTCCCGCCGCTCAGGGTCCCTGATTTCCTGCAACACTACCACTAATTTGTGTTTTTGACATACAATGCATCAAGGTACAATTTTGAGAACTCAATAACTGAAATAATGGAGTTAAGTTATACAGGAGTAAAGGTTTTGTATGTTACTAAAGGTAAGCTAGTGTAACTTTCAAAATGTTATAACATTCGAATGTTCAATTTAATCATCATAGCAACCACAACTAGTCAAAACAAACAAACAAACACAAAAGAGTAACAGGCAGAAAGAAGGCTTTCTGTATACCAGAGAATAGGGGCTGTGGATTTAGCTACTCTTATCTGAGGCTACTGAGCCAGGTATCATGCTCCATGAGATAAAGCCCAAGCTGTCCTACCAGGGAGAAAGTGTGAAGAGCCTAAGGCACATAGCATAGCTGCTATTTCACACAATTTTCACTGCACCAGTGGCAATGAAGTAGAAGAGGCTCATCCATACTCAGAACCTGGTGAAGGACTGGAGGCAGAAAGAAGTGGCTGTGTAGAGATGCAACTGAAATAAAGCTCACAGCAACTGCTCCAATCCTGTGTCTTTCTTCATGGATTCCCAGGAGTTTGAGGTTGAAACTATTGTTGACAAAAGACAAGGAAAAAATGTGAATATAGAGTATTTGGTTAAGTGGAAAGCTTATGACAAGCAGTATGACACTTGGGAACCAAAGCAGCACCTCATGAACTGTGAAAAATGTATGATTTTAACAGACGACAGACTGAAAAACAGAAAAAAAAATACATGGACCAGAGCAAGTAGAACTTTTTCAAACCATACTAGAGGAACTTCCAGATCTACCAACCCCAAGTTTTCTAAGAACTCTCCTAACATGCTAGTGACTGGCAAACACCACAAATCCAAAAACAGCCAGTTATTTGCTGCCAGCAAGAATGTTAGGAGAAAGGCAGCTTCACTTCTCTTTGACACAAGAATATGGAGCCAGTAAACTCAACTATGAAGACATTTGCACCTCACAGTCCCTTTAACAAGAAAACTGTGAGTGGCTTTCAGGAGCTTGAGAAACTGGACCCCTTTATGGTAGATCTGCAGGACACAGTGGTCTTCAAGGGGATAGAAGGGAAGCCCATCAGGACTTTATCAGGTTCTGGTGCAGAACAGGTTGGAATAGAGAACAGGACCCAGATACACCTGCTAATGTCTCAGATGTCTGGCTCACTTACTGCTTCCTTGGCCACAGGCTCAGCTACCAAAAAAAGGTATAGTGACATTAACAGACCCATTAGCAGCCAATAGAACAACAGACATGCATACATCAGTTCCAAGAGGGAAATGAGGGCAAATAAATGTCACTGATGATGGCAGAGACCAGCCTTTTATCAAGAAGATGTACTTCACTATAAGGCTAACAGAAAATTCCAGCACATACAGACACATTCTCGTGAAGAAAGAGGATGGATTCACCCAAATATCGCTATCAACTCAATCGACAGAAAAATATGCAGTGAATACAGAAGTACTTAAAGAAATGGTTAATGCTCTGAATAGGGATGTTGTGGATGACAGCAAGCTTGTGCTGTTCTGTGCAGCTGGAAATGTCTTTTGCTATGGTCTTGATTTTGGGTACTTTGTGAAGCACTTAAGGAATGACAGAGAGCAAGCCTTGAGATTGTGGACACCATCAAGAACTTTGTGAATACTTTTATTCAATTTAAAAAGCCTATTGTTGTATCAGTCAATGGCCCTGTCACTGGACTAGGTGAATCCATACTGCCTCTTCGTGATCTCGTGTGGGCTAATGAAAAGTCTTGGTTCCAAACCTCTTATGCAGCTTTTGGACACAGTCCAGATGGCTGTTCTACTGTTACATTTTCAAAAATGATGGGTGAAGCATCTGCCAATGAAATATTAATGCTGGGCAAAAGCTGACAGCATGGGAGGCATGTGCCAAACGCCTGGTCTCTCAAGCGTTTTTGACTGCAACTTTCACCCAAGGGGTTGTGATTCAAATTAAGGAGCTTGCCTCATGTAATCAAGATGCACTGGAAGAATGTATGGCTCTTGTTCACTGTAATATTAAGATGGAGTTGGAGGTGCTGAGGAAGATATGGGGTCAGCACAAGGGATAGAATCCATGTTGAAGTGGCCGGTCACGGTGACTCACGCCTGTAATCCCTGCACTTTGGGAGGCCAAGGTGGGTGGATCATGAGGTCAGGAGATCGAGACCATCCTGGCTAACATGGTGAAACCCGGTCTCTACAAAAAATATGCAAAAAAATTAGCCAGGTGTGGTAATGGGAGCCTGTACTCCCTGCTACTTGGGAGGCTGAGGCAGGAGAATGGCATGAACGCAGGAGGCAGAGCTTGCAGTGAGCCAAAATCGCACCACTGCACTAAAAAAAAAAAAAAAAAAGGAATCCTTGTTTAAGTATGTGTAGAATAAAACTGATGAGATTTAGTTGTCAGTCTGTCTGCTCAGGACACAAGAACTAAGCTGAAACAAATGCATAAGGATTTGCTGTCTTCATTGCCCAAAACAATTTCAATCACAGCTAAGGCTTGGAAAGAGAATTGGAAAGATCCAAGCTATGTATTTAAATTATCAAGGCATTTTTAAGCACTGCAACATTAAATGAGTAATAAAACAGCTTATTTGCCCAAATGTGATTATTTTATGCACATATAAGACCAAATACAAAAGCAGACTGATGGGTACTAGACTGCCCTAATTTGTGTCTATGGCTACTACTATATATATAACCAGAATTGTGTTTTATTAGATGTGGATGACAGATAATTCTGTAATAGTGTTTATTTTTCTCATTTTTATATCCTAGAATACAGAGTCTACTGGGGTATGAGGCAGCCTCAGCTTCCCTACCACAAAGAAAGGCACAGAACTATCAGAGATGGTGCCTTTGACTTTATAGTGGCACAAATACTTCAGAGACACAAAATTATAAATTAAAAATCTTATCTTTTAGAATAAATATTTCTGACACAAAATTCACTGATCATTCTCCTAAACTGAACATATGATTCAAATTTTTGTTGAGATATCACTTGATTTTCTTTTCTATTATAAATGTCTAATTGTTACCCAGTTGACAAAAGAATATTTATCTGTCTAAAGTAAAACTTGTTGCACCCTATTAGTGAATTATGGAATCATTTTTGTGGAAATATCCAAGTTCTAAACTTTATAATGTACAGATTTAGTTTTAGGTTAACTTGGAGTATGTTCTAGTTAATAAGTTAAAATTATGGACACATTACTAAAGGCAGAAACTTCCTTCAAAACAAATAAAAGCCCCCTACACTCTGTATGAAATTTGAAATTATCATTGTCTGTTGTTATGTGCACACAATTTTCTAGAACATTGTATGTGTTCAGCTACCCAGAAGCTCTCTGAATCCTGTTCTGTACGTTTTTATGGAGGCTCCATTGCATAGGCATAATTGAACAATCCAGTGGCCACTGGTGAGGAATTTCACCTTTGGCTCAGGAACTCTAGGGTGTCACTTCGACAGCCAAGAATCTCTGTGGATGATGGCACCTTTGCGCAAGTTTCTCTTGAGCCTGCTTTCTAATTGTGCAAACCCATCTTGCAGGCTGCACTCAGCTCAAACTATGGGCTTAGGTTTCATTTCACTATGGATGCGCCAGGCACAGAATGGAGGCAGATGTATGAGTAAGTGATGGTTGAGCCCATCCACTTCACACAGCTAGGCATATTATCTGGTATCAGACAAGCAGGTCAGGTGCTGGTACAGGTGACAGCTCCCTGCAAATTTTTAGGTGAATCAGCCATACCACAAGCTTTCTTTTCTGCAGGCACTGAAGAAGGCAGTGGAATCCAGATACATAGAAATGACAGAAACTGCAGAGATCCAAAGGTGTTGTCACAGCCCTGGCTTGGGAAAGGTTTGGATCTGGGCCCTTTTAAGGGCCAAAGCCCTGCTTTCTTTTTTCTTTCTTTCTTTATTTTTTTTAACTTATCTATGGAATCACTAGGGCTCAAATTAAGGCTTTCAAAGGGCTCTCTGTCTTGCTACTGGAAATTAGGATCTTATCTTTTCTTCACTCAGTCTCTCTTTCACTGCTTTGCATTTATTATGACATGCTATAGAACAAATGCTGTTTGCCACAGCATCTTTCTGTTGCCTGCAGGGCTGTCTATTTCACAGAAGCAGTAAGATTTTGGCTTAGGAATAACATAACATCTTCCTATGGAGGATGAGATAAAAAAGCTAGATATTAGAAAGTCTCTCTATATAAACTGAGGTATCAGAAAACTTCCCCACATCTTAATTTATTTGTTTAAGGTACTGTAATGAAAAAGAAACTTGCACTTTACAGACAACTCATTCATTGGGCATTTCCTATAGGGGTAGTAATGGACTTGGAGGGTTGGATGTTAAAATTGGAAGATCTGATGATGATGTGACTAAAAGGTTCTCTAGATCAAGAATATGAGAAAAAGTGGGGCAACAAAATTTGCTTTTGAGAGTTTCCAGGGTGAATGTTTCTCCGATGTTTGGTAGCTGCTTACTGTGGGCTTTTCTGATATAACTGCTAAGAAGGCATGAACAATTTTACAATAGTTACAAAGATTTGGGTTGCTTCACAGGGCAAAAATGCTTTGCACATAGGCAACTTCAAACAATTTGCCTTCCCACCCTCAGAAACTATCTAGGTCTTCAATAATATTGAGAATGAAAAGCTACATAATTATCGATTACTGGTAAAATTTTGACAAGCAGAGAAACAGCCTGAAAAATCAGGCTGCAGACACAAATTGAAGAATCCTGCACAATCCTGTGGCCCATGCAAATAAATAAAATATCCAACTTTGTGTGTGTGGGGGCTTAAGACATGCACACAGTTACTCAGATTAAAAAAACAAACAAAAAAAAAAACATGATCCTACATTAAAATGCTGTTTTTTGTATAACCAGAGGGCTTCCAGGAATTACTCTCTCTCTCTCTCTTTTTCTGGACATGTACACATTGGCCTCTAGTGTGTTACAAAGGGTACCTTACATTAGTAAACATGCTTTAGACTCTGAGCCAAGTTTCTTTAAATTATCAATTGAACCTCCGGTCCTACGCCAATGTCCCAGCCATGCTTTCACTTTACCTCTTGTGTGGCTCAGGGCCAAGTTCCTGACCCACGCTGATTCATTACTTCAGCTATTAATAGTTCCAGGCTCAAGGTCCCAGAAAAGAAGAGTAGTGCTTTCTTCAAGACTAGTTAGTGCATTTTCTTTCTTCCATAAAGATATCAGACTCTCCATCAAAGTGGGCAACTAAATCTACTCCTCCAGAAGTTAATGTATTAAACATTTCCTATAATCTCACCTTTTGCATTCATAATTTTTAATTTTCTTGGGGTTAAAAAAATTCTGTGTGACACCTCAAAATGAGAGAATGATACATTGTGGTGCATTAGGGGACTGCAAGGTTTGTTTTTGGTTCATGGACCTGGAAAGGGCTTAATTAAAAAAGTCAGTAGGGGATGGGCATGTGGACTCATGCCTGTAATCCCAGAACTTTGGGAGATCAAGGTGGGCAAATTAAGATTAGGTCAAGATCCAGATCATCCTTTCTAACATGGTGAAAACCCCTGTCTACTAATAATACAAAAAATTAGCCAGGTGTGGTGGTGGGCAACTGCAGTCCAAGATACTCTGTAGGCTAAGGCAAGAGAATGGCATAAACCCAGGAGGCAGAGCTTGCAGTTAGCCAAGATCACACCACTGCACACCAGCCTAAGTGACAGAGTGAGACTCTGTCAAAAAAAAATAAAATTAAATTAAAGTCAGTAGGAGTGCACTTCCAAACTATTTACATTCATATCTGCAGCTTGTCCTCATTTTTTTTTATTTTTAATTTTTGAAGAGCAAGAAAATTCTGGGCCAGTGTCAGGTAAAATCTGATATACTGCCTGCCATTCTTACAAAGCTTAGGAGAAAGCGATGCCGGGAGACACATTGGCAGTCTCCTTTCACCCTCCGCTGTTGAAAATATTGCCTCTTTTCTAACTGTTTTCTTTCACAGAGGATTTAAGTGTCACATGGGACTGAGAGGATATCTAAGGTAGCTGAAGATTTCTGGTTAAGACTGCACTATGGTGTTATGTGAAGTCCCAAAAGTAACTCCAGTTTCTGACAACCCATCAAAGTGGTGCCATTAAAACTCCAGACTTTTCTGTTGCATTTTTTTTTTGTCATTGTGTGGCTAGTGTGTCTCCTATTTCTTCTTTGTACGCAATATTGTGACCTGGAGATATAATCTTACTGGGAAAAGTAAGTGGATGTCATAGTAATTAGAAATGTAATTCAAACACTTGCAAAACAAGAAGAATCCAAAATTGTAGTTTAAAAATTTTTATTTGGTAAGAGTCTTTTTGTTCCCTGACGATAGATATTCATGCACTGTATGGAATGGCAAACATTTAAATAAAATTTCTCTTTTTGGATGCTTATTTGTCTTTAAAAAGCTCAGCACTGCCATATATATCTAAACAGTTTCTTTTTGAGACACATGATTTTTTCTGCACAGACATACTGTGGGACAGGTGATAGAGTGTTAACTTTCTTTTTCTAACTTTTGACTATATAAACCTAGGATTCATCACTTTCATGTGACGTTTTAGATCTTAAAATGCCACCTACTGAGATGAGATTTTTCTCTGTGGGAAGCCTTGTCAGTACTTTGCACAAAACTTTTGGTTTTTTAACTCCTCCCTTTCCTGTGTCTTTCTAACAGTAATAAGACTCTCTGCCCTATCTGAAAACAGAAAATTTCCACTTTCACTAATCGGAAAGAAGGTGCCTTTTAGAGACATATTCTAGCTAAGTGCTGTCTTATGAAAGCCAGCCATGCTAGCTTTACATGTTTTGAGTCACACATTCTTCTTCCAGCAGCACTGACGTTTAAACTAAAAGAGAATTTTATGTTTCAAAGTCAGTTGATCTTATTTCCTGGAATTTCAATGTTTTTCTAGGGCCATATCAAAAGAAGCCAGAAATAGTACTAAAAGTCTTACTCTATATAATGGTCTTGCTCGAATCCAATAACTATATAATCTTTTTTTAGGTTCCCAAGTTACTTTGAGAATCTTCTGGGTTGAATAGGCTTAGGAAACCAACAAAGAGTCACCAGTGGAGAGCTAAAGCCCCGCAGGTAAACATTACTTGTCCTGCTGTCTAGCTTCTCTGGAACTGTGGGTGAAGGTTTGGCTTGCCTCCATGGGGGACACCTATGTCAGTCACCAGACTCAGGAAAGACAAGACGAACACAAAAACAAGGAACATCCTATCTATCTTTTTATTCAGTGAGAGCTACTTCAAAAGGGGGAAAAGGAGTATGGGATGCTTTCTCTATATATTTCTTTAGAAAGTTCACAAACAATCTGCAATGTGCAACTCTCTAGATTACATTTTGAAATACAGACATTTAATTGACTATGAGACTCTGAAAAAGAAAGTGGCTTATGTATTTCTTTGTTTATTTATTGCTGAAGGGCACGACAATCTTACCAGCTCCAGGACAGACAGGCCTAGCTTTCTGAAGGAAGTGTTCATTTTAGTACTATTCAACAGTTACATCTTTTCTTCAGATGGCAAAGAAAAGAGTTTGATTTTTTATTTTTTTTGTACATGCTTACTTCTACTTGGGAGAATCCACATCTTTAAGAGCATTGTAAAACTGACTCTGCCCTCTTGGCAGTCATATCAGGCAAGTTTCAAGGAGATAATTCATTAAAGTCAGAGACCAACCCATGAGGAACACTCAAATGTAACTTCCAAATACCCTAACTGCAACCCTTATTTAGAACCTCCAATAGCAATTTTATCAGCTTGTCTTATTTTTGCCACTAAAGAAACCCCCAACTTCACTGTTGCCCCTGCAGGAAATACTCCATAGAAGTGATACTAGTAGAGTACAAGTTTTCTACTCATTTCAGGGACTTAGAAAAATAATGGAAAACCTAAGCAAGTATCTCTGATGAACCTGATTGATATACAGAGGCATTTCAAAATCTAACTCAAGTGTTTAATCATAACTGAAGAGATGACACATTATTCCTAAACTAAACCATAACCATTGCCCTAAAGCAGACGTTTTTACAGAGAGTAGAATTATCCATGGATGAACCACATGTCTTTTATAAAATCTTGAAAAATGGAGGGTGTAAAGGAAAAAAAAATGTTGAACCGGTAACAGAATACTTATAAAACTCCTCTATTGTTTATTGTTTATATATATATACACTCCTGTATATATATATATATATATATATATATATATATATATATATATATATACACTCCTGTATATATATATATATATATACACTCTTGTATATATATATATTCCTGTACATATATATGTATACTCTTGTATATATATATACTCCTGTATATACATATATATACACTCCTGTATATACATATATATACACTCCTGTATATACATATATATATACACTCCTGTATATATATATGTATACTCCTGTGTATATATATGTATATTCCTGTATATATATACTCCTGTATATATATATACTCCTGTATATATATGTACCCTGTATGTATATATATACTCCTGTATATATATGTACTCCTGTATATATATATACTCCTGTATATATATATACTCTTCTGTATATATATATACTCCTGTATATATATATATACTCCTGTATATATATATATATATATTCCTGTATATATGTATATATATATTCCTGTGTGTGTGTGTGTATATATATATATATATATATATAGAGAGAGAGAGAGAGAGAGAGAGAGAGAGAGAACATACATGAAGGCTTATGAAGAAACAGAACAAAACTTCTTAATTACTCTAAACTACTCATAATATGTTGAAACTACATAAAAATTACTTAGTCTTTTTTAACATCCCGAGAGATGCTTTAGTGAAACACATTTTTCTATCTCCCTATTGAGTTAAGAGAGAGTTAATCTTTAGAGAAAACTTTATTACTCAAGCAGACCCTGACATCAAAAGAAAGCTGCAAATCATGTCATAGGTTCAGATAATATTGTGGTTTTAGCAATGCATCAAGATATAACAGCCTTTCTTTCATTTGAGATAACACCATGAGTCTTTTATTTTACATTTAAAATTAATGACTGTAAACACGGGAAAATGTTGGGAGCAAAAGTTTAAATAAGTGGCAAAATAAGCTGTCAGCAGAGCTATAAGCTTGAATAAGTCATCCACTGGAGTGTAAGGTTTTTATGGCCTAAAAAATAAAGATATATGCTTAGTTTGCAAGTTGTCTTGGAGAATGTGTGACTTAGCTTTGCCCAGGCCCAGGACTTGTTAGCTTAGCCCAGGAACTCTGCCTGGGAGCTGTCTGAAGGAATAATTTGTAATCACTGCTTAGCTTGGCCCAGGACCTATCATGAGCTAAAGTAAGAACTTGTCCTGGGATGCTGGCTCAGGACCAATCAGGGACAGAAGTGATGATTCACATGGGTTGAGTAAACAGTCAAAAACAAAAAGAAAGAATCCAGCTGGTACCCACTAGATCCCACTGGATTTATGTCCACAGGAAAAAAAAAGAAACTTTATTTTTTGGAAGCTCTCTGAGTATACAGAGAACAGCATTTCTATGCCAGGCATTGTTTCCCCATCTGAGTGAGTCAGAGTTTTGTAAAAGCTTTTATCTGAATGGATGGCAGGTTCTATTATCTGTGTCACTGCAGCCATGTTATCAGGCATAACCTTCTGTGTTAGATCTCTTACTGGTGCCCACACCTTTTTTTTTTTTTTGGTCTGATTATAATGTTATATTGGAATCAGGCCCTTACCTATGGACTTGGGTCTTCCAGGGACCTTTTCCTTGCTCTTTACACAGGGAAAGCTAGCTAAGTTGTCTTTGTACTCCCACAGAAATGAAAACTTTAACTGCTCTTAGGAAATTGGGCATTGGTCTTTCCGGCTACTTGTTACTGGAGAAGAGTGTCATGTAGAAAACAATAGGTAGGATTCCACTGAGAGTTGGTTTAGGTATTTGTAGAAGAAAGGCATGCTAATGCATGGTTTTATTTGCATTACATATTAAAGCATGATAGACTTTAGGCAATAAAAAGATAGTTTGGATTATTAGAAAACACATCACAACTAGACAAGGAGAGTGAGAATACCTTAAATACCTCAAGGCTGCTGACGTGCTCAGATAACAGGCTGCTTTATTTATCCGTGTTAAGATTTGATTACATGAGACTTGGGTTTACTTACCTTTCTTGACTTTATTTTCCAAAATGAAAATACTGTGTTACAGGTACCCTATTTTTTAATTACCTGAAAATATTTGTGGAATGCTTTCATGCTTGCACAAAATTAGAATATTGTTATAGATTTATCTATTACTCATATTTTTTCTGTTTTCCAAGAACTGTAGCTGGACATCACCAGTTGGCTCAAAGAAACAAAAAGATTCATTAAAATTGAAAGATGAGATGAGAAGTTAGTGACAGAGGTGTAGTAGACTGTGAAACATATATATTTCTTATAGTCCTGATTTTTGTTAAAAATAAATCACGATAAAAGAAAGTTGTTTGCAAAACAGACTTGTCTACACTTAGCCAGACTATTTTTGTATAGTGCTGCAAGAAATAATTTTACATGTGCTTTCCTCATTGGCTTTTTATGAAACTCTATCTTACAGGGAATCTTAAATGAGACATTATAAAACTGAGCCCGGCCGTAGGTTTGTACCCTTAGATACATATCACCTGGGTAAGCTCCTCTATTTTGTGAGGCTCCAAGTGCATGAAGTTCCTGGGCCTGAAACAAAGTGGCAGTTTTGTTTGTTTGTTTGTTTGTTTTTACTTACAAAGTGGTTAGAAAACCTGTATTGGGATTGTGTAAACAAAGTATATGGCCAGTTTTCCCAAGGGGCTTTTATTGTTTCTAGAGGTCAAATTTAATTCATTTAAGAAGACACACTCTTCCAGTCAAACCCTGAGAAAATCAACCAGCTTTTTCTATTGGGTTATGCTGCAAATGAAAATACATTTTTTGTTGCACCGATTCAAACAATTATATTGTTGTAAGTTAAGAATAATCACACATAGTTTCCAAATTTTAGAGGAACCAGGCACAGAGGGAAAAAAAGTATTTTCCAAGTTTTATTAACAACAGTCTATCAATGACAGTGTTAAAAACTGTAGCTAGTTTAAAAGAAAGTGTTCCTGACTTTAAAACAAAAAACAAGAGTCAGAAATATTCCAAACAAAAGGTAAAGTGATTGCTTCATTATTCTGCCGCTTTAGTCTATTTTAACATTTGTCCTGCTTGACATTTATAAACATTTTAGCTATTCCTAAATTCTGTGCATTTTTCTGTTGTAAAAAACCTGCAGTTGAGACGACCTGGAAAACTTCTAGAGCTAATTATAAACCCTTATTCTTGAGGGAGATTAAATGTTTATAAATGACAACATATCTAGGGTGGTTAGAAACAGAATAGACAAAGACACTTGGTTATGTCTGTGGTTTACAAGAGCTTAACATAATAATTTTAATTAAAATTGATAGCACATATTCAGAGATTAAGAACATTAAGAACACTATATGGTTTTGATACTTGTGTTAATATGACTCACTGAAATATATTCTGAAAAAAATAAAATATTACCATCAAAATTACATGTATTTAAGTATGTTTTATAAATATGTTTAACTTTTTCTTTTATGCCCAGGGGCCCTCTGAAGCACCCAAAATATAGGTTTCGGAAGATTCATCCTTGAAATTAAAATTTTATGCCTGGAAGCCTGCCAAACATTTTAGAGGATTAAGACACTTAAGATTATGAAATACAATTCCAGATTTCCATAAGTCATTTGTTTTGCCAAAATACAAAAGGTAGAAATGTTTGAAAGGGCAGAAATGTTTTATCAGCCTTCACTATTATGTAATAATCTCTTTCAGAAAGACAAATTTTACCCTTGAATTAATCTCCTCCTAATATTAACCCTAAATTTAATGAAACCTTATGTAAAATTATGTTTAACCTTAGAAAGTTTGACCATGAAGTGAGATTTTCACAAGGTTACTACAACATTTTAATAACCTTTTACAAATTTGCTAAAGAAAGATTAGTGTTTCAAGAAATTTTTGTTGTGCTTTCATTTCAATGCTTAACTGAAGAAATAAACATAATACACTTATGAATCTAGTTACTAGGTTACAGAGGTTTTTTTGGCAATATCGAATTTTTGACAGTTATTTTTCACAGCTTGTGTAAACATTTAGATTTACTTTAGTTAATTAAAGAAAATCCTTTAACTCTAGCAAAATGCACATTTCCATGCCTTTCTATAATTTATTTTTACTACAAACACATTTTACTCTTCTACCACACCTGGTGATTAAATTTACATTCCATATTCTCAATTACGCATTATAATAATACCTTTTAACAATTAACTTGAATGTAAGACCTTATGAGTTTATAAAATGATGGGCTGGGTGCAGATAAATCTGATTTGTGACAACATTATTAAGGGAGTGTTTATTTTTATATGTCTTCGGGCCTTAGGTTGTTTTTGTTTTCCATAAGTTAAAATCACGTGAACTGAAAAGTACAAAAGCCTTTATTTTCTTGTTCAGCAAAATATTTACTTCAAGTACTTATTCTTCACTGAGTTAATGAGTCATATTTTTTAAAAAAAATACACATAACACATACATAACAATACAGAGAAACAGAAGTTCCAGGAGCTATAAAATTTTATTTTACCAGTTTTCCAATTGGATTATTGACCTCTGAGGCCCTTTAAGAAGTGCGCTATGAATAGTTTCCAGGGCCTAATAAAAAAGCCTCACTGAGGCTGGGCACGATGGCTCACACCTGTAATCCCAGCACTTTACGAAGCCCAGGTTGGGAGAGCAGAAGGTCAAGAGATTGAGACAAACCTGGCCAACGTGGTTAAACCCCGTCTCTACTAAAAACACAGAAATTAGCTGGGCATGATTGTGTACAATTTTTAGTCTCAGCTACTCGGGAGGCTGAGAGAGGAGAATCACTTGGAAACAGGAGAATCCCTTGATCCCAGGAGGCAGGGGTTGCAATGATACAAGGGTGTACAACTGCACTCCAGCCTGGTGACAGAGTGAGACTCCCAAAAAAAAAAAAAAAAAAAAAAACACACACACACACAAAGAAAAGAAAAGAAAAGAAAAAGCATAGCTTGCAAAAGAGATAGATAAGAGAGAGATTTTGAGAGGTATTATTCACTTCTAATTCCAAGGCCTACATAAGAAATACAGATTTCTCACAAAAGACAATTTGTGGTAGAGTGGATAAAGGTAATTTAGCTGACAGAGAGAAAAAACTTTTTCAAGAAAACAAGATTTATGAGGAGAAAAACATAAATGTCTTTTGAATATACCTATAGCATAAATCTCCACTTTTAATTAAGCTGATAGCTTTTTAACATTTTTTATTAATTTTACCTTACAGAGAATATAAACAGGGATGTGTATAATTTATTTGACCAGTTTACACCGCTACCTGTTCACAATCATGTTCATCTTCTCAAGTTTCCCCTGGTAGAAAGTCGCTGGGTTCAGGCAAGGACAGGCTTTCAAATGGGCTGCAGCTCTCTTTAGCATCAAAGCCTGACATTTGAGGAGGCGATTGTCAGTTCACAAGAGACTTTTTTAAGGAAACAGCAGTCCTGCTATGCTGTGTGGTGTGCCATCAGGCATGTTATTTTCATAGTGAAACTAATGACTTCTGACACCAACAATGTCACCGATGCAACTGCTGAGAAGTAGGCTGTCCATTTTATTAGAAACCAAGCTAAATTTCTTCCTTAAGTAAACCACTAGTTGTGGAGCTGGACCTCGAGCCTCATCTCAGGTTTCAAGGTCTATTTTCTCTCTTCCTGATACACAGAGATTAATGCCTTTACTATGGAAAAACCTAGGGCTTGTGCTTTAAGTAAGGTTTGTTTAGCTGGTTAAATTTTTGTGAGTACCAGGTTCTTAAGTTAAGCAGTGAGTTTTATCTGCTTTAGTTTCTACTATGACATGGTATAAAAGATTAGCTACTTCTCTGTACCGAAGTACCTGCCATCTGAAAAATCAGGTAATGCCCAAGAATCTTCTTAACTGTCAAAAAAAATGGGATTGATTCCTGACCTTGTGTGTTGGTCTCTTCTAATAAGACTAGACTCAGGTACCATACTGAAGTCTGAAAGAGTTGAGCATTAGATTTTGATAATCAATAGTTTTGTTTTGTTTTGCTTTGTTTTTTAATTTTTGCCAGATAGTTTAGCAGAGCATTAGTGCGTTCCCAGGAAGCCCATCACAATCTTGCTATTGTATTTCACCAGTGCACAAACACTAACAGTCTCTACTTATCTAAGTTAATACTGGATGTTTCTTTTCTATGTTTTAGAAGAATAAGAATCACAGACACATTTTAGAAGACTAAAGAGCACTAAGGTTGAAGAGAAAGTTTAAGAAGCAAAAGAAAACAGCTCAATGACGGCAGTGATGTGGTCAAAATGGGTTAAGCAATATGAAACTTGGGTTCAGCATTTTTGTGTTGTGAGTGGTAAGAAATGGACTTAGTCTGTAGGCTGTCTTAAAAAATGTGTGGCTTAGTTCTGCCTGGGTCCTTAGATCCTAGCCCAATCAGAAAGCTTAGCCTGAGACCTTGGCTCAGTACCTATTAGTTGCAAAAGTCAATATTCATAAAGGCTACTCAGCTTAGCGAACAACTCTTCAGAAGCTGAAGTGAAACCGTGGCCCAGGATTTTGTCCAGAACTAATCTGAGGCTGAAGTAATGATTCAGAGATGTGGGGCTCACAATCCAAGAAGAAACTAAAAGTGTTCCCTGGAAGGCACTTACTCCCACTCTCCCACTCTCTTTATGTTCACAAAATGAAAAGAAACATTTCTGGAAGCCCACTGATTATAAAATGGACAAAGCTATTTCTATTGCAGGCCTTGTCTTCCCATTTGAGTAAGCTTGAAGTTTCCAGAAGTTTCTGAGTGAGCTGGAGGTTCTTCTATCTGTGCAGCTGTGGGCATGTCTTCAGACACAACTCTCTGTTCTAGTTCATGTATTGGTGCCTTCAGCTGGAATGTTTTTTTCTAGGCTGCTTTTTATCTTATGTGGAAATGAGGCAGTGACCAGTGGGCTCAGAAGTTTCTGGAGATACTTGTCTTTCTGTCTGTATAAGGCAAGCTAGCTAACACACTTCACTATTGGAGGAGATCCCTGGATTGGAGAGAAGAAGAGAGAAACAGGCTCTAGAATTTAGAAAAATGTTGTTCTTTTTGTTGTTGTTGTTGTTTAATTTCCATTTTGCCTCAAGAATTACTTGAATCCTCTAGATCACAGTGACAGGTAGAGCTTGGTATCAATTATTCCTGCTGAACAATGTGGGATACACATGCTGGACATGGTGACCTATGTCTCTGGGGACATTTCTTCTTTCACTCATCTCCCTCACAGGCTGAACATTAGGGTATATTCTTTTACCGCCTGGGCAATTCCTTTTAAAGTGTCCTGGCTTGTCACACTAGTAGAAATCAGCAGGTGTATGTTGGGGATTCTAGATCTTGTAGGCCTGTGAAATGGTGAGTAATGCCTTTTTCAATCTCTTGTGTCTCCTCTCTACTTACTAGGTCTCCTCTTTCCAGTTCTTGTTTTAAAAGATCAGGAAGCCACTCCAGGAAGTTTTCCAAAGTGCTATCTGATCCCAAAGCTTACTTCTGTAGTTTTTTTTTTCTGATATTAGAAGATGGCTGAGAAATAAACTAGTATTTTAACATTGTCTAACTCCTGATTGAATTAGGACATAGAGAGATATGTTTTGCTAAAGCTTCTCTCAGCCTTTCCAAAGAAGCTGAGAGATATTTTTCTGGTTTGTGGTTCAACAAGGGCAGTTTAGAGTAATTAACAGGTTTTATTCTGGTTCTTTGGAAGTCTGTTAATATGCACAGTAGAAAGTGTTCTTTTTTCCATTCAGCTATGTGTTTACTAAGGCTTCAATTAGGATTGTAAAACAGCAGTATTTTTATTTCTGTTGGAAATAGTAATTCTGTCTTTTTTCACTCATTTTCATCTTCCAAATGTGTCTATTTTTGATTGACTATGGGATGTCAGTTGTTCATCTTCAAATTCCTTTGTTGCCTATAATGCTGCCTGTAGTGCTGCCTGTTTTTCAGCAGTAGTTAAAATGTGGCTTAATAGTTGCACTGCATTTCTGCAGATAAGATGAAAAATGTGGTTTAAATTTTGGAAAGCCTGTGTAGGTCTATCAGGGAACTGCCCTAAGTCTGGCTTTATGTGTACATTTACTGCAGTGAGAAGGAAATTTAAACCTTAGTAGCACCATGTTCATTGTGCGTTTGTTATATTGGCAACAGTAAAGTTGAAGGTTTCCTGGGAATGCACAACCATAGGGGTTATTATATGGCTATTCTGAGTCTCAGATAAAGGAGGCAGATTGGGCACTCAGAAAATGCATTTGGCCGTTCTCTAGAGATTTGACTCTTTAACTTTGGTAGACTCACCTTGCATGGTTCCCAAAGTGGCAGGTGAAATTTTACAATGTTTACAAAATCTTGGTTTTTTGGAGAGCAAAAAGACCTAGTTGTTAGATATTACTGAAATTATGCTTCTTTGGGAAGGCCAGGTCTTCTATCAGGAATATGGCCATCTTGTTGTCAATTGAATATTATTATTATTGTTTTTAAATTTAGAGACTCAGGGTCAATGGAGTCACAGTGCTTCCAAGTGCATTCAAGGGGAGTGCAGTCTACAGTTGCTTTGTTGCCATCTAGGAACAGAGAGGAAATAAGGCATCACTCAGATGCCTTCCTCCTTTTGTTGTTACCCAGAATAAATAGAAAGAGTTAAGGTATACTTTTTCATCTTTTTCCTCTGTCTCATTGGTGTCCCCAAATGGTCATAGGTGCTGCCCATAAATGGAAGTATAGCCTTTACTCATAAATCTGGAGGAGCTAGTCAGCAGCACTAGTGACACTCACCTGTGCAAATCCCTACTTTTCTGCCCTGCTTTTGCCCGAGACCCACTGAGCCCCAAAGGCTTGCAATTCACCCCAGAGGCCTTGGAGATGTTACATAGTAGTAAAATTTGTTCAAACCATTTTAATAGAGGAAGTGTCTTCCTACTAACTTTGGTTTTTCTAACTATGTTCTCAGTGAAACATCAGAATCTCAGAGAATGAGACAGACTGACTTTCAAGCATTTTAAATCCAAAATTAGTGCAGCATAGAAAAGGTGGCTCAAAGCTGTAGAAATGGAATGGCTGAATGGTCCTTCATGGGGAAAGCAAAGAAGCTAAAATATGTCCTGTAACATTGTCTTTCTCCTTTAATAGCGGAGTCTGCCTGTTTACAGATAGGACATGGGGCCTAACCAATGAGAGTGGAATGTAAATGGGAAAATAATTTGAAAAATCTAAGTTTTGGACAATGAATTGCCAAGGCTCCAGGTAGAAAAGAAATCTCATTTCACTAGGTGGTGATGTAAGGTTAGAAATGCTAGCTTAAGAATTCTGACTCAAAATTATTTTTATTCATAAGTTAGAAAGACAGATTTGGGTTTTGATATATTGTTTCCACCGCATGTCTCTCAACAGGCATAAATGAACTTGTCTCATGATGGAACTTTTATGTGGAGGAAAATAATATATTTGTAAAAATTCCTAATAAAGGAAAAGGTAATTACTTGGGGTCAAATCCTTCCCATACAGTGCCATGAATGTCTATTATTGAGGGACAAAAAGGCTTTTATAGGTAAAAATTTATACTGAAATCTTGAGTTCCACTTGTTTCAGGGAAATCACAAAAATAAACCTTTTTAAATTACATTCATAATTACTAACACACCAAGTGAGTGTATTAAGCAAGTCTGTATACACCTAGTCTGCAAAAGTACCTACAGCATTGCATACAATATGAAAGGCATTATAGCTGTGAAAATCAAAATTATAAATTCAATAGATAAAAATGGGAAATCCTTGAGCCAAAGGCCTGATGAGCCGTCACAGACCAGAATTAGTCTCAAGGCAATCAGGTAACACTGTGATGTAGCCTCAAGCTGAAACTTCAGTTTCCTTAGGATCTCCTTTAAATCTCATGTAATTGCCAGGCTCTTTATGAGAAAAAAATATTCTTGAAACAAAGAAGACATTTTTGAAATGAATACGAAAGTTTAAATTCTATTTTTAACCCTCTGAGTTATTTTCTTTTCAGTCCATGCATCAATATATGTTGTAGTCTCACCAATGCAACAAGATGTAAAGGTATCCCTTTGTCTGTGATTATATGCAAAGATCTTGGTCTTAGTTCAAAAAAAAAAAATTAAGAAGCTCAGAAACAAAGTTGAGATTAAAGAAAAAAAAAAGAAAAAAGTGCAAGAAGAAAGCTCTCTGCCAGTGAAAAGAAGGGTGCAAATGTGTTTCCCACTATGAGGTTGAGGTTCAGGGTTATTATGAACTAGCATGAGAAAGAAATGCTTTAAGTCAATGCACTCTTTTGAAGACCATGTGATTCAGCTGGGCCTGGGGTCTCGGCCTGAGAATAATTAGAAAGCTTAACCCAAGAAATTTCCCTAGAAATAATCAGGAGGTGTAGTCATAATTTATAGAAGCTGCTGAGCTCATCCCATGACCTATAAGGAGCTTCCTGGAATCCAAATGATTATACAAAAGGCAAGGATATTTTTGTGCCAGGGCTCATTTTCTTATCACAGTGAGGCCGAGTTTTGTGCAAGACTTTTATCTGAATTGACTTAAGGTTCTTCTGTCTGTGAAGATATGAATCTCAAGATGCAGCCACCTTTATTAGTTGTCTTATTGGTATCTGCAGCCTGATTTTTTTTCGGACTGCTTATGTGTTATGTATAAATGAGACACAAACATGTAGACTGGTGGTTTTCCAGGGACCCTTTCCTTGCTGTCTCCTTAAGTCAAGCTAGCTTTATCATCTCAATAACACCTTAAAGAATGTCCCGGATGTGTCTACTTCAGATTTTACAATAGGAAACATGAGGAGGCATAAAAAAGGAGAGTAAAAACAAGAAAAGAACAGAGAGTCTAGCTAACACAATAGAGTTTTCTAAAAATGCAGGCCCCAGGGTGGCACCTGCTATCTGCTATCAATGTGGTAAAACAGGACACTTTAGCAAGAAATGTGGAGACAACAATAGGAAGCCACCTCAACATTGTCCAACTTACGGTGGTGAGCACTGAAGTGTGTGCTAATTTAAGAGGCATACATCACTAAGCCCAGGACCAGTCTCACAAAGGGTCCAGCAGGACTGACAGTTCCCTGGAGATCAATTCCCCAGCCCTAACAGCTGCCATACTCTTCAGGTTCCATACTCTTCAAAATCCTTGGGTGATTCTGGAGGTGGAAGGGAGGAAAGTAGACTTCCTTCTGGAAACTGGAGCAGGTCTGTTTGTTCTGCTTTCCAATCAAGGCTTTCTCTCGTCCCACAATGTGACAATGATGGATGTGTCAGCAAAGTCCTTTATACAATATTTTCTCAGCCCATTAGTTATGGTTGAAACAGCCTTCTATTTAGTCATATCAATTTAATAATTCCTGAAATTTCCACTTTATTACTAGGTAGAGATATTTTAGCCCATAAAGAAGCATCCATCTGAATGGCTGCATGATAAATTCTTGCTCTCCCCTAAGGGGAAACCAATATTAAATAACAAGCATGGGATGTCGAGAAAAATGTTGCTGGGCTACAAGCACTGTATGCATCCATATTTACCTTAAGGATTTCACTATTTTTTCTAGCCAGAGGCAGTATTTCCCAAAGCCAGAAGGTGGAAAAGGGCTAGAAGTCATTATAAATAAGCTATAAATGAAAGGCATTTTTAGACCCTGCAACAGTCTTTAGAAAACTCCAAATATCAAAGAAGGTCACTTTTTAACATGCTCAGAAATCCCATTTTTTTTTTTTTTGGACCTCAATAGGTGAAAAGTTTACCCAACTCGTAGGTATTTGGAAGTAAAACCCATGGTTGTGCTTGGCTTTAAGAGGTCTTATCAGAAGTTCCTCATTAAAAAAGAGTTTCATCAAAGCCAATGTACAAAGGCTATTTGAGAATAATTATTTGGCCTGCATTTTATACCAATAATTAATTTAACTATTACTTTATGGAGTATTTTGCTATCAACTCAGGCCTATTATATTTGTTTTTTATAGAAATGAACAAGGAAAAGAGAAAAATTTATTTCAAATATTACATTGGCCATTATCTTCTACTCTCATTAGTTGTCTTTAGAATTTGCCTATATTTTATAATATCCCTGTTAATTCCTGTGATCCGCTCAGAAATCTCCTGCTACAGCTAAGTAGAAAACATAAAAAGATTAATATTGTGATGTATGTAATAATACCCTGTTGTAGGCAATTATTCTACAAATTTTGCCAGGTAAAGAGACTATATTGTGGACTCATAATCAAGGGGTGTTTATGTTTGTGGGGTTAAGACTAAGGAAGTTAAGCAAAGCAAAGCCCCATGAACTCACAACTTCTCTGGCGTACCTATAGCCCTCAGTTATCAGGGCATGTCCACAGCCTCAGAATTTTTAAGCTGTTTATTACCTCAGCTAATCTCATTTTAACACAGATATTTTGAGAAACCAAATTTTTTCATCTCATGTAGAGGAAATCAAACTCCAAATGGTACTGCAAATGAAACCACTTATGAAAACACTGTGTTTCTGGAAATATTATCCTGACCTCAGGTGGAGTTCCAGCTGTTGTATTTTGTTGTACAAACCCCCTCCCTAAGAGTAAGTAGCTGGAAAGATCAATTCTCCCTAACAGCAGTTAGTTAGGTATTCAGGGTGGGCCTCTCCCTAACAGTAGAGAATAGTTAGGTAGTTAGAAGGGGACCTTGGTATAACTTCTAGAAACAAAGATCCAGCTTGCAAAAAAGATCCTACAGACACATATTAGTAAACTTACACAAACCTTCAGCCCACTGATATGAAGAAACGCAGGCCGACATAGACATATCTTTGTTCTTTGTGCACAAAGATATGCTCACAAAGAAACTAACTGAAAAACAACAACATTGAAACACCCTTTTCTTTTGTATAAGCAATGGACTATCAAATATAGTCACTATTTTTTCAGCTGGAGGAAGTACACAGTGGGGGACAATAAGTTTTAGTGGGCCTTTTTTTTTCTGGACACCCTTTGGAATACAACAAGAACTGGTATAAATTATCACGTCAGTCTCTGATTAGTCATGGGTCAAGGTCGTGGACCAAGCTTTTACATTAGCACTTGTTAGTCATGGGTCAAGGACATGGGCCAACTTTTCATGTCAGAACTTGTTTGGTCCCAAACAAATTCCAAAGCCAAACTGATCTTTTTCCAAGATCAGTCATCATATTCTTCCATTTCCCAGTACATGAGGACCCCAAACACCAGTGTTACAGTGGGCAACTAATTTTGGTTGTCACGGTGGAGAGCTATTTTAATTTCCTTCTTACACTTTGTTTCTACTTTCAATTTTTGTGTGACTTCCTCAAGTTTTTGGCCATGAGAAAAATAACTTTTTGTGATATGTCACAATGAGAATTTTCTACACGTGTACACATGGTTCATGGTGAGAATACAAAAAATGAAGCCTGAATTGAGACCTGGGATGCATAAGTCTTACTGGACCTTCTAAAATCTGGCCCTGGAAAGCAACCTATGTCCCTGCACACATTCCATCTTCCAGTTGTCGCCACCACTGGCTGGATAGGTTTGAGGTGGCATCCTTTTGTTTTTTCTGCAGTTCTTCCTGAACAGTCCTGGATGGCCAAACTTGCAGAAGTTCGAAGGTCCAGCTCAAAACTCCTGGATTTTGTAGACCTATAATTCAGTCACTTGTGCTTTGTCTGACTCTTGTTTTTTCCTCCCTTCCTGGGCCTCTTTATGGTCCCTATTGTAAAAGACCAGGAATGCCACCCCACAACAGTTTTTCTACAGTGGTATCCCATAGCATAGCCTGCTTTTGAAGTTACCTTCTGATTTAAAAATTGAGTAATAAACTGGTCTTTTAAGATTATCTGTATTTTATTTAAATCAGGAGATAGGATTTTTTCTCAAAATCCACAGAATCCATTCTCACCCTTTCACCCTTTTCATAAAGTCTGAAATATTTTGATTTGGTTTTTATTTCACTATGGCCAGTTTAGGTCAATTGAGAGATTTGATTCCAGTTTCTTGAAAGCTTTTTAATATTCACATTGGAAAGTCTTTGTTTCCACTCTCCCATTAAATCAGTAGGCCTTTAGTTAGGGTTTTTAAGGGCAATGTCTCCCTTCTTATTGGAAATGGGGCTTATACTTTTCCACTTTTTTTTTCTTTTTTGGACAGGTTTTCTTCTTTGGGTGGCTATATGAAATATTCCATTTGTCCTTGAAACTCTCTGTTGCCTGTAGGTCTTCCTGTTCCTCAGAAATACTTCAGATTTGGCTTAGGAATGACAACATTTTGCCATGCAAAATCAAAAACTTGGACAGCATTTTGGAAAGCCTGTCTGTATTCATCCAGGTTATCAAAATACTTTTCTGTGTCCCAATCTATGTGTTTAAAGTCTTGTAACTAAAAGAGAACCAGGAATTTAGAAGCACCATGTTTATTGAGCATTTTCTTTAGGGGTAGCAGTTTAATGGAGGATTGATTGGGATAATTGAAGAAGCTGAGGATGATAAAGTGACTAGAGGAGTCTCTGGATAGGGGATAGAAGAAAAGCTGGAACATCTGGAAGTTTCTTCTGAGGCTTTCCTGGGCAGTTGTTTCTCTGACTTTTGAGAAATGTTCACTATAGACAAGTCCAATGTGCTAAGAGGGCATGGTCAACATTACAATGCTTACAAATATCTGGATTGTTTGCAGGACAAAGAAAGCACCTCAGACAATTTGCCTTATCACTTGAAGAAAATATCTAGGTGTTAGATAGTATTGAGAGAAAAAGGTTATGCAGATAGGATGAATTCTTGCTAAAACTACTTTAAACAAAGAAACAGACTCAAATACCAGGCTGCAGGCAGATGTCTTAAAACCCTGCACAAAACTGCAGTCCACTCATATAAAGGAACAAAGCCTAACAAGTAACCCTTTTGTATTTTTTTTTTGCCTAAAATGTACCAAAAATAATCTGATAAAAGAAGAAGAGTCTGCATAAAAACATTTTTCTTCTTTAAAGAAAGCACATACTTCCAGAAAATAGTCTCTATTCCTTTTACCCAGGGGGCTTCAGTGTGCTCTGATGAACACTTTTATTTTCTTCTTCTTTTTTTTTTTCTGGATATGCTTTCCACTGTGAGCTGAGCCTCTATAAATTTTTATTTCAGCTACCTTTCAGTCTTGGGTCCAGGTTCTGAGCCAAGCCAACTAGTACTTTTTCAAGACTAGTAAGCATACTCTTTTCTTAATTCATAAAAACATCAGAACCTGCCTCATAGTGACAAACCCATCCTGTCTCCTATCTGTGCTGTGAATAAGTTTTGCTTAAGTTGTCAATCAGACTTCACTCTTAGCATGTACAGTCATTATTATTATTATTATTATTATTATTATTTGCAGTCAGAGAAAAAACTCTGATGATACCTCACAAGAGCAGACTGATATATATAGTGGTGAATCCACATGGCTGCAAAAGTGTTCATAAGAACACACGGAAGCACACTGGGTAGAAGAAATAGAGATTTTTTTGTGGAAGAGAAATGATTTTATGCAGAATCTTCTTTGTCTTTTATCAGAATACCTGTAGGAATGTTTTAGGCCAAAAAAATACAAAAGGATTTCTTTGACAGGCTTTGTTCCTTTATATGAGTGGACAGCAGGTTTGTGCAAGTTTTTTTAAAAATCTGCCTGCAGCCTGGTATTTCAGTCTGTTTCTTTGCTTAAAGTAGTTTTAGCAAGAATCCGTCTTATCTACATAACTTCTCTCTCAATATTATCCAACATCTAGATATTTTCTGCAAGTGAGAAGGCAAATTGTCTGAGGTACCATGTGTGCCAGGTTTCTTTGTCCTGCAAACTGTTGTAACTGAGCAAGTTAGAGAGAAATCACCACACTTTGAGGTGGATTCAAGAGTCCTTTATTAGCCAGTGATCAAGAGAAAGATAACGCACAAAATTCTCTCGGCCTCAAAGAAGGGGCTAGATTTTCTTTTATACTTTGGTTTAGAGAGAGGAGGGGGAATTCTAGTTGCAACAATCTTACAGAAGACAAAACAGACAAGAAAGTTAAAAAGACAAATTGTTACAGGAAAACAAACAGTTCCAGGTGCAGGGGCTTTAAATTCATCACAAGGTGACAGGTGAGGGGGCCCTTGGCATTATCTACCAGAAAAACATGGGGGCATTATGGTACCATCTCAGAGCAAATTGCTGGGAACTGTGGACATCACTTGCCTCAGCATGTTATCAGTTAATTGTAGTCTTTGATATGTTGAGAATCTTGCACAAGTTAAAGTCCTTGAGGAAAAGGGGTGGGTAAGGAGCCCTTGATGTCTTGTAAATGAAGGAGCCAAATGGCATTAGTCTGCTTTTCTCAGCTAAGGGTGAGTCTATTCATATTAAAAACAATGTTAGGTATTACATTCCCCATTTGTGTTTTTGGGGAGTCAAATCATTGATTCCTCATTTAGAACAAGGGGGTCGTATAGGGTTTTAAGATACATAAGTTTGACAGAAGGTATGCATTGCTTTACAAAGTTATGAAACCAGTTTAATATACATGGCCCAAAGATTAAGCCTAACAGCAGGAGGAGAATGGGTGGTTCAGCTAACCCAGTGACTAGAGTAGTTAGCCATGGATTCCAGTTACACATGCTTTGATACCAGGGAGTGTTATTTTCTCATTCTTGTTGGCATCTATCTAGATTTTCTTGAACCTTTTGGAGAGTATCCTTTATGACCCCAGACTGATTGGTTCAGAAGAAACAACTTTCTCTGAGAGCTGTGAATAAACCTTCTTGGGAGAGGAATGGCAGATCTAAGCCTCACCAGTTTTGAAGAGCTACTTCAGCCAGAGACTGTACCTGGTGTGCAGTATATCTATGGCTGACCGGAGGTTGCTTAAACCTACCTGTTGAGACAGGGACACCTGTCCAGTTTCTCCCTTAACCAGGGCAGCCGTGGCGATGGCTGCTGATCCGGCTATGCTAAGGCTGGCCAGGAGGGGTACTAGGAGCGGAAGGCCTCGGCAAATCCTGGGATGTAATTCAAGGGGAGTGATGAGAAGTTGTTCTTCTGGCCCACTGTACACATATATCTGGGGAACCACATGAACTAACACACACAGGAGAGGTCCTGGTTCAGTCCCATTGATGCAGTGAGTGAGACCTGAAGTGCAGGCTAACTAGGTATTATTAGGTGCCTGGTAGGAGACTGAGGTACTTAAGGAAGTAAGCAGGGACTGATTACAAGCAGCCTGAAATGGAGAAGCAGATAAGTTATATCCAGCACTAATTAGGCAAGAAATGTTCCCAGACACGTCTCCTAGTGTGAGGGCATAGGGTCGTGCATGACAAGAAAGAGGGCCACTTTTAAGCATAGCTTCTACTCCTAATCCCACATAATAAAGGGGTTTGGCATTTAGACATAGCCAACAAACTTGAGCTAGTTTAGGCCAGGTGAGATTAGGAGGTGATATACCCTGCCTAGAATGGACATCAGGCTGGGTTGGAGATGTTGTCATTGCAGCTGGGGTTTAGGAACTAGGAATGGTGGCAGAACAGTTAAATCGACCTTGTCTGGGTGTTTTTGGAACATAGGGTCACCTAGATCAGTTAAAGGCCCCATTGTCTTAGGAGGGCTCCATGAGATCAGGATTTTCTTTTGGATGGTGAACACAGTTACAACATCAAATCCCAGGATATAAAGCCTTAATCCCCATGACATGCCATAATACCATTGAGCTGAATTAGGTTTATGGGTGGTTATGGTTTGAGTATTACTATTTTTTCTGGTACATAGTCTAGGATGGGAAACATGAGCTATGGAAAGAGTTGAAGATCAGGTTGATCCCCCAGAGTAAGTGGCTAAAGTTACACATGTCCAGTTAGGGCAGAAAAACTCATAAGTATCTCTACAACTAGAGTCAGGATGATTTCCAGGAGAGAAGTAAAAGCGCACCTTTGGAGCTCCCACATCCGGTCTGGCTCCTGGAGTGTCCAAATCCTGCAGCAAGGTCGACGTTCCCTGCTCCCATGACTGGCAGGTTGCATCTTTCCTTGTGGGTACGAGCAGGTTCTGGGAACAAAACACATAAATTGAATGCAAGAGAGACTTCCTTGGAGGTTCCTGCCTTCCAAGTAGTGTTTGCAAATACATGTCCTGTCATGAAAGAAGTGAGGAGTAAGGAACAGGAAGGTGCGGAGGGCATAACAGGTGGAAACCAACAAGAAAGGTAAAAATAATAATAATAATAATAATAATTAATCTAATGGCTTCACTCGACTTAGACACAGTTTTAAGGGGCCTGGCCCAGGCTTGGGGACCCATGTTTCCTGCCAGGCTTTGTTGGTCTTTTTGAAGCTGGAGTGATGAATCCAAGCAGGAATGCTGTCCACCTTCAGAGCATTGGCATGGTGAGGACAGTATGAGGTCCTTTCCAAGCAGAAGTGAGTCCTTCTTTCTGGAACTTTTTAACACCAGGTCATCTGGCTGAAACAAGTGGTAGGGCCCCATCTGGTTAGGAACTGGATTGGGATGAGCTCCCTGGACAAGTGGCTGGATGATATCTCGTATCCATTGGAGAGACTGCAGGAGTAATAAATTAGCTTGTGATAATTCTGCTAAATGGGTATCCCTTAGCTTTAGGCAAGACAGGCGGCGCCCAGCCATACATGATTTCAAAAGGTGAAAAACCAGCCCAGTAAGGAGTGCATCTTACTCTAAGAAGGGCTAAAGGAAGGAGTCTTACCCAATTCTCACCAGTCTCTAAGATCAATTTCATAAGAGTACTTTTTGGGATGTGGTTCATGTGTTCTACCTGCCCAGAGCTCTGGGGTCAATAGGCACAGTGGAGTTTCCAGTGAATGTTTAATGCATTACTGAATGATCAATGGAGGAGGTGAAGGCCAGTCTATTATCAGACCCTACGGCAGCAGGCAGCCCATGTCAAGGGATGATTTCATTGAGTAAAAACCTAACTACCATGGTGGCAGTCTCGTTTTCAGTGGCAAATGCCTCAGTCCCTCCGGAGAAAATGTCTGCTAGTATCAGAAGGTATTTCTACCCAGCCCGGTGTGGTTTTATTTCTGTAAAGTCGATTTCCCACTTTTCTCCTGATGAGTTTCTCCAGTGGCAGTGGCCTGAGCTGGGTTTAGGACTTTGCCTGGTGTTTACCTAAGCACAAGCCGCACACCAGAGAGCTGCTTGATCTGTAAGTTCTGAAGGCAAGGGATCTTGAAATGGCTACTTAGGAGCTGGGCCAGTTTTGCATCTCTCAAATGAGTGGTAGAATGCAGACGACTGATTAAACTTTCCTGAGAGCTCAGGGTACAAAGATTCTGGAGTCAGGAAGAAGCCACCAACCTTCCTGATTTTTAGTGGCCTGGAGATCTGAAGCCAGTTTTACTTCTTCTGCTGAGCATGCGGTATGATTGCATAAGTCAGGCTGTGGAAAGAACACTGCAGGCAGTAATGTTAAAGGCATGACTGGAAGCCATGCAGCCTCCAGGGCCAAAAAGTCCACTCTCTGATTACCATGGGCAATGGCCGTGTCTTCTCTTTGATGTCCTTTGCAATGAATTACAGCCACTTGCTGAGGGAGCCATAGGGCTCCAAGCAGGGCTAGAATTTCTTCTGTGTTTTTGATCATCTTTCCTGCTGTGGTGACTAGCCTGCACTCTTGATAGATGACTCCATGCACATGCACAGTAGCGAATTCATACCTACTGTTAGTGTAAATGTTAATACATTTGTCCTTACCCAATCGGAGAGCCTGTGTCAGGGCAACCAACTCAGCTCTCTGAGCTGAGGTGCCAGCCGGCAGAACTTGGGCCCACAGGATATCCATCTCCATGGTGATGGCTGCACCAGTCTTTTGAACTCCCCACTCAAGGAGGCTGCTACTCTCTGTATCCACAGTGGTGTCTGCCTCCTTTAAGGGCACATCTTGGAGATCATGTCGGCCAATTTCTCTGGTCTCTAACAGTTGTTGGCAGTCATGGACATGTGTGTTGAAGTCTGGATATGGGAGTAAAGTTACTGGATTTAAACACTGTGGGAGAGAAAGTTAAACAAGGCTGATCTAATAGTAAACTCTGATATTGTAAAATGTGAGCATTTGACAATCATTTGCCAGAAGCACTTCACAGCAAAGTCTCTATGGCATGAGGAGCTGTAAGGGTTAAGTTTTGACTTAAAGTCAGTTTATCAGACTCCTGAACTAGGCTTGCTGTGGCTGCTATGTCTCCCAGGCAACTGGACCCCCTGGAGGCCATGGGGTCTATTCTCTTAGACAAATAGGTAACTTGGCATCACCTTGGCCCCAAGATCTGAGTGAGTATCCCTTTAGCAACTCCCTAGTTTTCATGGACAAAAAGGTGAAATGGCTTTGAGATATTTGGAAAGGCTAGAGCAGGGGCCTCAGTTAATGCCTTTTTCAGGTTTTGGAAAGCCTGTTCCTCTGTGTCAGTCCAAATTAGTGAGCCATTCCCTCCTGTAGCACTGTACAGGTGCTTGGCAATCCTCATAAACCCTAAAATCCATAGGCAACAGTATCCCATGGCCCCCAGGAACTCATGTACCTGTCTCTTGGTGGTGGGAGAGGGGATTCATAGGATAGTTTCCTTCTGGGCACTGGTGAGTGCCCTTTCCCCTTGGTTTGTCTCATACCCCAGGTAGGACAATCTAGGAGGACAAAGCTGGACCTTCTCTGCAGACCCATTATCTGAGTTCCTGAAGGAGGTAAAGTAGGTCCCTAGTATGTTGCAGGCAGCTGTCAGTAGGTTCTGTAGCTAATAAAAGATCATCTATGTACTGAAGAAGAGTATGATTGGGTGACTGGCTTGGAATGGTATAAGATCCTGCTGGAAAGCTTCAAAAAGATTGGGAGAATTTTTAAAACCTTGAGGCAATTGAGTCCAGGTCAATTGGGGGGTGTCTCCCAAGCCAGGATCTGTCCATTCAAAAACAAAGATTGGTAGGCTCTTGGGGCCAGAGGAATAGCAAAGAAGTCATCCTTTAAGTCAAGGACAGTGTATCCTGTATGTTCTGGCAGCAGCAGGCTGAGTAGACTATAAGGATTAGGGACCGTTGGATGGATGGTAACTGAATATTTTTTAACTTCCCTTAAGTCAAGTACTGGCCAGTAATCATTTTTTCCAGGTTTCTGGACTGGCAAAAATGGAGTATTCCAGGCCGACTGACATGGTGTGAGTGTGCCAGCTGGTAACAGTCACTGAATATTGGGATTGATCCCCTGTCTAGCCACTGACTCATAGGATATTGCTTTTTCTAGATCAGAGAGGTGGTGGTCAGGAGTTCTACAACCACTGGCAGATGGTGCTTAGCCAGTCCTGGGGGGGTTGACTCAGCCCAGACTCAGGGAAAGAGTGTCTGTAAGTCCAACAGGAGAGGATTGGTGTTATTCTCCAGTGGTTGTGATGGTGAAATTAAAAGATATTCCTCTTAAAGAGGGATACTTAGCTGGAGTGGGGCAGTCGGGGGCTTGGTGTTTCCAGCATAAGGTAAGCCTGCTGGGCTGAGAAGGAGATAGAGGCCTGTAACTTATGAAGTAGGTCTCATCCAAGGAGGAGAAAAGGGCACACTGGGACCACAAGAAATGAGTGAGTTACTCTTTTCTGTCCCAAACTCACTTCTCCTGAGTGTGTGACAGGATATTCTTGAATAGCTCCAGTAACCCATTGTACAGCCACTCTTATTACAGACACTGCCCAAGGGTGTCTGCAGTACTCAGTGCTCTGGTATCTATTAGGAAGCATACAGGTTGGCCTCCCACTGTAGCAGTCACCATGGGTTTCCAGGGGCCAAGACAGATGGAGCCCTGGTCCTGTCAGTCATCAGACTCCTCTGCTGCAGGGAGGGTGAGAACTTTTTTCTTTTCTGATTTTCCCTCTGTTAGTAATGGGCATTCCGTTTTCCAGTGCCCAGTTTGCTTACAATAAGCATATTGTTTTTTCTCCAGGGAACCTGTTCACCTTTCTTGCCTTTCCAGTGGGGACCTGGGATTCCCTGGTCACTCTTCTGTGATGGGGGCCTTCCCTTCTTTGCTTCCTGGATGGCTGCCACAAGATTTTTGCTTGTCTTTTGGATGCTCTATCAGTGGCCTGTTCAACTGCCTGAGTTGCCTGTTTTTGCTTTTCAAACTCTGGATTGTCAAAAACTTTTTGGACTATTTCTAAAGGTTGACTGATATTCATCCCAGCAAATCCTTCCAGTTTTTGTACATTTCTTTTAATATCAGGGACTACCTGAGCCACAAACCCCAAATTAAGAGCACAGCTATTTTCAGGACCTGTCTGTCAGGTCAAAAGGGGTATAAGTCTGATAGACCCCCTGGAGGCTTTCTAAAAACACTCCTGCTGACTCATCAGTCCCCTGGACAACTTCAGTCCAGACTACCTCCTCCTGCCATGGCCACAAAAGAGAGGCAATAGGTGGAAACACTCAGGGGGCATAGTCAAGGAGAAAAGGGAAGATTCTACAGGAGCAGGAGGGTTATAAGGTGGTGGAACTGGGTGAGGGAGAGTTTCCTCTTCTTCAGAAGGAGGAAGTACAGGAGGAGTGGAGCCAGCTGAGGGTTGAGGAGAAAATGAGGTTGGGCTCAACAGGACCTTGGAAGTAGAATTATGAATGGCACATGAATGGAGGCATGGAAGAGGGCTCCTGACCAAACTTAGCCACTGATCAATGTATGGAAACTGATTGAGGTGACCAAGAGTTCCCACAACACGCCACACAGCCTGAACAATTGCAAGGCTCAGTGACCCTTCCGGGGGCCACCTGGCTCCAAAACTTGGCCATTCTACTTCGCAGAGTGTTCAGAGTTTGCCTGTTTTAAGGCAGACCCCATAATCCTCTGAGGAGCCAAGAGAGAAATTTTGTAACATACATTGTTATATCTCCTGCATGTTCTCACACCTATTGTCTTTCAATTGTGGCCATGGCAGGAGGAGGTAGCCCCCCTCCTACCACTGAGAGAGGCACCAGTCCCTTCAGGTGATGAGCGCTCAGCCCCATTCTTGGTTTACAGGTCAGGTTTTTCTACTTCTGACCTGTATAACTGGAAAGCTCAAAATTTCCTCTTTTTAAAAAAAAAGCCCCAGGTCTTGACCTCATTGATGGAGTCTGTGCTCCAGACCCAATGACCCACCTGGGATGACTGTCAACAGCTCCTTTTAAGCCTTTTCACCTCTGAAGAGAAGGAATGTATCTGGAGAGAGGCCAGAAAGCATTTCCTCACATAAGCCAATAGGCCAGAACAGGAAGCTAGAGACCCCCTTGAGGAGTTTTTTCCCTCTACCTGACCTAATTGTGACCCAAACTCCTCAGGTGGGAGGAGAGCTTTGAACAATTTTCACCGGTATCTCCTTGTGGGTATCAAGGGAGCTGCCTGGAAACCCGTAAGCTTGTCCATTCTCTATGAGGTGGGGAACAAGAGTTTCCTATTCTGGAGGCAGTTAAACAAAGTTTGAGCAGAGATATTAAACCCAGCACGGACAGAGAAATTCATGACCTGGGGGATTGTAGCTCCAAAAGAACGGAAATGGTATGGCCAACAGAAGCAGGAAAACAGCTATTGTCAGCACTTCCTGCCACATGATTTCTGTCCTTTTAAGTTTTGAGATTTAGGGAGAGGACAAGAGGTGGGTCTGAGGCTGGTAGAACCCACATGATTTCCCTCTCCCTTTTGACTTACAGCCTCAATATATTTGGTGTCTCCATGACTCAAAGGCAAATAGTTCAAACTAGGCCTTTTCTTTTAAGGGTTTGAGGAGGCAGAGCAGAGCCAAGTCTTGGAGACACTGGACTTGCTGCGACACAGGAAAATGAGACGTATGGGGTAAAGAGTGGGGATGAGGAGGAAAGGGGCCACTTGGATCTTTCCTAAGGTAGGAGAGTAGCCACAGGGGAATAGAATAAGATCCCAGATGGAGTAAAGCAGTACGGGGCTAGGTTTCTCTGCCTAGTTCCCTTCTTAAGGGCACAGGAAAAGTTATGGGATGATAGAAGATGTCAGCAAAGAGGTCTGCAGGGTAGCTATTTTGAATCCACCACTGGTCTAATCTGAAGGTGGTCCAGTCACTTGTTTGTGGGGTGTGAAAATCTAAAAGCCAGCAACCTTTATGGTGCCAGAAATCCCAAACAGGAAAATGTTTCCCACCCTCATTCCCGTAACAACACCTAATTGGTTTCTGATTGAAAAGGCAGGAATGAGATGGCCAGCTGAAATGACTGATGAGAAATTTGACCTCCTGTGATAAAACATCAGCACTGAGGACCTTGAAGAAGTCCTTGCACAGACTTCTTGGGCAGTGTTGATGACTTGACATAAGAAACTTTGACAAGCACTAAATAGGACAATAAATGCCAATAGGACAATAGACAAAAAAAAAACAGGCAATTGACCCCAGGGTATATAAACAATTATGGCAACTTTTATAGACAAACAAGGGGAGGGGTCCCATGATGGGATCTGTCAGAGGCCAACCTAGCCACTCCCTCTAAGGGAACGTAGGCTCCTCTTAGCATTGGCAGGCCAATATAAACCACCCGCTCAGATTGAGTTATGCCTGATGCTGCCTAAAGCCTTATGAGGTAGCCACGAAACTGCAGGTGAGGGCCCACTTGAAACCCATAGCTTTCACTGTGGAGCTACAAACTGGAATTTCAAGTGCAAGCCCTTGATTTCCACAATCATGCACACATTCACACAGAGTTTATAATATTTTTTCTTATTCCCATTCTAAACAGAGGTCTCTAGGAGACCTGAATGAGAGAAGGAGGAGATAGGGAAAGGGAGGTGGGAGAGAGAGAGAGAGAGAGAGAGAGAAAGTGAGGGGGAGAGAAGTGAGAGACTAGTCTTAATGGAGAGGCCAGCCTGCCAGAAACCAAGACTCTGTCCTCCAGCATCCTGGTGTATGAATAGAGTTGGACAGAGATGCCCTCATCAGGAACGGATCCCTCTCACCAAACCAGAACAAAAGGTACCTAAAGGAAAAGCTTTGCTCGAACTGGGAAAAAATAAGGCTCATATTGTACTGCACAAAAGTATGGAAATTACACCAGCTCAAAGACAAAAACACCTGGCCTTCTGAGATAAAAGTTTATTTGAAAGTATCTAATTATCAGATGTTTTCTTCAGATGAAAGATCCGTTAGTATGAGTTTCTGATGTACAAGCTTTCTTTACCTTGGGAGACAACCCAGACCTTTGTAAGCATTGTAAAATTGATTCTGGCCTTTTTGTAGTCATGTCAAGCAAGGCTACAGAAGATAATTTCCCAAAATTAGAGAGACAAACCTTTGCGTACCCCTTAAATACAACTTCTAAATGCCATACCTGCCCTTCTTTCACATGCTTTCCAACCACCTTATCATCAGTTTCTCTCCCTGTGCCACCCAATAAACCCCTACATTCCCTGTAGGCCCTGCAGAAAATGTCAAATAAATGTGGTACTACTAAACTTCAGGTTTAATTTTTATTGCAGAATTTTAAAAAAACAAATTTATATCTAGTCAAGTTCTCTGATTACTCTGATAGATATATAAAGGCATTCCAAAATCTTACAGAGGTGTTTCGTTTTATGTGGAAAGATGCTACATTACTCCTAAACTCGATTCTATATATGTCAGAAAATGTGGCAGCTTTTCAGGCAACAGAACGATTTGAAGATGAACAATGTATTTACTACAGCCAGTCTAAAAGTATGAAGGGAAAAAAATCTAGAAAAAGGGAGGGCAAAAGACAAAAGTAAGGTGAACGGATAGTAGAATCTTTATTCCCAACAGGAAGAAAGACATTGCTCTTTGAAAACTTAGTTGGAATACACACACATAAATACTTAATTTAAAAGATTAAGTAGTGGGAACACAAGTGTAAAGTTTCAGCAAAAGTTTAGTATATAGAGAAGAGATAGTTTTCCCAGCAAATCACTACATGATTTGAGTTACTAATGCACAGATTAAATAAATGGGTGCATTAGAGCAAGGTCTGCCATTCCTGGCAGCCATTCCAAGGGACTGGCCTCTCGTAGCGGTAGATCTTACAAATTCTTTCCTGACTATATTCTTACATGAGATGGATAAGTCTTGATTTGTTTTCTCTGTGCCTTCTAGCAATCAAAAAGAGCCTGTCTCTCATTACCAGTGGAAAGTTTTACCCGAAAGCATGCTCACCATTCCCATGCTATGTCAGCATTTTGTAGCACAGTCATTAAAGGAGCCTCAGAATATATTTCCTACTGCCTTCATCATTCATTATGTGGATGACATTCTTTTGATTGCTCCTACGGAACAATTAACACCAATTGTTCAGAGAAACAAAACAGGCTTTGCCTAAATGGAATCTCAAAATAGCTCAAGAAAAGGTAGAAACAATCTCCCAATACCAATACTTAGGTGCTACTGTTACTGAAATAAATGTTTGACCTCAGAAATTAGTCCTCCATAGGGTGAGATTACAAACCTTGAATGATTTCCAAAAATTATTAGGGGATATAAATTGGCTGTGTCCAATGCGAGGTGTTAATTGAAACTTATCAACTCAAACACTCAGACACTCCATGGAGATTATTCATTATATTCTCCTTGGCAACTTACTAACTTACAGCTTGTAGAGCAAATGCTTCAGCAAACACCCACCTCTCCACTACAGCCACAAAACCTTTGGTTCTCTTTATTCTTTCTACCCCCAATTCTCCAGCAGAACTTTTAGACCAGTTCATAGAAAAATCTGTAATTGTAATAGAATGGCTTTTTTAAAAAAATTCAATCAGACTGTAAAGTATCTGCAAGTTTATCTTTCTTTAATTACTCAACTTATAACAATGGGTAGGCATACATGCAAAATGTTTAAGAGATATGATCCAGAAAAAAAATATTGTTCTCCTTTTAGAGCAAGTCTAAAAGTATGAAGGGAAAAAAATTGGATTCCCAACAACAGGCTGCAGCATGGGACATGTTGACTGTGTGGCAAATTGCTCTTGCAGATTTTGTAGGAATAATAGATAAATATTATCCATCAGAAAAAAATTAGCAATTTTAAAAGTTCAACCTTTCATCTTCCCTGTGATTACTCATCAAAAACACATTTCAGGCAGCCAGACCTATTTTACTGATGGCTCTTTCAAAGGTCGCACCGCTACTTATGGGCCTAATCCTATTCAAAGAATAAAAATCCCTGGAGTTTCAGCTCAACGCTCAAAACTAATGGCAGTTATTCAGGTTTTACAACTCACTGCTTCATCTCCTATTAACACTGTCTATGATTCAGCCTATGTTGTAATGTAGCCAGTCACATTGAGATTGCCACTATTTAAGGCATCCTAGAACCAGAGCTGTTTAACTTGTTTCTAAGACTTCAACAAGCCCTTTGCTCTTGTGCTGCTCCTTTTTATATTTCTCATATTTGCTTTCCCACACAACTCTCTACACTATTTCTAGGTAATGATAGAGCAGATAGATTGATTTGTTCTGCATTTCAACAAGCTCAAGCTTCTCATACATTACTGCTTCAAAACCCCTCGGCCTTTATTTGTGTGTTTGATTTGCCTCACAGCCAGGCTGCAGCCTGCGTAAGCCTGTCCTATCTTCCAGCATGTACCTGGAGTCGCATCTATAGAAGGCTATAACCCATGAGGCTTAGCTCCAAACGAAATCTGACAGATGGATGCTACTCATGAGGCTGCCATTGGCAAGCTCTCCTTTGTTCATGTGATTGTAGACACTTATTCTCATTTGCTGAATGCTACATGCAAAACAGATCAGAGAGCTGGTCATGTACAATGGCATTGTCTGTCATTTGCTCATATGGGGTCCCCAAACAAATAAAAAACTGATAATGGACTCGCTTATGTTAGTTATCATTTAAAAAAAAAAAAACTATAGCTACGTTCAATCACTCATGAATCAGGAATTCCTTACAACCCTCAAGGACAAGGAATTATACAGTGGGCAAATCAAACATTACAACATGTGCTGGAAAAACAGAAAGCAAAAATAAGAGACCAGATACCACCTCAAACAAAATTATGTTTACTTTTACTTATTTACTTTAATTTTTTCAAATTTATTTGCTTTAAATTTTTTGACTTTTGTCACAGATAGTAAGACTGTAGCAGAAGGACATTGGTAAATGTTAGAGGGAAAAAGGAGAGTATACTGAAAGGTAGTATGAAATACCCAGAAGAAGGATGATGGACAGGCTCAGTAGATTTACTAATGTAAGGAGGAGGGAATGCTTGTGTTTTTGCAGGAGATGGATAAAATGTGTGGGTGCCCTCAAGGTGTTTGTGACCATGGAAAGGGAGACTGGAGAGAGCCATTTATCCCAACTATGGATGCGGCTCCTCCATTACAAGCCATGAGCCAGCTGAAAGTGCTGGAGTGCCAAGTTCAGGTAAAAACCCCTGACTTCACGTTTATGGCCATGCTGCCTGTAACACCCTGTGCAGTTTGTTTTCCCTGTGCAGAGACAAAAACATATTGGACGTATGTTTCCAATCCCTGAGTATTATGGACTGTAATTTGGATTGACAGTCCCCCTGTGATCTATCATGATCATGGAGTGTGGGAACAAGGATACCAAACTCCCCTGACACAGAACAATTAGACTCTCAGAACAATGATTATCAATTATACTGCTCCATTGCAGGGACTTCTTTTATGTGTCACCCAGAGTACATCACTCAACTGCAGTTGTCTTGCAATTTAATCCCAAGCATGGTTGAGTTACTATGGAAAAATTATGTACTTATTAGGCCTTAGCTCTATTAACATTACTGTTATAGCTAATAACCACTCCCAGCCCCATCACCCAAGTTGTATTAATTATACAGAATGGGCTTCCTTTGATAATTCTTACCCCCATCATTGGACCCAGTGTCTTGGCACCCTAGCTAGACTAACAGTCCATGCTAGTGGGAGACATTATTGACTGGGGACCCTGTGGTCATTTAGATGGGAGAGATGAGAATCCGACCTCGTTGTGAGAACTTCGATGACACTGGTGAAGAAACTTTAGCAACTCTTCACTACATTGCACTGGAATTCAATCCCAATCTGCAGCATAGCTTGCTTGGCATGGAAGAGGCTTGAGCCCATCTTTGCCTCAATGGCATTATCAAGGAAAGAGAAGTCCAATTCAGGAGTCAATAGGGAAGGCAGCACTCCCTTTATGAATGGCAGCATTTGTGTCAGAACACTATTTAATTTTAGGAATTGTGCTCAACACAGTTTTAATGTTACTTTGGTAGAAAATATTACCAATTTACAATTTGTGTTTTTAAAACTTTTGTTTTTCTAGCAGAAAAAAAAAAAAAAGTCCAGGTAAATGATGCCCAATTGACTTATGATTCCTGTCAACTGTATCATTCCGTTAATCATAGCACAATACAAACATACAGCATATCCCCCTTAATAATGCTAGGTCACAATCCAAGATTATGGATTCCTGTAAATCTGTCTGAGATTTGGGTGGCCACCTCTGGTTTACATTTTGTAAACCTTTTTCTTACTCAGCTTATGCATTGTGCTTGTAGAGCCTTAGGCATGATAATTTCTGTGAAAGTCTCCTTAGGTATATTAATAACATTTGTTGTGGGGTCCTTAGTAGCAATGCACAGCTCCATCCAAACAGCTCAATATGTAGAAAATTGGATGTGTACAGCTGACTGGGCATAGGTGTTTAAAATTAAACTTAACACCGAGATACAATGGAAGTACCAATGTTAAAGACCACAGTTCTGTGGCTCCGAAAACAAGTACAAAGCTTGTAGTTGCATCAGCAATTGCAGTGTAATTTTAACCAAAATCATATTTGTGTAACCAATTTGGAATAAAACCAAAAGAAATATCCATGGAAACTTGTAAAGGCCCATTTACAGGGGGTTTTCACATCCAATGTTACTTTTGATTTTAATGATTTACAAAGTAAAATCCTTAACTTGAATAAGCATGCTGAAGCATTTCAGCCATCTTTAAAAATTTGGGCAGAATTTCAGCAAGGTTTACAGAGCCTTAACCTTTGGACCTCCTTGAAACAACACCTCAATATCTTTTTTGTGGTTATCAGAGTAATGTTATTATGTCTCTATTTTATGTTGTTTGTCTTTAAAATCAGCTGGACCACCAAACAGCAATTGAGAGCTGCATAGCCTGCAATTGCCTTTACTCAACTAATGCAAAAACAAAAAGGAAAAGATGTTGGAGGCCAAAAGAATGAGGGTCATGACCAACTCAGTAATGACTGGAGGGGCTATAAGCAGACTGTTTTCATGAAAGCAAGACATTGGCAAACTGACACACCACGTCTGGTACCAGAAGGAATGCTGAGGGCAGTCATTCCTTAAGTGCAATATTCCTTGTTGTTACATGTAGGAACATTTGAAGGCCGTAGTACAAAGAAAGCAATTATGTCAGCCTGTGATAAATCAAGCAGCTGAACAACAATTGCCTTTCCTCCCTGCTGATTCTGACTAATAAATACAAAGTCCTGTAGAAGCTCAGGGCCTTTGCTCACTAGAAGCAATAAGCCCTCTAACCCATGTTTTAGAACAGATCTTTTTGGTCTTTGTCTTCATTTCTGAATTCACCCCCATTCGTTTCATCCGATAGTAACTGATTATCACACTGTCACTACTAAAAATACAAAAAAAAAAAAAAAAAAAAAAACGTGGGCTTGTTGGTAGGCTCATGTAATCCAAGCTATTCAGGAAGCTGAGGCAGAAGACTCCCTTGAACCCAGGAGACATAGGTTGCACTGGGTTAAAATCACACCTTTGCACCACAGCCTAGTTGACATTGAGACTTCATCTCAAAAAAAGAAAAAAAAAAAAAAAAGAAAAAATGAAACAAAAAATATGATCAGGCTAAGGAAACAAAAATACAAGCCGCAGGCAGAGAAAAATTTAGGAAACACATCTGAAAAGTCACTTTTATGCAAAATATACAAAGAAGTAAGATGACCCAATTAATTGATAAAGACCTGAATACATACCTCACCAAAGAAGACATGGAGATGGAAAACAGACACCCAAAATACTGCTCACTGAGCCCCTGTTATTTCTGCTGAAGCCTGAGGCTCCAAGTCATTTCCTGAGGAGCCAAAGTGGCTGCCAGAGTGGCAGTGCCTCCAAAGACCACTTACCCCAGCCCTACCTTTCCTCCAGGGTCCAAGGGTTCCCCAGACATTGGGCATGCTCTCCAGGAAACAGCCAGAAGCTGGATGTTTTATTTCTCAGCTTTTCTTAAAATTCTGGATGCCAATAAGTATACTTTGGTTGGAAGTTTTATTTTTAACGTAACAATTTTGAGGCACTGATAAGTATTAGAAAAGACAGTTTTCAACCTACACTTGTCTCCCTAAAGAGATAAAATAATTGAGTTGGCCAGGCATGGTGGCTCACACCTGTAATCCCAGCACTTTGGGAGGCTGAGCCACGTGGGTGTACTTAGGTCAGGTGTTTGAGACCAACCTGGTCAACATGGTGAAAAAAGCTCTCTAATAAAAATATGAAAAATTAAACAGGAGTGGTGGTGGGCTCCTGTAATCCCAGATACTCAGGAGGCTGAGACAGGATAATTGTGTGAACCTGGGAAGCTGAGGTTACCAGAGCTGAGATCATACCACTCCAGCCAAGCAGTGGGAACAGAGTGAGACTCCACCAAAAAAAAAAAAAAAAAAAAAAAAAAAAAAAAAAGGATTCAATTGTTTTTTTTTTTGCAGTTATTTTGGAATACTTATTACAATGCATTATTATTTTGATGTTCTCAAGACAGATAACACAGTAAGAGTAGTAAGAAAAACCAAATAGCAAGTTATTATAAATTCATGGAATTAATTTCATCTGTCATTCTTTCTGTCTTTTATTATTTAAAATGTGTACTGCTGAAATTATCAGACATTTTACTTGTGATTTCTAGGTGCAAAAAAGAATAACAGTAAACTATTATTGAATGAATCTCAGTCTTCCAATTGATTCTGATGTAGTGGACTGTTTTGTGAAGGATGAAAAGCTAACAGACCAAACAAATGTGATTTCAAATTTTGGCTTACTTTGCAGAAGCAGATTTAAGAACCAGAAACTTCATAGTTCTAACCTTTGTCAATGATTCAGCATTGCAAAATATGTACTGAAATTGAAATGGAGCTTTTTGTGAATTCCAACAGAAACAGTTTGTACTCTAGAAATTCCTGTTGCTCCGTTGACATCCATGAAAAAATCACTTGATTGAAAGTGATCTCTAAACAGCAAAGCGTCAAACTAATACACCACAATGTCTTATTAGCTACAGTTCACTATTTTATTTAGTAACTATAAGATTAGAAAAAAATAGCAGGATAAATGACTCTTGAGTACTCGCATAATTTTCTTAGTTTTTACCAAGTAGAGCTTACAGTACGTTTTTTACAATTGGTTTTCTGTGGCACAATACATAGATGCTTTTTGGCAGCAATCATAGATTAATGAACAAACAATTACAAAATAATACTCAACAACAATTGTCATCCAGGGAAGGCAAATTAAACTAAGAGTGAGAGCACTAACAGCTATAGTATGTCTGAATTTCTTTTTAAATATAATCAAAACTGCAGCAGAAAAACTCATTCATTACTGATGGAATGCATATTTGTATAGCAACATTAAAATATGATTGTTTTCTTCTGCCAGTTTGGCAGTTTTTTTCCAACGGTAAACATGGTCTCATCATATAGGCTAACAATTGCACACTAGGTATTTAGACAACTGATTTGGAAACTCGTCCCTAAACAATAACCACAGGCATTTATGTGTAACTGCTCTCTTGACAATGGCCAAATACTTTAAGGAATCAGGATGCCCTTCAATATTAACCAGGCCAGGTAAATTCATAAAAGGAAATACTATTCATCAAAAGAAAGGAATGATTTATGAAGCCATGCAAAGCCATGGATGTATCAGGCATACATAAAGCTAAGTGATAAAAGCTGGTCTGAAGCGATGACATACTGTATGATTTCATTTCTATTACATAACAGAGAAGAAATGTCTACAGAGACAGTAAACAGACCTGTAATTTACAGTGGTTTGTAGCGGGTAGATAGTGAGTTGATTAGCAGAATGGAATGATGGAAAAAAGCACAAATGGGCCAGGTGAGAAGGGACTCATTATGCTTCATGAGATCATGCTGTTCGTGTAGAAGAGCTAGGAGTGTGTATACCAGCATGAATAAATAAATAGGATTCTACTCATGATAACAGAGAATTGTCTTCTTTCATCACACATGGAACTATTAGGAGGACTTCTGAGGAAGCTTTTGTTGTATGTGGAAAAACATACATAAAAAATTTACCACTCCAAACATTATTGAGTGTATAGTTCAGTGGCATTAACTATGCTCACATTGTGCAACCATCACCACCATTTCACAATCTCTTCAGCAGTGGATAAGGGTTCCAATTTATCCACAGTCTCAAACTTTTCCTTAAAAAAAAATAGACATTCTAATGGAGATAAAGTGGTTATCTCATTGTGGTTTAGGTATTCATGTATTAAGTGGCTAGTGATTTTGAACATCTTTTCTTGTGCTTATTGGCTGTGGATTTGTAAATGATTTCATAGCTATATTGAAGAATGAACACAAAATAAAAAATAGATCAATTGAACTTCATCAACACTAAACACTTTTGTGCATCAAAGGACACAGTATAGTGGAAAGAAATCTAACAGCATGGGACAAAATATTTGCAAGTCATATATATATAGTATATATTCAAGTCACCCATTTGGATCTTTTCCAAGTGCACTTTCCATTTTTTCTAACTCTAAAAATTTTAAGTAAGCATCCATGTTTGCTGTGAAACTTTTCTCAGCCTCTTTTGCTACTTTATTCCCCTCAGTCAAATTCTTTCTTGTGAGGAGGCAAGAGTTGAGGTTAGTGCAGACCATGATAGATTTGATGCCAGTAACTAAGATACCTTCTACTAGTAACAAGTCAAGGAGCTGGTGGACAGTGTGACTGGAGTACGTGCTTAGTATGTGGCTGTACTGGCCGAGACAGTTCTGGACTGTGGAGGGACCAGAACCCCATGCTAAGAGCACTCTGTGGAAAGAGAGCTCAGATTGCTGAGAGAATGCTGAGGAAGAAATTTTGTCTTTTTAGTGAGGTGAAATTCCTTCACATAATATAAAATTAACTGTTTCTTAATGAATTCTTTAGTAATCCTTAGTACATGCACATTTGTGTGCAACTATCACCTTTTAGTTCCAAATTATTTTCATTATCCTAAAAAGAATTACCCTACCTATTAAGGAGCTAATATCCAATCTCTCCTCTTTCTGATACCTAGCAACCAGTAATCTGCTTTTTAGCTCTATAGATTTATTTATTCTAAATATTTATATAAATAAAATCATGCAGTATGTGAGTTTTGTGTTCAGCTTCTTAAACCAAAATGATTTTGAATTTTCTTCACATTGTAGCATTAATATTGTAATCCTTTTTACAGCTGAGTATTATGCCATTGTATGGACATACGATATTTCACCGCTAATTTTTTGTTGGTGGACATTTATTTGGTTTGTTTCCAGATTTTAGTTACTGTGCATGCTGCTATGAACATATGTATGCACGTTTTTGTTTGAATATCTGTTTTACATTTTGTGTGTATAGCTTGGAGTGGATTTTGTTGGTTCTATGGTAATTACATATTTAGCCTTTGATGAACTACCAAACTATTTTCCACAGCAGCTGTAGCATTTTACTTTCATATTTTCCCTTCCATTTCAACCATTTCAATTGTTACCTTTTTGTTTGTTTGTTTTTTGCAATTATAATGGATGTGAAGTGGTATCTTCCTGTGGTTTTGACTTGCATTTCACCGAAGTTAAAATGGGCAGGAGGCATAAGAGTTGGAGGAGTAAGAAAAAGGGTCAGGACAGCCATGTGGAGAGGATAGGTCAGTGCCAGGGGACATACTGGCTGTTGCAGCCTTTGCCCGGTCTCAGCTCCAGTGGTGAAAGGAAAAGTGAGCCCATTTATGTAGTGTAAATTTTCTCACAGTCTATGTGTTTCAGGAAGGAGAGCTGATTAGTGATTTGGGGGACTGAGCCCTCTCTTGTCATAGGTCCTCTATCATTCAGTCCTCACTGGGCACCTCCCTGGAGACAACCTGGTCTCAGCTCCCAGACACAGGAGAACCTCATGGCCTGGGAGCCTGCCCCCTAATGGACAGAGGCCTGGAGGGAGGAGCACAGCTGATATGTGTTACAACAAAGAATGTAAAGTACAGAAGTGGACACAACATTTAGTGCAGTCATCCCAGGCCACAGGAACCAGGATCACCACTCATGGGACTCAGTCTCCCTCTTTGAGAAAGGAACTGCCACAACCATCAATCTCAACAGCCCTTCCAAGATTTAATAGACCAAACAAGTTGGAATTCAGCTGATTTTAAATTCTGCTGTCATTCCAGATCTCACACAACCCCTGCACCAGAGACTGGAGTCAGAGTCTGCAAGTTGCTTTCTTCTGCTGGTGCAGGAGAATGTGCCAAGTTAGTCTCCACTTGTGGCTGGTACACAGAGTGCTTGGCCACCAGCATTTAATTATTTCCACTATTACCTCTAAGGTTTACCAAAATGTTTGTGTGGTGTAAGCTGTCACTAAGTTCCCTTCCTTTGGGCCTTCCAGAGACTACTTTGAAACATTTGTCACTCTCAAAAACAAGCTACTGTGGATTTGGTCGGCTCTTGATTGACATTTAGAAAAGCTGTGGCCTCAGAAGGCAGCTTCCTTCCTGCTCCAAGTCCACTAGGCTGTACAATGAGCAATTAAGATGTCCCTGATCTCAGATCCAATAAGTTCTGGGTGCAATGTTCAGTCCTCCCTTCTGCAAACCACAGTGATGACATAATACAGTACCCAGCTGCCCAGTGCCTTTTCTAACCCTGTAATTAATCATCACATTAACTTTGACCCACCCCTCTCCCTAATCATAACCCAGAATCCCTAACACTAACAGCAGCCCTAAGCCACAAACTTGATGCCAACATCAACCCTATGCCTAACTACTCACTAAAACCAAAACCCCAAGTGAAATCCCAACTCAAAATCCCACTCTAACTGCTAAACCTGAATTTGACCCTGACCTTGATAATAACCCTAACACAAAGGTACCCCAACCATTACATAAACCTGAACTTAAACACTGTCTAAAACCCTAATCCCAAAACCCTAACCCTAAGACAAAAACACTTACCATAAACAAAAAACCATATCTCCAAACTTTAAAAGCCCCTAACAACTAACCACAACCCCTATCACATAATCCTGACTTCTACCTCTGAAACCTGCCTTCTGAACATGAACATAACACTCACATTAAGTCTGATACTAATTTCTAACCTAAAACCTAAAATTCTTATTACAACCCTAAGCCTACATCTACCCCAAACCTAAACCTAGCTGTTACATAAAACCCAAACCCTAATCCTAACATTAATCTTTAGCCCAAACCTAACCCTACACCTAACCCTAACCCTTAACCCTAAGCCTAAGTACTAACATAAACTGTAGCCCTATTGTTTAACCCCAATCTGTACCCTAATGCCAACCCTAACACTAATTCTAACCAATAATTGTGATGCTGACTGTAATCATAATACTAAACATAACCTTAACTGCTTAATATAAATTTAAACACTAACCATAACTATAACCTAAAGCATAAACTATACCTACCCTAACCATAACAATAACATTAAACAATAATTCTAAACTTAATCCTAATTCAAACACTGTGCCCTATCTATAACACCAACAGACCCACAACCAAATGCCCAGTGAAAACACAAACACTAACACTAAACTCGAACTCTAACACTAACACTGACACTAACCCTTAATGCTAATTCTATATCCTGAAGCTAACCCTAACCCTGAATTTTAACCCATACCCTCTAATCCTAAACCTAAAACTTACTCTGATAATCTAAATTTAATCCTTAACCTAAATACTAACTCTAACACTTAACCCTAAAACTAACCTTGAAACCTTAACCCAAAGCCAATCTCTTATTTTTATAAGTAATCCTAGTGCTAACAATGAAACACTGAAGAAGTGAACCTAACCATAAGCTCAATACATAACCCTACTAATAACACCAATCCTAACTGTAAAGCATAAAACTCAAACTTTAACACTAAAACTAACCTAACACTAAACCTATCACTAAAAATAAGTCTAAATGATAACTGTAAACCTAAAGCCTAAAACCTAAACATAATCCTAATCCTAAACTATAAACTCTAATCATAACCCATAAACCTAACCATAAACCAAGAGCCTAATCCTAAATGCTAAACTAAACCTTAGACCCTAACTGTAACACTAACACTGATGCTAATCCCTAACATTAATCCTAAATCCTAACACTAACTGAAACCCTATTCCTAATCCTTACCCCAAATTCTAACCCTAACTTCAACCCTAACACCAAAACCAAATGTATGCCCTACCAGTAAGCCTAACCCTAACCCTAACACTAAACATAACCCTTACCACTAATCCTAACCATTTTACCCTTAACTTAACTCTGCCCCTACATGAACACCAACACCAAACGTAAACATAAACCTTACCTTACACTAAGGAGATAATTCTAAGCCCAAATCCTAACCCTAATTATAACACTAACCCTAAACAATATCCCAAACATTAGCCAAACCGTAAACCCTAACTCTAACACTAACACCTAATCCCAAGCCCTACTCTAACCCTAACACTAACCCTAATCCTAATCTTTAAATGAACAATTTAACCATCATCTTAACCCTAACTGAACCACAAGCAGGTACCCAGTGTTAAACCATAAATGAACACTAAACCCTAACCCTAAATTTTAACTCTAAACCAAACCTTTTAATCATAACCCTAACACTGAACATAACACTTACCCTAGTTTTCATCCTCATCCTGAATCCTAAACCTTACCTTAAACCAAACCCTAATGCAAACCCTTACACTACCACCTACAACTAAACCTAATTCTAACTATAAAACCCTAAATCCCAAAAACACTGAAGGTAATTTTAACTACATTCCATAACTCTAACACTCACACTAAACACTACACCTAATGCCCTTATCCTAACAGTAAAGCTAACATAATTCTAATATAATCTTAACCTTGGCACTAAACCTAAAAATAACTCTTACACTAAACACTGAACCTAATCATAACCTTAACCCTAAGTCATAAACCCTAAATCTTAACAGTAGCCCCAGCCCTAAACAAAGCCTTGTAACTCTAATTAAACCTAAACCCTAAACCTAAACCTAATCTTTGCCCCTAACTCTTGAAAAATCTTAATACTAATACTAACAACCTTAATCGTGACCACCAACCTCAACCTCAATACAAACCCAGCCCTAACAGTCATGCTAAACCTAAATACAAAGCCCTAACTGTATGCCCAACACTAACACTAACATCTAACCATAAATGTTGAACACTAACCTTAACAGTAACCCTAAACCCTAACCCTGAATCCTGAATCCTAACCCTAAACATAACCCTAGCCGTATCCTAATGCTAAACACTAACCCAAACACGGAAACCCAACACTAATGCTCTAAACTTTACCCTCAAGCTAACCCTTAAAACTAACCCTAACCCTGGTCAAGACCATAATTCCTAACTTTTAAATGTAAGCCTATTTTTTTTACCCTAAACCTAAGCATAACACAACCCCAAACCTAAACTCTAACCCTGATTATGAACCCTAACCCTAAACTCAACCGTAAACCTAACCCATAAACCTAATGGTAACTGTAACTCCAACCCTAATCCTCCGGTAGCACTAAATCTTATCTCAGGTCCAGCCCTAACTCTTAATCTAATCCTGAACTTTTCTGCAATTGTAAACCGTATCATAATCCTCCATTTCTATCCTATCCTTAAGGTTACCCCATTATGCTTAAAAAACTGTAAATACGTCCTCTATGACACTAATCTCTAACCCTTAATACCCATAAGAGTACAAGAAGTTATCATACCCCTTTCTAACCCTAAATCAGTATTGAATTAAACTTACGATATCACTAGGAGAAAAAACTAAATGTTACTAAATCTGATAATTATAGACATCATAATGTTTAATCAAATAACAGTACATGGAATTTGTTACATTGAGAAGACATTATACACCACAATGTTTAAGATCTTTTCTCAGAAAAGCAATTGTTTTTTTACCATTCTAATGCCATCCCTTTTCAATATATTATGTAAATCAAATGATGGAATACACCACGTTTGTCTCAACTTTTACCAAAAGTACTTAAAGACAGTCAACATATTTAACATATTTAACAATTAAAACATATTTAACAATTAAAAATCCAATAAAATGTGGTTCACATTTTTTTCACATGATAAAATGTCTTTATGAAAAACTCATAACAATCATCATCTAAATTTTTGGGAACCAAAGCTTTCAGATGAGGAACACATCACTGATGCTCAACCGTATTAAACCCTGTACTAGAAGTTTCAGTGGAACAAGTATATATATGTACACACACACACACACACACACACACACACACAGCTATTCATATGTAAAAGAGAAAAGTAAAACTACTGACAGATCTCATACACAGAAAACCGTGAGGAACCAACCAGAAATTATGAAATCTAGCAAACAAATTAAGCAAAATAACAGCACAAAATATCAACACAAAAAATATTTTCTTTTTGATGGCGTTTTGCTCTCATTACCTACGCTGGAGTCCAAGAGCACTATCTCGCTCACCACGAATTCCATCTCCTGGGTTCTAGCGGTTCTCTCACATCAGCCTCCTGAGTATCTGGGATTCAGACAGGCCCTACCAAGCCCGGCTAATTTTGTGTTTCTACTAGAGACTGGATTTCTCCATGCTGTCAGGCTGGTCTCCAACTCCTGACCTCAGGTGATGTGCCCACCTTGGCTTCCTTAAGTGCTGAGATTACAGGCATAAGCCATTGCACCTGGCCACAAAATCTATTTCTATTCACTAGCATTAAACCACATAAAAGTGAAATTAAGACAACAATTTCATTTCTCAAAAAAACAGAAAGGTGAAACCTTTCCCACTGCCCTGGAAGCCACAGATGCAGGCAGCTGGGGGAGGGACAGCCTTGGAGTTGAGGCTGTGCTGCTACATTGGGACCTGGCTGCAGTGGCTGTGGGTCTAACAAGAAACTGTTCAAGTTTCTGAGAAATCAAAGTAGAATTACTTTAAAACGTAACAGATGAAGAAGAGAAAACTTCCAGTGCTTTTCAAAGCCCTAACCCCATGATGTCATATAAATATCTTTTGAGTCATAATTTTTTTATAAAAGAACATGCACAAATATCAGCAATAATGAAACCCTTGTTGAGTGGCCCAAGTAATTTTGCTGAGAAGAAAATCATTGAGGTCAATGTGAGAGACATCCCTTCAAAAGTACTGCAAGGAGAGTGCACATATTTTACCTACACATATTAGTACATCCACAGCTCCACAGGGATTTTTAAATTCCCATTTCACCTGAAACTACACTAGAACTTCTGATGGCTTTGAACTTTCTTGATTGTATGTAAATACAATTGATTGTTTATAAATACAATAGACTGATATAATAAAATAAATTATAATCAACTGGTAACTCTTTTAAGTGTTTAAGACCTGTAGTTGAGTTTGTATTTTTTAGCAGATAGCACATTCCCTGTATGCAATGTAACTATAAAATTAATTGCTAACAAGGTTGTCTTCTGTACTTTTCATAACAGAGTTGAAATTTGTTTGCAATGTCAACAAATTAAGGACATTTTCACAAACTGAGAAATAAACATGGTAGTTCATAGGTGGTTTTCTTTACCTATGGATAAGACTTTTAAAATTAACAATGATCTAGAAAATGCTGAAAACTAGAAAAAATAAACATGTCCTACAGTTAAACAATTGGGCTAAGTGTTTTTATGTATTTAGTTGTTTGTTAATGAAACTATTTTGATGTTGTAGCTGTCAATAGCATTACTGGAGTTATGCAAATAATTGCATTATATGTATGTTCAAAACTTTGCCAAAACATTGGCTTACTCTTACTGACCCTAACATAATAAATGTTTTATTAATGCCTATAAGTCAAGGCAGGCACATGACTTGAGCCCAGAGGTTTGAGGTGAACCCAGGCAACATGGCAAAACATTGTCTCCAAAAAAAAAAAAAAAAATTAGCCAGGTATTCTGGTTGAGGCTAAGGCAGAAAGATCAAAGGAGCCCAGGATTGAGAGGCTGCAGACTGCAGTGAGCCATGATGGAACAATTGCAGTCCATCTTTGACAAAAAAATGAGACACTGTCAAGAAAGAAAGAAAGGAAGAAAGAGAGAAAGAGAGAAAGAGAAAGAGTGAAAGAGAGAAAGAAAGAAAGAAAGAAAGAAAGAAAGAAAGAAAGAAAGAAAGAAAGAAAGAAAGAAAGAAAAAATATGCGTTGAAATTTCTTAAGCCCTTTGATAAACTTCAGTATTGTTTAAATGTGTCCTGCCATTATTTTATTGTTACAATTTAAGAAGTTTATTTAAAGACGATTTTGGAAGATTACCAGGTACACTTTCTTAAGAAGTAATTAAACTTTACCAAGATGGTCAATAAGTCAACTATGCAACTTAGAGTTCTTGTGCATTAGGCCTTCTGGGAAACTCAAAGTACTATATTTTCACTGATTATAAAGCAAATCATCTTTTTCAACTTTCAAAACATAAAGAAAAACAACAACAACAAAAAAAAAAACAACAGGCTGAGAGTGGTGGCTTACAACTGTAATTCCAGTACTTTGGGAGGCCAAGGTGGGGTGATTGCTCAAGCCAAACTGTTTGAAGCTGCAGTGAGCTATGACTGCACAACCACCTTGCCACCTGGGCAACAGGAAAGCAACAACAAAAAATCAATGATCATATTGTTTTCAAGACTAAATTTAACCAAGGTGGAAAAATTAGATATGAAAAATTACAAAATACTGCTGAAATAAATTCCAGAAACCCTAAATAAATGTAAAGATGCTCAATGTTTCTGGATTAGAAGATGATTTTTTATGTGACAATACTGCACAAAGCAATCTATAAATTTACTGGGATTCCTGTGAAAACACCAAAATCCTTTTGGTAGAAATGGGCAAGACAATTGTAACATTCATATAAATTTCAAGGGATCCTGAATAGCCAAATTGTTCTTGAAAACAAAAACCAACTTGGAGGCTCACATTTCTCAATTTCAAATACTACCAATAAGCAGCAGTAATCAAAACAGCATAATAGTGGCATAAGTACACACACAGAGATCAATGGAACGGAATTTTAAATCCAACAATACCTCTATGGTCAATTGATTTTTGACATGTAGCCAAAATCAGTAAATAGAACAAATTGTGTGATACAACTGACTACCGCAAACAAAGAAATTGTTCTATTTTCTCACAATACAAATAAAATTAACTCAAAATAGTTCAAAGCCTATATATTAGAGGTAAAAACATAAACTGTAGAAGAAAACATAGGGATTAATCTTCATAACCTTGGATTTAGCAGTGGGTTCTTAGATCTGATACCAAAAGCACAGGCAACTAAAGAATTTTCTGAAAATTAACATTTTTGTGCATCAAAAGATACTATCAAGAAAGTGAAAAGACATGTTACAGAAAGGAAGATTTGTATGTTATGTATGTGACAACAGACTGTTATCCACAATATATGAAGAACTCACATACTTACACAACACAAATGACAAACAATCCAATTACAAAATTGAGAAATAGTTGAACACACACTTCAGCAGAAAGACATGCCTATGGAAAACAAGCACATAAAAAGATGAACAGTAAAATATATAAGTTTTATTCCATCAAGTGTTTCATAGATTAGCTTTTCTCATAGCCATGTGATTCTGTGTGGTAAAATTAGTCCTGTCCATCTCCACCTGAGGAGCAGCTAAGGTAACAATACTCCTGAAGTTTCCTTAGATGAGAAAAGAAACTATCTGCCAGGAAATAATATTCTGAAATGAAAACTTTCCTGCTGGACTAGAGTTTCCAATAAAGGTAACAGTTTGTCCTTCAGCCTCCATGGGCCCAAAAGTTATCATCCAGCAGGAAGTAATAAGGGAAGTCATTAAGTTAATGGGGTACATGGATAAACAAATGCCCCAAGTCCCATACCAAAACTGTGACATAATTACATACCTTCACAGCATTTCAATATTTAAATATTAATAAATCATCTGCTTAAATATCTAAGCTTACTTTATTTCCTTTACACTGTACCGCTAAGGAGATTTACAAATATTTATATGAATTGTCATGATGTGTGCTAGCATTTTTTTGTCATTTAAAAAATTGACAGATAGTCGTTTTTAATGTCATTTAAAAAATGATAGTCCATATACTGACGGACTACATAACATGTAAGTATTTAAACCTAACAAAACCTGGAACTAATAACACACAGTTAGGGAAGATATCAAAGTAATAGTCTGTCTAATAAATTCTTCTGTAATTTCAAAAATTAATTGTGTCATTTGTCTTCAGGACTGAGATTTTTTCTTTCCTTATGATTGCAAACACAGGCTTTCATTTCATTAACTATTATTTCCTTGATGTATCAATTGAGAGTGATCTCATCAATTATCTAACAAATAATGAATTTCTTTTTATCTTTAGAAACATCACATTATTAACTTTTCTACAGTTAGATAGCACAAGCTCTGACTTTAAAGTCTTAGCTGGACAAAGCCTTGGAAAATTAGATAAGGATGGGCACTGGGTGAACAGACTGAGAGATTACACATAAAATTCCTGAGACACCCAAGAGTCTGTGTCCCCACAATTGAAAGCAGACAAAAGTGCATCAGTTATTCTTTTACTTTATGATGATAGCCATTCCGACAGGTATGAGATGGTATCTCATTTTTCTTTCGATTTGCATTTCCTTAATTATCAATAATATTGAGTTTTTAAAAATAAGTTTGTTGGCCACCTGTGTGTCTTTCAAAAAGTGTCTGTTCACACTTCTCAAAATAAGTCATTTGTGCAGCCCACAGACATATGAATAAATGCTCATCATCACTGATCACTAGAGAAATGCAAACAACCAAGGCATGGTGGTTTGCCGCACCCATCAACTCATCACCTAAATTTCCCCTAATGTTATCTCTACACTATCCCACCACCTGCCACCAGGTGATGTTTTTCTCCCTGTGTCCATATGTTCTCATTGTTCAACTCCCACTTAAAAATGAGAACACGTGGTGTTTGATTTTCTATGTCTGTGATAGTTTGCTGAGAATGATGGTTTCCAGCTTCATTCATGTCCCTGCAAAAGACATGAACTCATCCATTTTTATGGCTGCATACTATTCCATGGTGTATATGTGCCACATTTTCTTTATCCAGTCTATCACTGATGCACATTTGGGTTGGTCCCAAGTCCTTGCTTCTGTGAATAGAGCTGTGATAAACATATGTGTGTGTGTGCCTTTATAGTAGAATGATTTATAGTACTTTGGTTATATGCCCAGCAATGGCACTGCTGGGTCCAGTGGTTTTTCTAGTCCTAGCTCCTTGAAAAATCGCCACACTGTCTTCTACAACAGTTAAATAATTAACATTCCCACCCACACTGTGAAAGCATTCTATTTCTCTACGTCCTCTTCAGCATCTGCTGTTTTCTGAATTTGTACTGATCGCCATTCTAACTGGTATGAGGTGGTATCTCACTTTGGTTTTGATTTATATTTCTCTAATAATGAGGGATGATGAGCATTTGTTCATATGTTTGTTGCCTGCATCAAAGTCTTCTTTTGAGAAGTGTCTGTTCATATCCTTTGCCCACTGTTTGATGAGGTTTTTTGCTTTTTTCTTGTAAACTTGTTTAATTTCCTTATAGATTCTGAATGTTAGCCTTTTTTCAGATAGACAGATTACAAGACTTTTCACCCATTCTGTAGGTTGTCTGTTCACACTGATGATAGTTTATTTTGCTGTGCAGAAGCTCTTTTGTTTAATTAGGTCCTATTAGTCAATTTTGGCTTTTATTGCCATGGCTTTTGGTGTTTAAACATGAAGACTTTGCACATGCCTGTGTCCTGAATGGTATTGCCTGGGTTTTCTTCTAGGAATTTTATGATTTTAATTCTTACATTTAAGTCTTTATTCCATCTTTAGTTGACTTTGCATAAGGTGAAAGGATGGGGTCCAGTTTCTGTTATCTGCATATGGCTAGCCTGTTTTCCCAACACCATTTATTAAAGGGAAAATCTTTTCCCCATTGCCTGCTTGTTTCAAGATTGTCAAATATCACATGGTAGTAGATGTCACATGGTAGTAGATGTGTGGTATTATTTCTGAGGCCACTGTTCTGTTCTATTGGTCTATATATCTGTTTCGGTACAAGTACCATGCTGTTTTGCTTACTGTGGCCTTGTAATGTAGTTTGAAGTCAGGTAGCGTGATGCCTCCAGATTCATTCTTTTTGCTTAAGATTGTCTTGTCTATGCAGGCTCTTTTTTGGTTTCATTTGAACTTCAAAGTAGCTTTCTTTTTCCAATTATGTGAAGAAAATTAATGATAGCTTGATGATGATAGCATTGAATCTATAAATTACTTTGGGCAGTATGGCCATTTTTCCAATATTGATTCTTCTATCCATGAGCATGGAAGCTTTTTATTTTTCATCTCTTTTTATCTCTCTTATTTCCTTCAGCTGTGGTTTGAAGTTCTCCTTGAATAGGTTCTTCACATCCCTTGTTAGTTGTATTCCGAGGTATTTTATTCTCTTAGTAGCAATTGTGAATGGGAGTTTACTCATGATTTGTCTTTCTGTTCTCTCTTATTGTGTGTAGGAAAGCTTGTGATTTTTGCACATTGATTTTGAATCCTGAGGCTTAGCTGAAGTTGCTTACCAGCTTAAGGAGATTTTATGCTGAGATGATGGGTTTTCTAAGTGTACAATCATGTCATCTGCAAACAGAGACAATTTGACTTCCTCGCTTGTGATTTGAATGTCCCTTATTTCTTTTTCTTCCCTGATTACCCTGGCCAGAAGCTTCAAATACTAGGTTGAATAAGAGTGGAGAGAGAGTGCATCCTTGTCTTGTACCAGTTTTCAAAGGGAATTCTTCCAGTTTTTGCCCATCAGTATATTGGCAGTGGGTTTGGCATAAGTAGCTCTTATTGTTTTGAGATATATTCTGTACATTTCTACTTTATTGAGAGTTTTTATCAAAAGCGGTGTTGAATTTTGATGAATGCCTTTTCTGCATCTATTGACATAATCATGTGGTTTTTGTCACTGGTTCTGTTTATTTGGTGCATTAGGTTTATTGATTTGCATATGTTGAACCATCTTTGCATTTCAGGGATAAAGCTGACATGATCGTGGTGGATAAGCTTTATGATGTGCTGATGGATTCAGTTTGTCAGTATTTTATTGAGGATTTTCACATCAATGTTCATCAGGGATACTGGCCTGAAATTTTCTTTTTTGGTGTGTCTCTGCAGGGTTTTAGTATCAGGATGATGCTGGCCTCATAAAATGATTTATGGAGGATTTCCTCTTTTTGTATGGTTTGTAAAAATATCAGAAGGAATGCTACCTCTTTGTATCTCTGGTAGAATTCAGCTGTGAATCTGTCTGGTCCTGGATTTTCCTTGTTGGTAGGCTATCAGTTACTGCCTCAATTTCAGAACTTGTTAATGGTCTATTCATGGATTTAACTTCTTCTTGGTTTACACTTGGGAGGGTGTATGTGTCCAGGAATTTATCCATTTCTTTTTGATGTTCAAGTTTATTTGCATAGAGCTGTTTATAGTATTATCTGACAGTAGTTTGTATTTCTATGGGATCATTGGTGATATTCCCTATATCTTCTTTACTATTCTGGCTGGTGGTATATGTATTTTGTTGATATTTTCAAAACACCAGCTCATGGATTTATTGATTGTTGAAAGGATTTTCCGTCTCTGTCTCCTTCAGTTCTCCTCTGATCTTAGTTATTTCTTGTTTTCTGCTAGGTTTTGAATTCATTTACTGTTGCTTCATTTGTTCTTTTAAATTTGACGTTAAGGAGTCAGTTTTAGATCTTTCCTGCTTTCTCTTGTGGGCATTTAGTGCTATCAATTTTTCTCTACACACTGCTTTAAATGTGTGCCAGTGATTGTGATATGTTGTGTCTTCATTCTCATTGGTTTCAAAGAACATCTTTATTTCTGCCTATTTCGTTATTTATCCAGTAGGGATTTAGCAGCAGGCTGTTCAATTTATATGTAGTTTTGTGATTTTGAATGAGTTTCTTAATCCTGGGTTCTAATTTGATTGCACTGTGGTCTAGGAGGCTCTTTTTTATAATTTCCTTTTTTTTTGTATTTGCTAAGGAGTGTTTTAATTCTAATTATGTGGTCATATTTTGAATACATGTTATGTGGCCCCTAGAAGAATGTAGATTCTGTTTATTTTTGGTGGATAGTTCTGTAGATATCTATCAGGTTTACTCAGTCCACAGCTGAGTTCAAGTCCTGAATATCCTTGTTAATTTTCTGTCTCATTATTTGCTGCTTGTTCTTTTCTCTGGAAGCTTCATCGCCAAGGGGCCCCTGTAAGATGCCAGCCAGTGCTCTGCTGTATGAGGTGTCTGTCAGCCCTTACTGGGAGGTGTCTCCAAGTCATAATACACAGAGGTCAGTGATCCACTTGAGAAGACAGTCTGACCATTAGCAGAGCTGGAACGCTGTGATGGGAGGTCTGCTGCTTTCTTCAGAGTCATCAGACAGGGATGTTGAAGTCTGCTGAAGCTGCATCCATAGCTACCCCTTCCCCCAGATGCTCTGTCCCAGGGAGAGGGGGGATTTATTTATAAGCCCCTGACTGGGGCTACTGCCATTTTTACAAAAATGCCCTAGCCAGAGAGGAAAAATCTGGCAATCTGAACACATGAGCCTTGCTGGGCTGCAGTTGGCTTCACTAGTTCAAACTTCCCTGCAGCTTTGTTTACACTATGAGGGTATAAGGGCCTACTCAAGTCTCAGCAATAGCGGATGCCCCTCCCCCACCAAGTTGGAGTATCCCAGGTTGATCTCAGACTGTTGCTTTGCTCACAGTGAGAATTTCAAGCCGGTGAACCTTAGTTTGCTTGCCTTCGTTGCGGGTGGCACCTAGTGAGCCAGACCACTTGGTTGCTTGGCCTCAGCACCCCTTTCCAGGGGAGTGAACAGTTCAGTATCCTTAGCATTCCAGGCACCACTGCGGTATGGAAAACAAACAAGGAAACCAAAAGACAAAAACAAACAAACAAAAAAAAACACTCCTGCATCTAGCTCAGTGTTTGTTCTAACAGCCTCCCCATTTTGTGCTTGAAACGCACAGCCCTTATGGAGTAGGCACCAAAGGGAGTCTCCTGTCTGCAGGTTGTGAAGACCATAAGAGAGGCACATATGTGGAACGGGGCACGTGGCTAAGTCCCTCACAGCTTCCCTTGGGTAAATCAGAAAATTTCCCAACCCCTTTAGCTTCCCGGGTAAGGTGATGCCCCACCCTGCTTCAGCTCATGCTGCATGGGCTGCACCCACTGTCCAACCAGTCCCAATAAGAGGAACAGTGTACCTCAGCTGGTAGTGCAGGAATCACTCAACTTCTGCATCGATCTCTCTGGGAGCTGAAGTCTTGAGCTCTTTTTATTCAGCCATCTTGCCAGCAATCCCCCCCATTTTTTTAAAATTTTAATGGTGAAGGAGGCATTAACTGGAAATGTAAAACTATGCAAATTCTAGAAGAAAGCACAAAAAGAAATTTATGTGATCTTGGGTTTGGTCAAAAGTTTTAACAAATGATACCAAAGCCGACCAGTAATGGTAAAAAATAATTAATAATTTGTTTTCTTATATTAAATGTTTATACTCTGAGCAAGATCTTGTTCAGGAAATAGAAAGATAAGCAACAGACTGAAAAAAAAATCTGCAAAATACAGATCTAAGCGAGAATTTGCACTGAAAATACACAAATCTTGAAACTTAAAAATAAGATTGATTACCCAATTAATAAGGTGTAAAGAGCTGAACTCACCAATGAAAATACACAGATGGCAAGCAAACAATAAGATGCTCAAACTCATATATCTATAAGGGACTGAAAATTACAACAATGAGTTAGCATGGCCCAACTGTATTTGCTGGAACTGATAAACCATTTTTAAAACATGACAAATGATTTGCTGGAGGAAAAACAGGAATTCATTCATTGCTTGTGGAATGTATGATGGTATCGAAAAAAATAACTCTTTCTAATTCTCAAATTAATCTGAAAGCCTGTTTCTCTCTTTTACCATGCACAGAAGGAGTTATCTGGTCTACCTTTTGATGACAGACCCAAGATCTAATATAATCTGTGCATCTGGCAGCAGCCACTGGGATCCAGGCAGAAAGAAGATGGGCCCCACAGTCAAAATCATCTAAGATCTTTTTAATAGAGAGTGACTTATGCAGGTTACCCACAAAGGATGGCAGAGTTCCCGGGGATAGTAACAGGAACACACTCTCAGCAGTCCTTGGGAATGGAGACATTAACTCAACCTGAAATTTAAAAGGAAAATTTACATTTGAATGTTGACTTTATAGTGCTGCAAAAGTAAAATATGGCAGGCTCCTTTAAGTATAGTGCCACAATTTAACTAAGGTCACCAAACAGATGTCTGAACCTCTGCAAAAAGACCCAAACTACAGTAGCAGAAATTGCCTTCTGCACTACAGTTGGGACAGAGGAAGTTTTATGGACCACATCTCATGAAGCAAGTGCTTCTAAGATTATCACCCCATTTTTGAGAGGCAACGAAGGACCTAACAACAAGCTCTCATCATAGCAATATAAATTTGATTCAAATATGAAAAGGTAAGGTAAAACTGGCCAGTCATGGTAGCTCCTGCCTGTAACTCCAGCAATTTGGGAGGCAAAGATAATAGGAATATTTGATTTCAGAAGTTCCAGACCACCTTGGGCAACATGGAAAAACCCCATCTCTACTAAAAATACAGCAGGGCACTGTGGCTCAGGCCTGTAATCCCAGAACACTGGAAAATCATTATGGGCAAATCGCTTGAGGTCAAAAATTCGAGACCAGCCCAGCCAACATGGTGAAACCACACCTCTACTAAAACTACAAATATTAGCTGGGCATGGTACTGGGGTGTCTGTATTCCCAGCTACCCAGGAGGTTGAAGCAGGAGAATCATTTGAACTCGAGCACAGTGGTTGCAGTGAGCCCAGTTCGCGTCATTACACTCAATCCTGGACAACAGAATGAGACTCCATCTTAAAAAATAAAAAAGAAAGAGAGTAAAAAAAAAAGAAATAGATAATTTGCTTCATGTGGTGGGGCATGGCTATTATCCCAGGTTCTTGGGAGGTGGAAACACAAGAATTGCTTGAACCTAGGAGGTGATGATTATAGTGAGCCGAGAGCACACTAGTGCACTCCAGGCTGAATGACAGAATGAGATTCAGTCTCAAAAAAAAAAAAAAAACCACAAACAAAACATAACGTTTTGTGTAGTGCTTTTCTAGTATATCTCATATTTGAGTATGAAGGCAGAGAAAGTTCTCACATTAAGTTAAACTTGCAAAAATAAACTTTATATTTAAAATATTTTAAGTGCCTCAAGTTCCAGCATCATCTTCAGATAGCAAGCACAAGAATAAACAGAAAAATAGAGAAGCAATGGCATGTGATAAGTGCAACTCATTTTGTTTTAATCTGTGAGATAACACTGTAATGACAGAAATTTTTAGCTGCTGCTGATGCAAGAGAGAACAGGTTTATGTAGAAATAAACTAATAATATTGGTCACCTGCTATGATCTAGGCACATAAGTTAGCTCACTGAATTCCCTCATCAACCATATACTGTGGAAAATATCCTAGAGTTTACTACTGAGGAATATGGAGTCAAAGGGCCTGCCCAAAGGCACACAAGCCATTGGACAAACAGATAGGATTCAAGAAGGACTCTAAGACTCAAAGCACTATCTACACTTTCCTATATGATGTTGATTGAAATTAAGAACTATTGAGTTAACTTTAGTCATCCCCCTCTTTGCCATAGAAATGGCAGTTTATACATCTATAGAGGAAGATTTTGGATAAATTATGTATGACTAAAATTTTATATATTGCTTAAAATCTATTTCAAAAAATACGCTAAATTATTATATCAACTTATTACAGAAAAATTACAGATTGATTGAGTTCCTCCTTTTTTGGATTAATAACTATGAGCTCCTCTTGCAAGTAAACAGCTTTTCCTGAAAGAAAGAGCCTTTTAAACACTATAATGTTTTCCTAGTGAATACAAAAGCTATTTAGTATTTATGGCCAGTATGTCAGACTTAATGACCATTATTTTATAATATGAAATAGCCTGTGTAGGGGACAAAACTTTCACAGGCACGTAAGAAATAAGCCCTGCTACCTAACAGGTGATGTGAAGCTATAACTGTCATCTATGTGGTGAAATTCCACCATCTACACCTGCTAACCAGAGAGGTTTTAACTTCCTTGAAGAAGATCTCTCTGTTACTATATTGTAAAAGACAACATTGTTATTTTATTGTAGGTATTACTTTGTTATTTTCATTTTATTTAACTTGAATCTATGTAGATATATTATTAAAGCATAATTTGTTATATAGATGATGGTAGTAATTTATAAAAGAAGGGTTAGTCTCCACAAGATAGTAGTAAAAGGGGAAGCCACACACTGGGTGTCTGGACAACATCAAATAACCACTCTTGGTGTACTCCCAATAGTCTAATTGAAAATTCCAACAAAACGTCACCTCTCCTTACAGGCAATTTCCTAGAAATATATTGAAATGTAAATTATCTGAAGATTGGGAAATTACTCACCTTCCAGTCTCAAGGGCAATATATACAAGAATTCGGAAGGTTATATATAAAGTAAAAATATTATAAATAAAAAATATATTAGAAGCCAATGAAATAAGAAGCTATGTCACAGGAGACAGAGAAGTTAGAAAATTTTTCATAAGTGAAATACAAGGTATCTCATGGTGAAAAGTAATATGTGCCAGAGGCAATAAGTTACTGCCAAATTCTTGATAATTACTGATTTATCAAAATATATTGAAATAAACTTTAGGAAAATATACAGAAAAAATAACTGGCCTTTCTGATTATATAAAATATTAAAAATAATGGTTTGTCGAAAGGCAGTGAAGACAATTTTTTTTAATTTTACATAATTAAAATTAAAAAAAGTGAACTATCAAAGAGACAATTAAGCATAAGCTATGTTTTTTAAAATATAAAACAGACTCAAATTGGGAAGATAATAACCTGTATCAAAACTGAAAACTACGGCTTCTTACCCCACCCAAACCTCACCTTTATTCTTCCTTTGCTCTTCAATCAGTCAGTTAGTTCTAATGATGTAGTCATCCATTAATTCAAGTTGATACCTGAGAATAAGAACAATTAAATACAAGTTTCACAGTTACCTTTCCAGAAAGACGTTTATCAATGCAGAAGCTTATCTATGGTACAGGTGCACCTGAGGGCACTGAACACGACATTGTGTGAACTTCAAAGTCCCTAAGTACTAAAGCCTGGGATATGACTTTCAAACATAAAATGTACAGTAAAACCCTGCCTTCATGTTATAAATCACAATCATACAAAATGGAGGGCTATGTTGTCATAAGGCTACTGAAACCATCGTTTTCCTCTTGGTCTCAACTGACCCAAAGAGCATGGAAGAAAATTAAATTTACACAGCACACAACAGACTCAATATCAAATGATAATTAGACAGTCACTTTCAACCCACCTGTACTATCTGCCCAGCACAAACAAATGTAAGGACTTCTGTGCCCAGGGACCAAGCATGGTCCGGGGAAGCAGGTGCTAAGAGTATTATATCTGAATTAGTGATACCCAAAGGTACATTTTCACGGTTTTACTTTTCTATCCCAGACTTTAGAAGCTGCCTTTTGATTCCAAAAGTATAAAGAAACACTCCTGTGGTGAACAGTCCCCAAACTCCAACACTTGCCAAAGTCATACGAGAACTCCCAAAGCCAGAAAGACACCATGCAGGCCATGGAAGCTGTCACAATGATACCAAATAGTTGACTAGCTCCATAACTATATAAAATTAACAAACATATTTTAATACATGTTTTCCTAAAAATTCAGTAACTACAAAAACTTCATATTAGCTACTTTAATATAGAAACTGACAAAAAATTGGGTGAAATGCATCAATTTCATAAGTAAAAAATAATGTTTGTCATGGTTAGGAGTAATATGTACCAGAGGCAATAAGCTGCTGCCAACTTCTTGACAACTACAGATAAATCAAAATGTATTGAGAAGATATTGGAAATTCAGAATCTATTAAAAACACTTTTTTAAAATAGACTTTTTATATAGAATAATCTCAAGAAATCTTTGCAAGTTCTGTGTAATGGAATATTGATGATAAATTATGAAGTAGGCAATAAAAAGAGGCCAAATAAATGACCAGAGCACCTGAGTTGAGTCATTTCCTCCTGATACATTAACAGCAAATATTAACTGTGTACCTTTTATGTGTCAGATGCTTTCGAACCCATTGAAAAGTTATGACATGGGCATAATGTCTTAGCACTGAGGTATTACTCACTGATACGCAAGATCAGAGAAAAGAAAAGCCAAGGTAACCATAGTTGTCCATATTTTCCTTTTCCTATATCAATATTTGCCTCACATAGTTAATTTTAGCTCTTTTCCTTTGATTATGGCTTTGCAGAATCATGAAGCAATACAAGGCACATGTTCACTGACAAACAATCTGACCACTAAGTGTAATTTATACATTGTTAGATAGCCCCATCTTTGTGGCAGTATGAGGGGGGTAGGGGAAAAGTTAACTGAAAGTGATTACAATTCAAACTTTACAACTTATCAACTATGCAACCTCAGCAAGTCACAACGTGCCATTAAATTTAAAGCAAATCACCACCGTCGATAAATATTTGAGAAGCCATGAGTAAGAAGAACAGAGGATGTGCTTTTCCATACCTTATCTTTTAAAAGCTACCCTAACTCAAACGCAGGAAAGTATTGGTTATTAATAAACATATGCATTTTTTAAACACTAAAGTTTCCATAAAATGTTAATCATAGACTACTTCCTTAGTGTTTATTGTGTTTCTACCAATGTAATTTAAACCTTTTACTTCTTTAAATGTGCCAAACAATTACTTTAGAAGTTTGTTTTTTAGCTTTCGGTCATAGGTCTCATCAAGACACTTTGTATTCTGCTCCCATCTCCTAAGTCCTCAGTCATGCTTTTAGGTTTTTCTTGCTGGAGTTTCTGGGTTCTGAAATTAGCGAGAAACATAAAGTAAATAAACTATAATAGCTGAGTTAACAAATTTAGGAAAAACATCACGTGACATGGTTTTAGTTCAACAGACTAAAACTGCTACATGACAATTACTACTGGGAAGTAGAAGAAAAGAGCCAGAAGTCCTCAGTGTATTTTATGAACTGACCTAATTACAGTGTGTTGAAACTAGCAGAAGCAGTGGGCTGCGGCATATAACTGAGAAGAGTGAGAGGATCTCTGACTGAGGGGAGTCGGAGAGTCTCAAGAAAGAAGTGGTTTCTCATAGACCATAATTAATACTTAAACAATAGTTAAAGGTGATAAATTGTCCAAATCAATTCTGAGATGAAAGAATAATACTATTAGTTACAAAGTAATAAAAGTGCACTTACGGCCTGGGAGCTGTGGCTTATGCCTGTAATCCCAGCACTTCAGGAGGCCAAGGCATGTGGATCACCTCAGGATGAGTTCAAGACCAGCCTGGCCAAAATGGAGAAAGCCTATCTCTACTAAAAATACAAAATTAGCCAGGCATAGTGTCACATGCCTGTAATCCCAGCTAGTCAAGAGGCTGAGGAAGAAGAATCCCTTGAATCCAAGAGGCAGATTTCACAGTGAACTGAGATTGCACCATTGTACTCCAGCCTGGGCAACAAGAGCAAAACTCCACCTCTAAAAAAAAAAAAAAAAAGTGTACCTATGTATTTGAATCGTCTATAACGCTGTCTGTAACTCTGGAATTTAATTAATTATCTCATAGATATTTAAGGTACAATGTTTGTTTTTCTCACTTAATAGTCTATCAGCTTTAGTCAAGTGTGGTGGCCTTCCACTATAATCCCAGTTTTGCAGAATGCTGAGGCAGGAGAATCACATGAACCCAAGAATTTCAGACGAGCCTGGACAACATAGAACATCGTGTCTCTTAAAACCAAAACATCACCAACAAAAAAACCCTACAAAACAAAAAACTGTTGATGGAATACTGATCAAGTGCCAAAAGAGACAGAAACAGAAAGACGGGTCACTCAGGGCTTCCAAATACTGAAGAATAAAATGATCTTCATAGTAAGACTTCAAATCACCCATTGCAGCAATTCCCAAACCCAGGGAGATGGATTCACAAATGATGAGATCCAGCCATCCTGAGAAGTACTGCAAAATACTGACTAGTCTGAGATTTGACCCAGCCATCCCATTACTGGGTATATACCCAAAGGACTATAAATCATGCTGCTATAAAGACACATGCACATGTATGTTTATTGCGGCATTATTCACAATAGCAAAGACTTGCAACCAACCCAAATGTCCAACAATGATAGACTGGATTAAGAAAATGTGGCACATATACACCATGGAATACTATGTAGCCATAAAAAATGATGAGTTCATGTCCTTTGTAGGGACATGGATGAAACTGGAAATCATCATTCTCAGTAAACTATCAGAAGAACAAAAAACCAAACACCGCATATTCTCACTCATAGGTGGGAATTGAACAATGAGAACACATGGACACAGGAAAGGGAACATCACACTCTGGGAACAGTTTTGGGGTGGGGGGAGGGGGGAGGCATAGCACTGGGAGATATACCTAATGCTAGATGACGAGTTAGTGGGTGCAGCGCACCAGCATGGCACATTAATACATATGTAACTAACCTGCACATTGTGCACATGTACCCTAAAACTTAAAGTATAATAATAATAAAGAAAAAGAAAAAAAAAAAGAAAAAAAAAAGGATCCAGGTATTAGCTCCCTCTGCTGGTAATGTGGAAAGCAATGGAGAGGTAAACTACATTGATTTAATATATATGCTGAGAGAAGGGAAATGGAGTAGAGAAAATGTGGGTTAAAAAAAGTGATGTACTCTCTCTGCCCAAATGTTGATTCTCTTTTTTTCTCTCTCTCGATTAATTTACCTTTTCATTATTGCCAAAAAGAGAGTAAAGTACACAGTGAGTTGAAATAAAAAAAATCAAACCTATAGAAGTGAGAAAACAACATTAAATAAGATGGAGACAAATTTTTTAATGAGTTAAAATCCCTAAAGTATCTATCAGTGTCAATTAACAGCACATTCCCAGTGGAAAAGAAGGCTTCTTGTGCAAACTATAGACAGGTGAGCCTACTGTCAATCCCAGGTAATATACAGATGAAACATTTCTGGGCACTTAGAAAAAGTGAATAGCATTGAGAAATAGTTTCAGCAGTACAAGTCAAGTCAAACCACAATACTTCCTTTTTTTGAGCACAGAGCTGGTAAAAACCACAGGCCTGGATATTTGAAATTCAGTTACAATAAATAAACACACAAAACTATCAGACCTGAAGGAATGAAGTTAACTTTAAAATATATGATCTGTTGAAGTACTAACAGCGTCTCCAAATTTTCTGTATGATGTTACTGTGGCCTGGTGATAGCATCTCATTCTGCCTTTCATCTTAATGTTTAATATTTCAAAAGCACAGCCCTAGTGTTTGTTTCCTTAACATGTAACTTCTAATGCTGGGTGATATCACCTTTATAAAAAGGAATTCTATTTGTCAACAAATGTTATAATATTGAGACATATATTGAGTAATTATTTTTAATCTCATCATTCTGAATATCCAGAATAAACATGCATACCTACAGTTCAAAATCTTCAACTCTCTGCTTCAGCTCTGCTTTTCTTTCTCTTAACAAATCCATATCTTTTAGTAAAAGAAGCCTTGAGCATCAATTTTCTTGTTTCAATCTCTAAAAAAGCATTTATTTTTGCTGGTTTGTAGTGGCTCATGCTTGTGATCCTAGCCTTTTGGGAGGCCGAGGCAGGTAGGTCACGAGGTCAGGAGTTCAAGATCAGCCCAGCCAAGATGGTAAAACCTCATTTCTACTAAAATACAAAAGTTAACTGGCCTAGTGGCAGGAACCTGTAATCTCAGCTACTCAGGAGGTTGAGGCATGGAACTGCTTGAACTTGACAGGTGGAATTTGCAGTGAGCCAAGATCATGCCACTGCACTCCAGCCTGGGTAGCAACACAAGACTCTGTCTCAAAAAAAAGGCATTAAGTTTTAGCAAGCAAGTTAATGAAAGCATAACAAATTTAAATGAATATGCTGCTTCGTAAATTCCAAAAACCGAAGTACAGAAATTGAGAATAACTATTTCACCTTCAAATAATTCCAACTCAGCTGGACATGGTGATCCACTCATGTAATCCTAGCCCTTTGGGAGGCCAAAACAGGCTGATAACTTGAGGTTAAAAGTTTGAGACCAGCCAGGCCAATATCATGAAACCACATCTCTACAAAAATTACAAAAATTAACTGGGCATGGTGGTGGGCAGGCATCTCTAATCCCAGCTACTTGGGAGGCTGAGGCAGGAGAATCACTTGAACCTGGGAGACAGAGGTTGCAGTGAGCTGAAGTAGTGCCATTGCACTCTAGCCTGGCAAAAGATTAAAACTGCATCTCAAAAAAAAATTCACTTCAATGTATTCCTCAACTACCTATTCCAGCTGCATAAGTATTTACTCTCTCAGTTTCTGTTAAACTGTGTTTCCATATATTTTTAACATGCCTTGTGTAATTTATACTACATAATTAACATCTCTCAGTCCCTTATGTATTTTTTTGAGACTGGGATCTGCTCTGTTGCCCAGCCTTGAGTGCAGTGTTTTGATTTTGGATAACTGCAACCTGTGCCCCCCAGACTCAAGTGATTCTCCTACCTCAGCTTTCTGAGTAGCTGAGACTACAAACACGCACCACCAAGTTCAGCTAATATTTTTGTAGAGATGGGGTTGTGCCGCTGCCCAGGCTGGTGTTGAATCTCTGGGCTCAAATGAGATCACCATGTCAGCTTCTCAATGTGCTAAAACTACAGGCATGAGCCACCACACCTGGTCCCCTTAACTATAATTTTGTAAGTTCTTCAGGAAAAAAAAAAATAAATGTACATTCAGAAATAAAACTCCAAAAGAATAAAATCTCCTTGGTTTTTAATGGTGGTGCTGTCTGAATGTTTCAGTTCATGAGTCATTGAGTTCATGGGTTATGAGTCATAATTCAGAGTTAGAAAGCTCATATGAACTTGTAAATGAAGGAGCCAACCTTCCACTTATGTCCTCACAGAGCAATAAATTACTAACTACCTATCAAGAAGCACGCTGGGACTGGATACAAAAGTGTAATCAGGTATAGTCCTTATCTCTGAAGATCTCACAGTATAGTCAGGGAGAACCAATCACACTAAGACAGGATAATTTTATAACTCAGGTAAATAAAGACCACATTCAGGAATGAGCCCTCAAATGAGTTTCTAAGTGGGAATCATGGAAGGCATTGCAGGGGTGACATCCAAGCTGGGCCTTGAATGACACTGTGGTTTAATCCGGGAGAGAAGGGGATTGATATTCCAGGTGACGAAATACAGGCATGGTGGTTTTTATGGGAATGACAATCTTCCTCAAAGACTTCAGATACTCACAGTTGAATAAACAGAAATCTAGTTAGTCACCTATCCTGAAGATGAAGTTATTAGTCTAAACACAATAGAATCATCTCAAAGATCTGTGCACCCAACATTCAATTTTATAGCTGAGGTAAGCCCTATTTCCAGAAATGAGATAGAAAATTTTAGAGCATGTGCCCTTAGCATTAAACAACCTATGTCTCATTGAGAAGCTCCAAGCAAGGGGGAAGACTTCCTACTTTTAACATCCGGCAGCAGCAGTTTTAGATGTATGTTTGAAATACTGCTGTATTTCTTAGACTGTTTGGTCTAAGACACACACTTGGAAAAGAAATAAGATTTCTTAAAGGAATAGTTAGATTCCCACTTACCAACACAAACTCCCTGTCACTCCTCATCCTCTTCATATCCTTCCCAATTGCTTTACCAGTAATGAGATCAAATGGCCACATGGATGACCCTAGGGTCCCTAGTGACTCCTTCACCCCAGGGATATTTACTCTTGCTCATTTCCATGGCTCCATCCAATGGCAGCACACTGCCTTTGATTTCCAGTCTCCACTTGAAATCTCATCCTGTAGTTCTGCACTCCTGGACCATCTTTATTCTTCCACATGCCAGTCTCTCCAGATCTAGTTCTTGATCGCTGAGACTACCACTCAACACTCCCTTTCCACCTAGGTCACCCGCCCCCTGCCCTCTCCTCTGCTTACCTTCACTACACAGGAGAACCACAGATTCTTCAGTTAAATAGGCTGTCTTTCTCAAGGAAAATGAATTATGCTATGCAAAGCTCCACTTCCAGAGCATCTCCATATTTCCAACCTCAGTGAAAGGGGCAGCAGAGACAGACCCTTGCAATTCCTCCCCAGAGCTAGAACAGAAACACGTGGTTTTGTCTCTCTCAACTCCAGGTTACCCCAACCATAGCTGGGCCTTCAGTACAGGTAATCAGTCAGCTCTCCTTTAAAGAGCTGTTCTTACCTTACCCACAGGAACTACTCTGCACCTCCAAGCTGCTCCTGAAACCCTTAATCTATCTCCTTAATTTGTCTAAGAAGATGAAGCTTTTCAGCGAGTGTTTCTCATAATTCCAACTTGTCGGGTCACCTATGCAATTCTTCCCTTTCCACCAGTCTCAAAGGATGAAAATCCGTGTATCCGTTTCAAGGCCCACCGTTCTTTTATTTGCAATCTTGGCCGCAGTCCCTACTGCTCTTCTGGGGCCTTTTTCCATCAATTGTAACATCTCATTCCTGGATCCTGAGTCAATCCAATAATAGCTGTAGGAAATATCCACCCAGTAAAATATTTGTAAATACCACCTCTTGGTGCTTTTGGTTTCTCTCAAAGATACTCTTTCTATAAAGAATGAGGCTTTCAGATTCTGCTTGACAAATCTTCTCCAAATCACTTCAGAACATAGCTAATTCATTTGCATACTCTCTTACCACTTCCATTAAAAAACTTCAACTGCAAATTGATTACAAAAAAATAAAAGTTCCAATCATTATACCATAAGAACAGCAACAAATTCTCCCTCCACAGCTAGGCTCCACATTAATGCTCTGTCCAAATATGTTATATTTATTTAATCTATAGTTTTATATCATTTACTGTATTTGTAGAACTCAATCAAAGGTATAAACAAATCTCATCAGAAAAAAATTGATATGCACAGCACTGAAGTATTCCATTTTTTATTAAAATTTCCAGGTATTTTTTTTTTATTATACTCTAAGTTTATACATAAGATTAAACCTTTAGATGACAAACAAAAACATGACTCTTGTTAACTGTAACAAGATAAACATTACCTTTTGACACATTCCTGTCAGAAGTTGCTTTTCTATTTCTCCGTATCTTCATTTAGCTTTATTTCTAGAGACTCAAACTTTATATGCTGAGGATAAGCATCTGCAATTGATCATCAATAAGCTGAAGATTGCCAGCTATTAAAAAGTAACAGGTCAAATTAGGACACAGAGACATGGTGAGGTGTGCAAGAGGCCAGTCTTCTGGTTCAAAAATAAAGAGTATACTTTGGGGAAAGCATGGGTGTCTGCAATTTACTCTGAAAAAAAAACAAAAAAAGATGTAAGATAGATGAATAGATGAACAGAAAAAAATGATGAAGCATATATAATGCAAATGTAATAGTGAAATCTAGATGATAGGTATGTAAGTGTTGACTAGAATTGTTTCAACTTTTCTCTATGTTGAAGATGCTTAGGCATTTACCAGCAACCACTGTGCTCACTAATTTAATTTAATTTAATTTTTTTTTTTTTTTTTAGAGACAAGGTCTTGCTATGTGGCTTGCCCAAGTTGATCTCAAACTCATGGCCTCAAGTGATCCTCCTGCCTGGGCCTCCCGAAGTGCTGAAAGCACAAGAATTAGTCACTTTGTCTGGTTATAGCTTTTAAGAATACATCTGAAGAAAGTCCTTCCTAAGCATGATACAAAACCTGGAGGCAATAGGGAGATATCTTTATGAACCTCACTACATAAACATTAAAAATTTACATATGGCATAGAATAAACAAAAATAATACACTGGAAAAATAGTTACAATAATATGCAGGCATAACCAGGACTAAAGTTATTACATTTTAATATTGTTAAACAGCTCTTACAAATCAGTTAAGACAAAAGAAAACAAAACTGAAAAATGGGAGAAAACATGGACAGATTATAGAAAAAATAAAATGTCAAACAAAGATGAGAAATATTATCACATGTTGAATAAACATGAACAAAATCACAAATGCAAGTTAATAAAGCAAAGAAACCATTATTTTCCCTGTAACACCATTAAGATTAATACTTTGATAACGCTAATGTTGGCAATGGAGTGGAAGTGTAGCTATCCTCATTCCCTTGGGAGAGGTATGTGTCAGTGCTTATATATATTCAAAATGCAAGTGTCTTTCCATCTACTCATTCTAATTCTATGAATTCACACAGCTGTACTTTTACAGGTGCACAGAGTGTGCACATTGCATATTGGTTGCCTCTATTGGAAAAGGGCAAACAATAAGACAACTAAATTTCCATCAATGGGGGTTAAATATTTACTTTAAAAACAATTAACTCAATATACTGCTACAGATAGATATATTGGTGGATAGAAAAAGCAAATTGCCTACAGGATCTATAATATAATTTTATTTGATTGTATGTTTAAATTAGAAATACATAGACTTTTAACCTCAATTCTAGAAAAATAAGAAAGAAACAAAATTATTAAAATTCGAGTTATCAGTGGAGAGTGAGATTAGACAACACAGGCAGAAATTGCTAGTTTATTTTCACTTTATATCCTTCTGAATAATCTGAAACTTTGTTTTAAACCAGAAGCATAAATTATTTAAGAAATTTTTAGTTTCTTGAAACTAAAAGTATTAGTCAGCTCAGCACTTTATCCCCATCCCCATCGTCTTCACTGAGGGGATTACAGTTAGATTGCTTTGACAGTCTGCATTCTATCCAGGGATCAGAAGAACAAAATTTGCAAATATTAATGTTTCTTCATGGTGATGTAAATTATGGGCTTTCATATTGTTCTTTTCATTCTCCTAACAGTGTCTTTCACAGAGATGATTTTAATTTCAGTTAAGTCTAACATCTATTTTTTTCTTTCATATATCTTGCTTTTGGTGTCATATCACATCGTGAAACTCAGGATCACATAGACTTTCTCTTGTTTTTATTTGGAAATATTATAGTTTTGCAATTTACATTTAGGTCTACGGTTCATTTCCATACATATGAATATTCAATTATTTCAGAGTCACATGTTGAAAAGACCATATTTACTCTATTGGATTGCCTTTGCACCATTGTTAAAAAAATCAATTGACAATATTTGTGTGAATCTATCTCTGAATTCTCTATATCTATTCCCATTGATGTATGTGTCTATTCTTTTGACAATCATAGATAAGAATTTTAACTTTCTAAAAGCAAAGGGCCAATGTCCACATTTTCTTTCCTCGTCCAAATTTTGTGTGTATCATTATCTGCATATCTTTATCTCTCAAAGGAAATATTAACAGTGGGAAGACTGGGTGACTAGAAGCTAGGAGGAAAGTACTGTGACTATTCAACAGTTTGGCATCCCCTGAGAGTAGGTATACTAAAATAGGATAGGATGACATGTCTCTGAATCAGGGAACAGAAAACTGTTCAGTACAGTATATCTTCCTATAAGTTTTCTGTTGTCAAATTGGAAGCCACAAATTTTTAAAATAATTTTTCTTTTACCAGAAACTATTTTATTGTTAGCTAAGAATTCTATCCAAATTTTGACACTAGGATGACTGACATGTTTTCTACTCATCATTTTTCTGACTTCTGGAAATTTTACGGGGATGCTAGGTAAAGCTTGTAATGGTTGTCAGCCAGATAGATTTCTGAACCAGATGGATTTAAAGAGACTGTGTAAAGATGGAAAAACTGTTTTTAAAGATAATGTATTATAGTAAATATATAGATTATTTCATGTTGGGGGCCCAGTCAGGCTGGTGGAAAAAATATTAAAGACTGTTATAGTAATAGCCACAAACCATCTTGGAATGTCAGAGAGTTTGCATAACTTCGGTAACAGATATGGTTGAATATGGTTGAAGGCGACCTGCTTTACCTTTAGTTAAATAGATTAAAGTACTAACAAAGGAATGTGGGGAAGTTATGTAGCTAGCTTTTTTACTCATGTGGTCTTAAGACTAATCTTTGAGGTACCATGGGTGCTTAAGTGCTTTCCACTCGGGAATACCACAATGTCAATTACGCCCCAGTGGTGTTGACTAAAGTCTTTCTCAATTAATCTTTACTGATAAATGCGAGTCTCACTAGCTGGTCAGGGCCAAAGTTGCAACTGTTTTACAGCACTCTACTGGAGTCTGTAAGTGGCTCAGACACCCAGCTTCAGCTGGACTGGGAAAGCAGAACATCTGTGTATCAGTGCTGGTGCCACAGTGTGAGAAGTGTGAGAAGTGCTACCACAGTTTTTTTTATTTTCTTTCTTTCTTTCTTTCTTTCTTTCTTTCTTTCTTTCTTTCTTTCTTTCTTTCTTCCTTCCTTCCTTCCTTCCTTCCTTCCTTCCTTCCTTTCTTTCTTCCTTTCTTTCTTCCTTCCTTCCTTCCTACCTTTCTTTCTTTTTTTCTCTTTCTTCTTCTTCTTTTTTTCTTGTTAGGGGTAAAATGGAATCTAGCTCTGTCACCCAGGCTGGAGTGCAGTCATATGATCTCAGCTCACTGCAAACTTCACCGCCCGGGTTCAAGTCATTATCGTGCCTCAGCCTCCAGAGTAAATGGGATAAAATGCACTTACCACCACGACTCAAACATTTTTGAATTTTTAGAAGGAGTGGAGTTTCACTGTGTTGGTCAGGCTGATTTCAAACTCCAGAACTTTAGTGATCCTCCTGCTTTAGCCTCCCAATATCCTGGGATTACAAGCATAAGGCACTGTTCCTGGCCCGTAGATTATTCCTTAATATCTCTTCAAGCCATTCATTTTATTTTGAAGTAACAATTAAGCAATAGATAGCTGCTATATACCTTAGAATCATGCTGTTCATTATGATAGTCACTTTGCACATGTAGCTAATTAAATATAAATTAAAAATTTAGTTATTCAGTTACACTAGCTACATTTAAATTGCTCAATAGCCACAAGAGACTGGCAACTACCACATTAAACAGTATAGGTAAAGACGTTTCCAACATCACATTGAGTTATTCTGAATGGTGCCTAGAGCACAGACTATAGAATCATTTACCTACTGAATTTCAGTAGGGATGGTCTAGTGTGCAGGCAGCCTAGAAAGTCTTGTTCTTCAATTTATTTATCTTCTACTAACATTACTACAATGAAGCCTGGCAATTAAGTCACAGACTCAGTGGCTGACAGAAAGTATGTACTCAAATGATTAAGTTCTGAATGAATGAATGAATGAATAAATGTCTCTGTCAGGATGATAGAAATGCATGCAACAGACAAAATCCCAAGGGCGTAGGAACACAAAAGGACCATTACTAATTCACATATTATTTTAAATGTCCTAAGGTATAACTAAGCATAAAAGGCAAGTTGCCAGCTTATGTTCATGCTACAAAGTCCATTATGAAGTCTAACCAATGGTCCAGAACTCACAGTAGTTACAAACTATAAAAGTTTTGTATGAAGGCCAAAATTAAGGCAATTAATCAGGTCTGTGTATACACTTAAGAGCAAAAGTTATATTACACATTACTAAACACATACTTTATTCATTAATGGCATATTAATGCATTTAATACTCTTATCAATTGCACTGGAGAGGCATACCTAGTATACAAAGATACTTGGCCTAAAAGACAGTTTTTTGAAGGTTTTTTTTTTCTTGGAAATGTTCCCAACAATGGATATTTTTACAGGCAGTATCTTTCAGTGTGTCTGTAGGACCCTTGATATTGTCTGAAGTTTTCTCATTTGACTATCTAAAAGTTATTATGAAAATGAAAATATGGGAATAATGACCTGCAGAACAGGTGAAATATTGCTTACAAAGTAAGATATGGTCAGCAAGGAAAAACATGTAATTTAAATCAAATTAAATTTCTTACTCTTCTCACTCAAAATTAGCTTCATTCTTTTAGAAGGAAAAGTACGTAGAAAAATCTTGCTACAGTTTAAAAAGATATAGGCTCCTACCTTTATGGGTTTCTTTATCAAACTCTGACACATGTTAAAAAATATTTTACTTTTATAAAGCTATTTGTTTATAATTAACAAACCAAAATAGATTATAGAAACTAAATAAACTTACCAGTGAGTTCTAGGAACTGGAAGTAGGGTGAATTTTTACTGAGTGCAATCAATCCTGCATAGTAAATACCTTAAGAAAATAAAAGGTTACCAATTAGACATGGTTTTATAGCAGTGTTTAAATCACACATTATAATGTTTATGAATATGAGATTGAGAAACATCCTTCAGAAAAAAAAACTAAGATTACAAAGGAAAATTGAAGCTCTTTCTTACAATGTTAGATAAAATACAAAAACACATTGAAATACCTTTCTTGATTTTGCAATCAACCTCTAAGTATTTTACATCAAAGGTCATTCAATTACAATTTTTTAAAAGTAGTGTTTAAAATATAAATAAGCTAAATTTTCATTGTCTTTGCAATCATGATGAAAGTGCACTTAAAATACTGTTAAACAGACATTTTGGGCAGCTATTTATATATATTCTACAAAAGTATATATCAATTATTATGTCTACCCTGAGAACACTGATATGTTTTCAACTGGATTTCCTTTAAAGAAAACATTTTGAATTGGCATTTTATATTTGTAGAAACAATTAAGTTGTTTCAGTGGGATGAATTCCTGTTATAAGAATCATACAATTGGTAATTACACTTACCAAAAAAAAAAAAAAAAAGCAGAATATGGTGGTGTGTGCCTGTAATCCCAGCTGTTTGAAAGGCTGCAGTAGTATAATTGCTTGAACTCAGAGGGCAGTTGTAGTAAACTCAGATTATGCCACTGCCCTTCAGACTTGGTGACAAAGTGAGACCCTACTACTAAAAAATGAATATGTAAATAAATACATTCATAAAATGGTTAAGTACAATTTGGTTGCTTATGAAGAAACAACACATTTAAAATTTTCATTTCAATACTGTACTAAGGCCAGGCATTTTGGTTCACATCTGTAATCCCAGGACTTTTGGAGGCTGAGGCAAATGGATCACTTGAGATCAGGTGTTCGAGACAAACCTGGCCAACAAGGTGAAACCCTGCCTATACTAGAAATACAAAAATTAGCCAGGTGCTTGGGTGAGCACCTGTAATCCCAGATGCCTGGGAGGCTAAGGTGAGAGAATCGCTTGAAACAAAGAGGTGAAGCTTGAAGCCCAAGATCATACTACCGCACTCCAGCCTGAGCAACAGAGTGATACTCCATTTCAAAGAAAATAATTACAATATGAAGCTTCTTGTGTCCTTAAAACTTTGAAATATGAAAGTTTTACATAACTATACAGAAAATAAAGAAAGTAAAAACATATACACAACACCAAGAGTGAAATTTAATGTAAACGATAGACTTTGGCAATAATGACTTTTCGGGGAAGGTTTATCAATTGCAGCAAATGTACCACCTTGATGAAAGATATTGACAGTGGGAGAGACTGTGCATGTGTAGGAGCAGTGGGTGTATAGGAATTCTTTGTACTTCTCCATCAACATGGCTGTGAACTAAAACCTGCTCTAAAAAACAAAGTCTACAAACAAACACCCCCACCCCCACCACACACATATTCACAGGGAAAGTTTTCTCTATATACATTTAAAATAATAAATTGGGATGAATGTTCAATAATAATGGTGAAGAAATGCAGTTAAAATAATTAGAAATGTACTAAAAATGATATGAATGTCTCTTTATTATTTGGAAACTTTACAGAGTTTTAAGAAATATGTCACATAATTTACTTGATTCACCTCTCCACATTCTGGTTCCTCATATGTAACACACAAAATATCTGTTGTGTGTCTATTGCAGTGCCAAGCTCAGAGCAGACATTTAGCAGATTAGCAGAGTTTTATAAACAGCAAAGAAAATAGATAAATCAATTTTAGCTCTTAAACATTTAGAGATTGTAGATCACAATCTTACAAAAGACTAAATGTGATACCAAGAAATTAATTTCAAATTTAGTAACCACTTGTTATATAAAAAATGTATGCAAATTCAAAGAGGAATGAGAAATGCACCTACTTTAAAAGCAGTTACCTATAATGCGCATGTTACAGTCAGCCAAGAAAAAAATCTTAATAAAAAGTACAAGGATACAGTTTCAAGATGGCCGAATAGGAACAGCTCCAGTCTACAGCTCCCAACGTGAATGATGGAGAAGACGAGTGATGTCTGCATTTCCAACTGAGGTACTGAGTTCATCTCACTGGGGCTTGTTCGACAGTGGGTGCAGCCCACCAAGCATCAGCTGAAGCAGGGTGAGTCATCACCTCACCCAGGAATCACAAGGTGTTAGGGAATTCCGTTTCCTAGCCAAGGGAAGTTGTGACAGATAGCACCTGGAAAATTGGGTCACTCTCACCCTAATACTGTGCTTTTCCATTGGTCTTAGCAAAGAGCACACCAGGAGATTACATCTTGTGCCTGGCTTGGAGGGTCCCACACCTATGGAGCCTCACTCATTGCTAGCACAGCAGTCTGAAATCAAACTGCAAGGCAGCAGCGAGGCTGGGGGAAGGACACCCGCCATTACTGAGGCTTGAGTATGTAAACAAAGCAGCTGGGAAGCTCGAACTGTGTGGAAACCACCACAGCTCAAGGAGGCCTGCCTGCTTCTGTATACATCACCTCTGAGGGCAGGGAATAGCTGAAAAAAAGGCAGCAGAAACTTAAATGTCCCTAACCGACAGCTTTGAGGAGAGTAGTGGTTCTCCCGGCACAGAGTTTGAGATCTGAGAATGGACAGACTGCCTCCTCAAGTGAATCCCTGACCCCTGAGTAGCCTCACAGGGAGGCATCCCCCAGTAGGGGGCAGATTGACACCTCACACGGCCAGGTACCCCTCTGAGATGAAACTTCCAGAGGAACGATCAGGCAGCAACATTTGCTGTTCAGCAATATTCACTGTACTGCAGCCTCCACTGCTGATAACCAGGAAAACAGAGTCTGGAGTGGGCCTCCAGCAAACTCCAACAGACCTGTAGCTGAGGATCCTGACTGTTAGAAGGAAAACTAACAGAGAAAGGACATCTACACCAAAACCCCATTAGTATGTCACCATCAGCAAAGGCCAAAGGTAGATAAAAACCAAAAAGATGGGGAAAAAACAGAGCAGAGAAGCTGAAAATTTGAAAAATCGAGTGCCTCTCCCACTCCAAAGGAATGCAGCTCCTCATCAGCAATGGAACAAAGCTGGACGCAGAATGACTTTGATAAGATGAAAGAAGAAGGCTTCAGATGATCAAACTTCTCTGAGTTAAAGCAGGAAGCTTGAACCCATCGCAAAGAAGTTAAAAACCTTGAAAAAGTTTAGACAAAGAGCTAAGTAGAATAACAAGCATAGAGAATTCCTTAAATGATCTGATGGAGCTGAAAACCATGGCATGAGAACTACATGATGAATGCACAAGCTTCAGTAGCTGATTCGATCAACTGGAAGAAAAGCTATCAGTGATTGAAGATAAAATGAGTGAAATGAAGTGAGAAGAGAAGTTTAGAGGAAAAAGAGAAAAAGAAATGAACAAAGCCTCCAAGAAATATGGGACTATGTGAAAAGAATAAATCTACATTTGATTGGTGTACATGAAAGTGGCGAGGAGAATGGAACCAAGTTGGAAAACACTTTGCAGGATATTATCCAGCAGAACTTCCCCAACCTAGCAAGGCACGCCAACATTCAAATTCGGGAAACACAGAGAACACCACAAAGATAATCCTCAAGAAGAGCAACTCCAAGATTCATAATTGTGAGATTCACCAAAGTTGAAATGAAGGAAAAAATGTTAAGGGCAGCCAGAGAGAAGGTGGGGTTACCCACAAAGGGGGGCCCATCAGACTAACAGCAGATCTCTTGGCAGAAACTCTACAAGCCAGAAGAGAGTGGGGGTCAACATTCAACATTCTTAGAGAAAAGAATTTTCAACCCAGAATTTCATATCCAGCCAAATTAATCTTCATAAGTGAAGGAGAAATACAATCCTTTACAGACAAGCAAATACTGAGAGATTTTGTCACCACAAGGCCTGCCCTACAAGAGCTCCTGAAGGAAGCATTAAACATGGAAAGGAACAACCAGTACCAGCCACTGTAAAAACATGACAAATTGTAAAGACCATCGAGGCTAGGAAGAAACCACATCAACTAATGCGCAAAATAACCAGCTAACATCATAATGACAAGATCAAATTCACATGTAACAATATTAACCTTAAATGTAAATGGGCTAAATACTCCAATTAAAAGACACAGACTGGCAAATTGGATAAAGAGTCAAGACCCATCAGTGTTCTGTATTCATGAAACCCATCTCACATGCAGAGACACACGGATGTAGGAAGATCTACCAAGCAAATGGAAAACAAACAAACAAACACAGGGTATGGGTTGCAACCTTAGTCTCTGATAAAACAGACTTTAAACCAACAAAGATCAAAAGAGACAAAGAAGGCCATTACATAATCGTAAAGTGATCAATTCAACAAGAAGAGCTAACTACACTAAATATAAATGCATCCAATACAAGAGCAGCCAGATTCATAAAGCAAGTCCTTAGAGACATACACAGAGACTTAGACTCCCACACAATAATAATGGGAGAATTTGAGACCCCACTGTCAACATTAGACAGATCAATGAGACAGAAAGTTAACAAGCATATCAAGGAATTGAACTCAGCTCTGTACCAAGCAGACCTAATAGACACCTACAGAAGTCTCCACCCCACATCAACATAATATACATTCTTCTCAGCACCACATCACACTTATTCCAAAATGGACCACATATTTGGAAGTAAAGCACTCCTCAGCAAATGTAAAAGAACGGATATTTTTACAAACTGTCTCTCAGACAACAGTGCAATCAATCTAGAACTCAGGATTAAGAAACTCACTCAAAACCACTCAACTGCATGGAAACTGAACAAACAGCTCCTGAATGACTATGGGGTACATAATAAAATGACGGCAGAAATAAAGATGTTCTTTGAAACTGATGAGAACAAAGACACAACATACCAGAATCTCTGGGACACATTTAAAGCAGTGTGTAAAGGGAAATTTACAGCACTAAATGCCCACAAAGAAAGCAGAAAAGATCTACAATTGACACCCTAACATCACAATTAAAAGAAATAGAGAAGTGGAGTGGTTCCAAGATGGCAGAATAGGAAGAGCTCCAGTCTACAGCTCCAAGTGTGAGCGAATCAGAAGATGGGTGATTTCTGCATTTCCAACTGAGCTTTCAAGAGAGTAGTGGTTCTCCCAGCACAGAATTTGAGATCTGAGAACGGACACACTGCCTCCTGAAGTGGGTCCCTGACCCCGAGTAGCCTAACTGGGCGGCATCCCCCATAGGGGCAGACTGACACTTCACATGGTGGGGTACCCCTCTGAGACAAAACTTACAGAGGAATGATCAGGCAGCAACATTTGCTATTCAGCAGCATTCGCTGTTCTACAGCCTCTGCTGCTGATACGCAGGCAAACAGGGAATGGAGTGGACCTCCAGCAAACTCCAACAGACCTGCAGCCGAGGATCCTGACTGTTAGCAGGAAAACTAACAAACAGGAGGGATATCCATACCAAAACCCAAATGTACATCACCATCATCAAAGAACAAAGGTAGATAAAACCAAAAAGATGGGGAAAAAACAGAGCAGAAAAACTGAAAATTCTAAAAATCAGAGCATCTCTCCTCCTCCAAAGGAATGCAGCTTGTCACCAGCAACGGAACAAAGCTGGATGGAGAATGACTCTGACAAGCTGAGAGAAGAAGGCTACAGACGATCAATTTCTCTGAGCTAAAGGAGGAAGTTCCAACCCATCGCAAAGAAGTTAAAAACCCTGAAAAACGATTAGACAAATGGCTAACTAGAATAACCAATGCAGAGAAGTCCTTAAAGGACCTGATGGAGCGGAAAACCATGGCACAAGAACTACGTGACAAATGCACTAGCCTCAGTAGCCAATTCAATCATCTGGAAGAAAGGGTACCAGTGGTTGAAGATAAAATGAATGAAATGAAGCAAGAAGAGAAATTAGAGAAATTCTTTTTATTAAGAAATGAAAAAAGCCTCCAAGAAATATGGCACTATGTGAAAAGACCAAATCTATGTCTGATTGGTGTACCTGAAAGTGACAAGGAGAATGGAACCAAGTTAGAAAACACTGCAGGATATAATCCAGCAGAACTTCCCCAACCTAGCAAGGCAGTACAACATTCAAATTCAGGAAATACAGAGAATGCCACAAAGATAATCCTCGAGAAGAGCAACTCCAACACACATAACTGTCACATTCACCAAAGTTGAAATGAAGGAAAACATGTTAAGGGAATCCAGAGAGAAGGGTCAGGTTACACACAAAGTGAAGCCCATCAGACTAACAGCAGATTTCTTGGCAGAAACTCTACAAGCCAGAAGAGAATGGGGAACAATATTCAACATTCTTAAAGAAAATAATTTTCAACCCAGAATTTCGTATCCAAACCAAACTAAGCTTCATAAGTGAAGGAGAAATAAAATCCTTTACAGACAAGCAAATGCTGAGAGATTTTGTCACCACCAGGTTCGTCCTACAAGAACTCCTGAAGGAAGCACTAAACATGGAAAGGAACAACCAGTACTAGCCATTGCAAAAACCTACCAAATTCTAAAGACCACTGATGCTAGGAATAAACTGCATCAACTAACGCGCAAAATAACCAGCTAACATCATAATGACAGGATCAAATTCACACATAACAATATTAATGTTAAATGTAAATGGGCTAAATTCTCCCATTAAAAGATAGAGACTGGCAAATTGGATAAAGAGTCAAGAGCCATCAGTGTTCTGTATCCATGAAACCCATCTCATGTGCAGAGACACACATAGGCTCAAAATAAAGGGATGGAGGAAGATATAACATGAAAATGGAAAACAAAAAAAGAAAAGCACAGGAGTTGCAATCCTAGCTTCTGATAAAACACATTTTAAACCAACAAAGATCAAAAGAGACAAAGAAGGCCATTACATAACGGTAAAGGGATCAATTCAACAAGAAGAGCTAACTATCCTAAATATATACATACCCAATACAGGAGCACTCACATTCATAAATCAAGTTCTCAGAGACATACAAAGAGACCTAGACTCCCACACAATAATAAATGAGAGACTTTAACACCCCATTGTCTACATTAGACAGATCAACGAGACAGAAAATCAACAAGGATATCCAGGAATTGAACTCAGCTCTGCACCAAGTGGACCTAATAGACATCTACAGAACTCTCCACACCAAATCAACAGAATATATGTTCTTCTCAGCACCACATTGCACTTATTCCAAAACTGACCACATATTTGGAAGTAAAACACTACTCAGCAAATGTGAAAGAACAGAATTATAACAAACTGTCTCTCAGACCATAGTACAATCAAACTAGGACTCAGGATTAAGAAACTCACTTAAAGCCTCTCAACAACATGGAAACTGAACAACCTGCTCTTGAATGACTGCTTGGGTACATAACGAAATGAAGGGAGAAATAACGATGGCTTTGAAACCAACGAGAAAAACGACACAACATACCAAAATCTCTGGGACGCATTCAAAGCAGTGTGTAGAGGGAAATGTATAGCACTGAATTTCCACAAGAGAAAGCAGGAAACATCTACAATTGACACCCTAACATCACAATTAAAAGAACTAGAGAAGCAAGAGCAAACACATTCAAAAGCTAGCAGAAGGCAAGAAATAACTAAGATCAGAGTACAACTGAAAGAGATAGAAACACAAAAAACCCTTCAAAGAATCAATGAATCCGGGAGCTGGTTTTTTGAAAAGATCAACAAAATTGATAGACTACTAGCAAGACTAATAAAGAAGAAAAGAGAGAAGAATCAAATATACACAATAAAATATGATAAAGGGGATATCACCACCAATCCCACGGAAGTACAAACTACCATCAGAGAATACTATGAATACCTCTACACAAATAAATTAGAAAATCTGGAAGAAATGGATAAATTCTTTGACACATACACCCTCCCAAGACTAAACCAGGAAGAAATTGAATCTCTGAATAGACCAACAACAGGTTCTGATATTGAGGCAACAATTAATAGCTTACCAACCAAAAAAAGTACAGGACCAGACGGATTCACAGCCAAATTCTACCGGAGGTACAAAAAGGAGCTAGTACCATTCCTTCTGAAATTGTTCCAATCAATAGAAAAAGAGGGAATCCTCTCTAACTCATTTTATGAGGCCAGCATCATACTGATACCAATGCCTGGCAAAGACACCACAAAAAAAGAGAATTGTAGACCAATATCCCCGATGAACATCGAGGCAAAAATCCTCAATAAAATACTGACAAACTGAATCCAGCAGCACATCAAAAAGCTTATCCACCATGATCAAGTGGGCTTCATCCCTGGGATGCAAGGCTGGTTGAACATATGCAAATGAATAAATATAATCCAGCATATAAACAGAACCAAAGACAAAAACCACATGATTATCTCAATAGATGCAGAAAAGGCCTTTGACAAAATTCAACAGCTCTTCATGCTAAAAACTTTCAATAAATTAGGTATTGATGGGATGGATCTCAAAATAATAAGAGCTATTTATGACAAACCCACAGCCAATATCATACTGAATGGGCAAAAACTGGAAGCATTCCCTTTGAAAACCGGCACAAGACAGGCAAGCCTTCTCTCCCCACTCCTATTCAACATAGTGTTGGAAGTTCTGGCCAGGGCAATCAGGCAGGAGAAGGAAATAAAGGGTATTCAATTAGGAAAAGAGGAAGTCAAATTGTCCCAGTTTGCAGATGACATGATTGTATATCTAGAAAACTACATCATCTTAGCCCAAAATCTCCTTAAGCTGATAAGCAACTTCAGCAAAGTCTCAAGATACAAAAGCAATGTGCAAAAATCACAAGCGTTCTTAGACACCAATAACAGACCGAGAGCCAAATCATGAGTGAATTCCCATTCACAATTGCTTCAAACAGAATAAAGTACCTAGGAATCCAACTTATAAGAGATGTGAAGGAACTCTTCAAGGAGAACTACAAACCACTGCTCAACAAAATAAAAGAGGATACAAGCAAATGGAAGAACATTCCATGCTCATGGATAGGAAGAATCAATATCGTGAAAATGGCCATATTGGCCAAGGTAATTTATAGATTCAATGCCATCCCCATCAGGTATCAATGACTTTCTTAACAGATTTAGAAAAAACTACTTTAAAGTTCATATGGAACCAAAAAGAAGCCTGCATTGCCAAGTCAATCCTAAGCCAAAAGAACAAAGTTGGAGGCATCATGCTACCTGACTTCAAACTACACTACAAGGCTACAGTAAACAAAACAGTATAGCACTGGTACCAAAATAGTATAGTACTGGTACCAAAACAGATATACAGACCAATGGAACAGAACAGAGTCCTCAGAAATAATACCACACACCCACAACCATCTGATCTTTGACAAACCTGACAAAAACAAAAAATGGGGAAAAGATTCCCTAGTTTATAAATGGTGCTAGGAAAACTGGCTAGCCATATGTAGAAAGCTGAAACTGGATCCCTTCCTTACACCTTATACAAAAATTAATTCAAGATGGATTAAAGACTTAAATGTTAGATCTAAAACCATAAAAACCCTAGAAGAAAACCTAGGCAATACCACTCAGGACATGGGCATGTCTAAACACCAAAAGCAATGGCAACAAACGCCATAAGTGACAAATGGGATCTAATTAAAGAGCTTCTGCACAGCAAAAGAAACTACCATCATAGTGAACAGGCAAACTACAGAAGGGGAGAAAATGTTTGCAATCTACTCATCTGACACAGGGCTAATATCCAGAATCTACAAAGAACACAAAGAAATTTACAAGAAAAAAAACAAACAACCCCATCAAAATTGGTCAAAGGATATGAACAGACATTTCTCAGAAGAAGACATTTATACAGCCAACATACACATGAAAAAATGCTCATCATCACTGGCCATCAGAAAAATGCAAAATGAAACCACAATGAGATAATATCTCACACCAGTTGGAATGGCAATCATTAAAAAGTCAGGAAACAACTGGTGCTGGAGAGGATGTGGAGATATAGGAATACTTTTACACTGCTGGTGGGACTGTAAGCTGGTCCAACCATTGTGGAAGACGGTGTGGTGATTCCTCAAGGATCTAGAACTAGAAATACCATTTGACCCAGCCATCCTATTACTAGATATACACCCAGAGGTTTGTAAATCATGCTGCTATAAAGACACATGCAACATATGTTTATTGAGGCACTATACGCAATAGCAAAGACTTGGAACCAACCTAAATGTCCATCAATGATAGACTGGAATAAGAAAATGTGGCACATATACACTATGGAATACTATTCAGCCATAAAAAAGGATGAATTCATGTCCTTTGTAGGGACATGGATGAAGCCAGAAACCATCCTTCTCAGCAAACTGTCACAAGGACAAAAAACCAAATACCACATGTTCTCACTAATAGGTGGGAATTGAACAATGAGAACACTGGGACACAGGGAAGGGAACATCACACACTGAAGCCTGTCGTGTGGTGGCGGGAGGGGGAAGGATAGCATCAGGAGATATACCTAGTGTAAATGATGAGTTAATGAGTTCAGCACACCAACATGGCATGTGTATACATATGTAACAAATCTGCACTTTGTGAACTTGTTCCCTAGAACCTAAATTATAACCAAAAAATCATAAAATAAAGTAGAAGATACATAAAAAATGTTCAAAACTGAACAGGAAGTACATTACCTTTTATTTTGCCAAACCAATTTCTGGAAAGAAAACAGAAAGCGAAGACTCATAGCCACATCTTTGTTGGTGATCGGCCACTAAAGAGTTAGAGGCTTTTAGTAAGAGGGAGTTCCCTTGCATTGAAATGGACTGAAGCTACTATTCTCCATTCAATACAAGGTGCATCAACTCATGAATTAGCTGGTTTTGAATTTGTGTCTTGCAAGGGAGGAAGGAAGAAAGAAAGGAAAAAAAAAAGAAAGAAAAGAAGGAAGGAAGAAAGAAGGGAGGAAGGGAGAAAGAGGAAAGGAGAAAGGAAGAAAGGAAGGAGAAAGAAGGAAGGAAGGAAGTCAGTCAGTCAGTTAAGGTAAAAAAAAATCAGTAGGATTTTCTCAGTAGAGATATACACAGATGTGTTACATTCATTGGAAATCTTCCTTTTATTTCCATAATGTTTCTAGATCCACATCCAGAAGTTAGGAAACTTCCCCTGCAAAACTCTTACCCCATAGACAAGAAGGCCAGTGTGTTCTAGAAAAATGTTTCTTTCCTCAGCTTCCAAGTGAAACTGATGGTTAGCCAGACCCATTTGCAGACTCTTAACTTCCCTAGAAGGTGATTTCAGAAGCTTACGCTTGAGATACAAAGTATGAGGAAAAATTCTGCCAGTTCATCACACTTCTGTGGACTGTTGGAAAATATAACCAAAATATTCGACAGCAAGGGACTGTTTGTATGTTACAAAAATATCCAAAGATAAGTCTCTTACCTCTAAAAATGAGGATTTCAAGAAAATTCTAAGGAAACAGAGAAATGCTCACACCATATAGTTTAAAATGTTTAAACACCATAAAATAGTTTAAACACCATAAGTTTAAAAATGACATATACACTGGATATATCTACATATTTTAAAAGTAAAATATGCTTTTTAAATGCATATTGCAATAAAAATACGTTGAGCTAATCCTATTTCTAGCTGTTAATCAAAATATAAAGTATATCTACAGATATTTGCTGCTCAAGTTAAATATTCAGTCACATTACATAGTTTAAAGATGAAAATGTTCATTCCTCAAACTATTAAAACAGCACACTAGTGTTTTCTACATGGTGTGAATGTCCCTCATCCAAATGTATTACTAACCCACTTGTTAGTTTAGGAATCTGTAAGCCAGATTTATAAAACAGGCCTAATTTTACTAAAATGTGTTCATTATATAAATGCTTTCGGCTATTTTATTGTTGGTTCAATTAATTATTTGAACATTCTCCTTTAGGTCGACTCAAATGCAACATTTTCTCAATAGTTTCAAAGAGACCGTAATATTTCAGGATAGACTTTTGAAACCCAAACATTGGATGAATTTAAATGTGAACTACTTTTTACAGGTTACACTTTTAAAAGTTATGGAGCAAATGAACGTACATCTGATACTTGAGTGTACCCTGTACACCCCAATCCTTCAACATTCTGTGTAGCTTTCTGTGCAGCTTATTTTGACTCAACACGTCAGACATGGGGAGAAAGGTGGACTAGAAGACAAAATGGTTACAGGTTACCTGGGGGATAGAGGAAAGGTGAACGACGGAAAAAAGATCACTGGTCTCTGGGGACACCCTGAGTGGCCTAGCAGGGAAAGGGGTATTAAGGACTATCAACAATACTTCATTTCTACTTGTCCCCGATGAGGGGCAGTTGTGTATTCCTGAGTCATCAGGCGCCAGCTTCCTCCAGTCACTAGCTGCCTCCCAAGCCGCCTCACTGGCCCCGCTATGGGCCGAGTTGACTGCCCAGTCCAGGCTGCAAGGCCAAGATGAGGGGGAATCCCTGGCCTCAGAGACATGCCTCTGTCCCAGGTGAGGAGCAAGGGTGCTTAACACTCTCAATCTCACAGTCCCAAATAGGTTTTCTATCAAGCATGTGAGCCTCCTCTCTTCGTGGTTCTGAGGCATGGATGAGGACCGTGACCTAGGCACAATTCAAAGGCGCTTGGAGGGCTGGGACCCAAAGACTAGGGATGGAAAGCAGTGAGGCAGGACCGCGAGATTACAGCCCTCACACCCCATCCTGCCCCTCCTGGAGACCTACAAAGTACAGTCTTCCCGTCTGAAGAGACATGGTGCATGCACTTTGTTGCCTAGCACCCGACAGAAGCTCCACCCATATCTCGGGAGAGCACATCCAGGGTATCCAAAGAACTGCCCCCGGGGAAATGTGGCTGAAGCAGTGGAGCGCGGGACTCCACAGCTGGACTTAGATTGTCTTTCCCTCGTCGGCCTCTCGCTGCAGGTAGGGGATGGAGTGAGTCGAAACAGGCGTTTTGAGTCCCTGTGGGACTTCACTGGCCCTGCGTGACTTCACTGGCCCTGCGTGATGGCGCAGGCTGGTGCCATATCTCCACTCCTCCCTGGGGTAGCCAGATCAGATCTGCCACGTCCTGACCGGCTCATCCATGCTCTAAGCACTTCCACCTGCAAGTGTCTGCCCTCTTTGGAGTCTGCTTTCGCGGTTGACAGTCGAACATTCACCTGACCCAGGGTTTCTTAATGAAGCCACTGTTGCCTTTTGGAGCCAGCAGATGTTTTGGGGGCTGTCCTGGGCATTGTAGATTTAGCTGTGTCCTCGGTCTCTATTTTGTCAATAGCACCTTCTCCCCCAAGCGAGACAACCAAAAATGTCTCCAGACATTGTCAGATGTCCTCTTGGAAGCAAGATGTCTCAGAATTGAGATCCACAGAGCTAATTTTTTCTGAGTAGCCACCGTTGTGTGTTGTGAGGAAAGATGAGCCTGACCTCATGACGCTTACATTAATTAAAAAGAAAAGGAACCAAACCTCTCAGAAGCAATAATGAAAATATTACAGCTAGAGAATTGAGCAAGTGCTAAGATCACATTATAAACTGAGTAAAGAGTTTAAAGGGGAGGTGGTTGAAGATGGAAGTGATCCAGATCATCTCTCAGAAAAAGTGTAAACTCATCAGGACCTTGATGCATAGGATTTGCGTGGTGCACTAAAAGAAGAGCTTTGCAGGGGAGGGAAAATGAGCAAAGGAATAAAAAACAAATAAAACAAACAAACAAAAATCCAAGACCTTCTGGGGGCAGTGAGGAATCTACCCCGAGTCCAGAGTTGTATGCTGGAAATATAAGCCTGAGAAACTATCTAAGCCCTGTGAGGACAAAATTTGATCAGTGACACCTTTGTACATGACATTGAAAAAGTGTACAATGAGTTTTGATCACTGGCTGTGAAAAACTTAAAGTCTTTAAGAAGCAGTATGAGTGACAGGACTTCTTAGCACGTGGAGAATGTGTAGGCTTTTGTTGGAAATAATTGAGGAGGAGGAGAAACTTAGTTGAATTTTAAAAAATAGGTAAAGGCTGCAGGCAGAATCAGGGAGAACATTCCAGGGATGATGACAGAAACAGTAGTAACTCTGAAGTGGATACAGTCAAGGTGGATTTGGGGGCAAAAAAAGTAAATGACAAAACTCTAGCGAAGGTGGAACAATAGGCCACTGTAACAAATTATTACAAATTTAGTGGCTTAATACAAGTGTATCATCTTACACTTCTGTAACATACGAGTCCAATAGAGGTCTTGTTCAGCTAAAATCTAAGTGTGCACAGGACTGTGTTCCTCTTGGAGGCTCTAGAGGATAATTTGTTTCCCTGTACTTTCTAGCTTCTAGGGGCCTGCTGCATTCTTTAGCCATAGCCCCTTCCTCTGTTTTCAAAGCCATCAACATCACATTGCTTTTCTCCTTCTTCTGTCACTTCCCCCTGACTTTCCTCTTTTGCTTCCATCTTCTACATTTAAGGTCGTTCCAATGGCATTGATCAAGCTGCATGATCCTCGGCAATCTTCCTATCTTAAGGTCAGCTGCTGAACAACCTTAATTTCTCTTTGCCATGAGCCCTCACATACTCACAAGTTTTAGAGATTTGGATGAGGGCATCTTAGAAGAGAGGTCACAATCTGTTTGTTCCTCTCAGCTAGACATTTGAAAACTATCTTAGATTCTCCTCTTGTCCTCCATTTCCCAATTTAATCTATTATCTAATTCTATGTAGCTACGTCCTCAGGGCCTCTGGGACAAGTGTTCCTTGGAGATTCTTCAAAGGCCCTTATTTAAAGCAACAGAAAAATCGAGAAGACCATGAATACACATTCATGCCAATGCAGGTATGTCAGTCATGGCTGTTGCTTTATTTGCATTATGTGTTGGAATTCTAAGTAACACTTGTTTTGTTGGTGAAGGAAATATGGAGATATCACAGAAATTTTATTTTAAAAAGTTGAAATTGGGCTGAGCATGGTGGCTCATGACTGTAATCTCAGCACTTTGGGAGGCTGAGGTCTGGAGATCTCTTGAGGCCAGGAGTTCAAGACCAGCTTGGGCAGTATGGCAAAACCCTGTCTCTACTAGAATTACAAAATTTACCCTGGCATGATGGTGCATGCCATTAATCCCAGCTACTCAGGAGGGCGGAGGCAGGAGAATCTCCTGAACTTGGGAGGTGGAATTTGCAGTAAGCCAAGATCATGCCACTGTCTTGGAATCTTCTATCTAAACCTGTGCTTTCTATTACATAGCCACTATCCTCATGTGGCTCTTCTTCTTTAATTAAAATTCAGTTCTACAGTTACAGTAGCCACATTTCTAATACTTGCTGGCTTTCATATTGGACAACACAGGTGTACATTTGCATCCTTGGAGAAAGTTCCACAGATTGGACAGTGCAGAATCCTAATGTGTGTCTCACCTTTGTCCCATACCCTCAAGTATTTGCTAAGTGTTGCAGCTATTCCCTTCCCTTTCTGTGACAACGGTGTCATTTTCTCCCAGGGTTTCAAATTCTCCCACTTCACCTGACAGTTTTTCTTTGCAAAATTGACTGAAAAACTATAGCCTTCTTGCTTCTTCAGCTGTTTACAAAAGGAAAACCAAACTGACAACTTACGATAAACATGGAATGTATATAAAGTAAACTCCGTCTGATCTTCTGCCCATCTGTGTAGTTGATAACAGCACCATCATGCAATTGTTCTTTGAGTTCCCTTCTGTCTGTCCTCCTGCTGATTTAGCACCATGCTGCTCACCCATTTGTGGCTTTTCATATAGGGCTGAGTGTGGGGATGCATGTTATCTCCCTTACACACACACTGACACTTCTACATCCACACCCACACACACATGCAAACCACCCACACACAAACACACACATTTGCCCCCCTTCTTTTTAGCACTGCTGCTTCAATGCTTGTGCAGAAGAAGGTAACAAGCACTTCTTTTGGCAAACTTCAGCTCTAAAATTTAGCCCAGTAATAATTCATGATATCATTATTTACTTTATTCAATTTTCCACTGCCCATCCTTTCTCCCATAACCTTCCCTGGAGAATTATTGCCAATTCCTCTAGTTTTTCACGGCTTTTGTATCATTCTTGCTTGTCTTTGTTACCCAATTTTTCTTCCTCAATCTGTTTTTCATCTGTTTTCTAAAGCAGGGGCAAAGGTTTTCCTTGGAAGACCAGATAGTGAATATTGTTGGCTCTGTGGGATAACCTGATTGCAGGTACTTAACTCTGCCTTTGAAGGGTGAGAGCACCTTAGATGGTAGTGAGAAAGTGAACAAGGCTATAGTCCCCCATCTCACATGATATTTTAAATCCTACTTCATCATGCCCAGAGTCTTCTATTTGCCTTTCCTTCTACAGTCATAACCCTCCAATTCTAAAGTTAAAGCTGCCAGCTGTGCCTTGATTTTATTTATGAAATGCATCATTCATTAGCACATGCATATCATGTTTCTTCTGATTCCGTTTTGTGTACGTGAATCAGGAGAAGATCCAGTGAGGCTTGATGAGCCTTGGTTTCTAACCCACCTCAGATGTATCTTCCAGGAGTTTGACTAACTCCTCGCTTACTTGATATCCACCCCATGTTGAGAATTTTACCAGTCACCACTTCTCAGTTTGCATTTGGCCTTCCATGTTATTCTAGAAAATATTAATTGAGCATGTCCTGTGAGTCAGACACTGTGCTGGGTACTTTACTGTAAGGTGCTACAAAGTTACTACTATTCCATAAAGAAGAAAGCCAACAATAGGTTAAGTGCTCCCTGTGGTAACATTGCAAGTAAGTAGCAGAGCTACATAGAACCTAACTTTTTTTTATTTCAATCCTCTTGAGTTAAAAATACACACAGTGGGGTTACCATTGAGTATATCCATCCATGTTCCCTCCCATCCGTCTTTCATCTATATTTTCATTATCTGTGCTAGAAGCCAAGGAATCACTTGTAATTTTTCCAGCGTTTCTCATGAGTTTATTTCTTTTGCGAATCTGTTTGTTGTTGTTGTTGTTGTTCTTGTTTGAGGCAGGATAGTTCAGCTTACTGTTGTGTCATGTAATTCTCTCCTGTCAGGCTCCAGAGTAGCTGGGACTACAGGCAGACACCACAATGCCCAGAAATTTTAGTATTTCTGTAGAGATGTATTTTTTTGTAGAGAAGTGTTTCTTCTTTCATGCTGTTGCCTTGGCTGGTCTCAAATTCCTGGACTCCAACAGACTGTCTGCCTCAGCCTTCTGAAATGCTGGGATTACAGGCATGAGCCATTACACCTGTCCCAATCTGTTAAACTTCTTTGTAAGATCTCTCAGTACCTCAGAATATTTTCCTTTATCTATCATTTCTTTCATCCTTTATAGAATAGAAAACTTCCTTTCTTATAAATTGGTGTATCAAGAGGCATATCATAGTCTCTTTTATTAGCACGGACATGTATTTATAACACACATAGTTCAGTTAGAAAGAAAAAAATAGAGCACAAAGTGCTGCATTGCCTCACTTTTCTAGGTAAGTCACATGAGAGAAAGCTGATTTTAGCTTCCCCCAACAGATGCCTTATGGAAATTTCTAAGGCAAGCTAATTAGTTTCTTCATCTTCTCACCACTCTTTATGATCCTTAACTTACCATCTACCTCTGTTAAATCTTCTAAGTGTCAGTGCTGGTGCTAACTGCTCCAGTCCAAGTGAAGCCTAGCTTACTCCACCAGACACTCAGGGTCCTTTCAGTTGAATGTGCCATACATTCAGATCGTGAGAATATTGTCTGTGATGTTATGTTAGAGGTCTTCTGGTTTTCTTATGGAAATACATAGGATTCTATAAGAAATATCACAATTATATCATTTGTTTATTCCAGAAGTCATGCATCTTCACTAGTATGTGGGGAATGGTGACAAGCTTACTGGCGTATTTCAGGTTTAAGTTAGAAAGCAAAACAAAAGAAGAATTTTACATTTCCCATTGGTCATCTTTGAATTTCAATATTGACTGCTAAAAATATGCACTATTTTTTGCTTCATTAGGAGCCATATATTGAAGACCATGTCTAGGAGCTTCTACTTTGTAATTGTTGGCCACCATGATAATCCACTTTTTGAAATGGAGTTTTTGCGAGCTGGGAAGGCAGAATCCAAAGTGCATGTGGAAGCTTAGTTTTCATAGGAATTTTTATTCCATTGTAACGATATAGTGTAATATGATTTTAGAACTGGAAGATCTGGACAGAGGAGGTAAATGAAATCCAGCACAATTAAATGAGGCTTGCACTGGAGTCCCAGAGACTGATAGCAGTCAACCAGGGCATATCCTGGGAGTTGTTTATTTATACTTTAATTCAGCACAGACTAGCATGACCTCTGACTTTCCCATGATGTTCAGTTCATTATGTCATCCATCATGAATTGCTGCCACTTGAACACTTAAAACCCTAGTCCACCTGTAGCAAGTTGTGGCTTTGAAATGTCATCCATCAGTGTTCAGGCAGTTTTCATGAATCATATTTTTCATCAGGACCTATTGTGTTCCATCCATTAAAATTCAGGCAGTTTTCATGAATCATGTTTTTCATCAGGACCTTCGGGGTTAAAAAAGACCCTCAGTGACCCTCAGCAGCACTTCCTGACTGGGTGATTCATGTATGCTTACATCCCCAGTGACTACCTTGGCAATGCACAGGAAGCGCAAAAGCAGTACCAGAGATGATGACACCTTTTTTTGTCAAGAATGTTTCCAGAAACCAGGCTTGGCTCGAGAACATGTTATTATTCAGAGTAAACCAGCCCATAGATTTTTGACGTGAGAAGAGCCCAGTCCTTTCCAATTTATGTTTCTAATACATTGCTGGCATGTTTGCACTGTTTCTCTCAAGCACACAAGTCAGCTTTAATGACATTTGAGGAAGTGATATTGTAAGTTACTTGCAATGTATAATGTTTAAGTGGGTGATACTTTTTAACTATTCAGGACTTGTCACCAAAATATGGTAGACAGGATTATGTGCCAGGTATTATTGTGGCATTACTTTCTCATATTATGAGAACACTGCTCATTAAAACTTGTTTTGAGTACTTGTAGCAGTATTGCTTTCTAGGATGCAGCTACTTGTATATAATTTCTGTGCATTCCACTGGCCCTGTTGTGGAGAAAGGAGCAGACATAAAAATAATTTGTTGCATATATTGATTTTAATTCTTTCTCCTGCTACCATTCACCTTGTTAAAGCATTTTCACAATTTGCTTCTAATCTTTCAGAATTGATCATCATTGTAAAAGAAACCACTGCTTGATCGAGACACGAAGAGATCCATTTATCTAAAGATTCACTTAGGTTTGTCATGACAATGTGAGTGAAGTGAAGCATGCTTTAGATGTCCGAGGGATTTTGGGAAAATGGGCTACCCTCCTCCAGCCCAAGATTGGGAACAGCTTCTTTGGCAAGGAGGCTGTCTCTGTTTCCTGTGGCTGTTGTAACAAAGTACCAAAAGTGTAGTGGCTTTGGACATCAGAAATGTATTTCCTCATTTCTGAGGGCCACTGTCTAAAATCAAGATATCAGTGGTGACAAGATTCCTATGCAGGTCTTAAGGTAAGAATCTGTTCAGTTTCTCTCCCAGTTTCTGGAAGTTCCCTGGCTTGTAGCAGTGTAACTCCAGTCTTTCTGTGTCATTTTTCTCCCTTTGTGCATATCCAAATGTTCCTTTTTTTACTAAGTACATGAGTGGTTTTATTAGAGGCTCACCCTACCCTAAAATGACCTAATCTAAAATAACCATATATACATGTAACCTATCCTTCCAAATGAGGCCACACTCTGCGGTACTGTCACTTAGGACATCAACAAAAGAATTTTGAAGAGAATACACTTCCACCCGTAACTGAGGTGTTATTTTAAAACTATATTTTTTAAAAAATAATTCCATATAATGTGAAAACAGATCTCTTTTATGTCTCTTGAAAATAACAAACAAAGCAAAATCAAACTTTTTTTTTCTGCGCAAGAAAACCATCTATAGAATTTACAGAATGAAATGTCGGCATTCTTCATTCCATAAGGATACATTAATCTGTTATTGCTCACACTGTCATTTATGACAACCGTCACTGTCTGCACCAGTTCATAGCTCATGCTGCTCTTGACCTCATAGACGAGAACATGTGGCTTTTGAACAACATGTACTTGAAAAGTGTGGACAAGTCCAATAACTGGTTTGTGCCAGCACTCATTACTGCAGAGCATACCTTTTTCCCTTTTTAGTAAAGATAATTAACTAAAGTTTGGGTTTACAAACTAGAGGAACATGGAACACAGATGCCTGGCTCTGAGTCTGTGTGCTTCAAAATTTGTATGAATGTAAAAGTTTCCATTTATGGGACTACTTTGTTTTATTAGGGGAGAAAATATTTTGTTGAACAGCTAATGATTAAACTAAGTCTCATACCCCCAAAGAGTTTATCTGATTCATATCAAGGTTGATGTTACATTACTTTTAGCTTTTTTCTTTTTTTACTTAGAATGCTTATATTCTTTTTCTGGTAAAACTAAGCTAATTTTGAACCCAGTTAATGTATTCAAGTCTTCCATCAGAAATACATGGAGTGTGACTAATTTGAAGAATATTGTATCAATGAACTGGTTGCTTTTTGTTTTTTACTTCTAAGAAAAATATTGCCTTAATTATGTCACATATGAGATTTATTATGCTTCATGGCATAAGGCAAGAAGATGGAATAAATCACTTCCTTACTGATGTTCATGATTAACATATAAAAGTAAGTCATGTTCTATAATTTTAAAAATCTGATGATGGAAAAAAAGATTTGATCTTTGTCAGGAAACTGGCCTTTTCAAGTAACCCACTTAGGCTGCACAGCTTACGTTTCAGACTGCGTTTTCTCATAAGAACTGTGTCTGTCAACTCCCTTGGCAGGCAAGTCTTCACAGCGAGTTGAATGGGTATTTAGGAACACAACTTACAATAGTTATTTGTAGAATATTGTGAAGGCAAATTGTTTTCATGTTTTCCCTCTTAGTGTTCATAGTTGATTTCATCAGGGAACCATAAAGATAGCAAAGAAGCAGCCTACATAAGGGAAAACTAATTAAAATTTAATCTGAAATGTTTCCATCTATATTCTTTTTGTTTAATTATATTTTAAGTTTTAAGGTACATGTGCACAACGTGCAGGTTAGTTACATATGTATACATGTGCCATGTTGGTGTGCTGCACCCAGTAACTGGTCATTTAACATTAGATATATCTCCAAATGCTATCTCTCCGCCTCCCCCACCCCATAACACGCCCCGGTGTGTGATGTTCCCCTTCCTGTGTCCAGGTGTTCTCATTGTTCAATTCCCACCTATGAGTGAGAACATGCGCTATTTGGATTTTTGTCCTTGTTATAATGTGCTGAAAATGATGGTTTCCAGCTTCATCTATGTCCCTACAAAGGAAATAATCTCATCATTTCTTATGGCTGCATAATATTCCATGCTGTATATGTTCCACATTTTCTTAATCCAGTCTATCATTGTTGGACATTTGGGTTGGTTCCAAGTCTTTGCTATTGTGAATAGTGCTGCAATAAACATACGTGTGCATGTGTCTTTATAGCAGCATGATTTATAATCCTTTGGGTATATACCCAGTAATGGGATGGCTGGGTCAAACGGTATTTCTAGTTCTAGATCCCTGAGGAATTGCCACACTGACTTCCACAATGGTTGAACGCGTTTACCGTCCCACCAACAGAGTAAAAGTGTTCCTATTTCTCCACATCCTCTCCAGCACCTGTTGTTTCCTGACTTCTTAATGATCACAATTCTAACTGGTGTGAGATGGTATCTCACTGTGGTTTTGATTTGCATTTCTCTGATGGCCAGTGATGGTGAGCATTTTTTCATGTGCTTTTTGGCTGTATAAATGTCTTCTTTTGAGAAGTGTCTGTTCATGTCCTTCACCCACTTTTTGATGGGGTTGTTGGTTTTCTTCTTGTAAATTTGTTTGAGTTCATTGTAGATTCTGGATATTAGCCCTTTGTCAGATGAGTAGATGGCAAAAATTTTCTCCCATTCTGTAGGTTGCCTGTTCACTCTGATGGAAGTTTCTTTTGCTGTGCAGAAGCTCTTTTGTTTAATTAGATCCCTTTTGTCAATTTTGACTTTTGTTACCATTGCTTTTGTTGTTTTAGACATGAAGTCCTTGCCCATGCCAATGTCCTGAATGTTATTGCCTAGGTTTTCTTCTAGGGTTTTTTATGGTTTTAGGTCTATAATTTAAGTATTTAATCCATATTGAATTAATTTTTGTATAAGATGTAACGAAGGGATCCAGTCTCAGCTTTCTACATATTGCTGGCCAGTTTTCCCAGCACCACTTCTTAAAAAGGGAATCATTTCCCCATTTCTTGTTTTTGTTAAAAAAACAAAACAAGGTTTTGGTTGTTTTGTTTTTGTTAAAAAAGCAAAACAGGTTTGTCAAATTTCAGATGGTTGTAGACATGCAGCATTATTTCTGAGGTCTGTGTTCTGTTCCATTGGTCTATATCTCTGTTTTGGTACCAGTACCATGCTGTTTTGGTTACTGTAGCCTTATAGAATAGTTTGAAGTCAGGTAGCGTGATGCCTCCAGCTTTGTTCTTTGGGTTTAGGATTGACTTGGCAATGCGGGCTATTTTTGGTTCCATATGACCTTTAAAGTAGTTTTTTCCAATTTTGTGAAAAAAGTCATAGGTAGCTTGATGTGGATGGCATTGAATCTACAAATTACTTTAGGCAGTATGGCCATTTTCACGATGTTGATTCTTCCTACCCATGAGCAAGGGATGGTCTTCCATTTGGTTGTATTCTCTTTTATTTCATTATGCAGTGGTTTGTAGTTCTCCTTGAAGAGGCCCTTCACATCCCTTGTAAGTTGGATTCCTAGGTATTTTATTCTCTTTGAAGTAATTGTGAATGGGAGTTCACTCATCATTTGGCTCTCTGTTTGTCTGTTATTGGTGTATAAGAATGCTTGTGATTTTTGCACACTGATTTTGTATCCTGAGACTTTGCCGAAGTTGCCTATCATCTTAAGAAGATTTTTGGCTGAGACGATGGGGTTTTCTAGATGTACAATCATGTCATCTGCAAACAGGGACAATTTGACTTCCTCTTTTCCTAATTGAATACCCTTTATTTCCTTCTCCTGCCTAATTGCCCTGGCCAGAACTTCCAACACTATGTTGAATAGGAGTGGTGAAAGAGGGCATGCCTGTCTTGTGCCAGTTTTCAAAGGGAATGCTTCCAGTTTTTGCCCACTCACTATGATATTGCCTGTGGGTTTGTCATAAATAGTTCTTATTATTTTGAGATCTGTCCCATCAATACCTAATTTATTGAGAGTTTTTAGCATTAAGCATTGCTGAATTTTGTCAAAGGCCTTTTCTGCATCTATTGTGATAATCATATGTTTTTTGTCTTTGGTTCTGTTTATATGCTGGATTATGTCTATTGTTTTGCGTATGTTGAAGCAGCCTTGCATTCCAGGGATGATGCCCACTTGATCATGGTAGATAAGCTTTTTGATGTGCTGCTGGAATTGGTTTGCCAGTATTTTATTGAGGACTTTTGCATCAATATTCATCAAGGATACTGGTCTAAAATTCTCTTTTTTTGTTGTGTCTCTGCCAGGCTTTGGTATCAGGATGATGCTGACCTCATAAAATGAATTGGGGAGGATTCCCTCTTTTTCTATTGATTGGAATAATTTCAGAAGGAATGGTATCAGCTCTTCCTTGTACGTCTGGTAGAATTACACTGTGAATCCATCTGGTCCTGTACTTTTCTTGGTTGGTAAGCTGTTAATTATTGCCTCAATTTCAGAGCCTGTTTTTGGTCTATTCAGAGATTCAGCTTCTCCCTGGTTTAGTCTTGGGAGGGTGTATGTGTCAAGGAATTTATCCATTTCTTCTAGATTTTCTAGTTTATTTGCGTAGACATGTTTATAGTATTCTCTAATGGTAGTTCATATTTCTGTGGGATCAGTGGTGATATCCCCTTTATCATTTTTTATTGTGTCTATTTGGTTCTTCTCTCTTTTCTTCTTTATTAATCTTGCTAGCAGTCTATCGATTTTGTTGATCTTTTCAAAAAACCAGCTCCTGTATTCATTGATTTTTCGAAGGGTTTTCTCTGTCTCTATTTCCTTCAGTTCTGCTCCGATCTTAGTTATTTCTTGCCTTCTGCTGGCTTTTGAATGTGTTTGCTCTTGTTTCTCTAGTTCTTTTAATTGTGATGTTAGGGTGTCAATTGTAGATGTTTCCTGCTTTCTCTTTTGGGCATTCAGTGCTATAAATTTCCCTCTACACACTGCTATGAATGTGTCCCAGAGATTCTGGTATGTTGTGTCTTTTTTCTCATCAGTTTCAAAGAACATCTTTATTTCTGCCTTCATTTTGTTATGTACCCAGTAGTCATTCAGGAGCAGGTTTTTCAGTTTCCATGTAGTTGAGCAGTTCTGAGTGAGTTTCTTAATCCTGAGTTCTAGTTTGATTGCACTGTGGTCTGAGAGAAAGTTTGTTATAATTTCTGTTGTTTCACATTTGCTGAGGGGTGCTTTACTTCCAACTATGTGGTCAATTTTTGAATAAGTGCAATGTGGTGCTGAGAAGAATGTATACTCTGTTGATTTGGTGTGGAGAGTTCTGTAGAGGTCTATTAGGTCTGCTTGGTGCAGAGCTGAGTTCAATTCCTAGATATTCTTGTTAACTTTCTGACTTTTTGATCTGTCTTGTGTTGACAGTGGGGTGTTAAAGTCTCCCATTATTATTGTTTGGGAGTCTAAGTCTCTTTGTAGGTCAGTAAGGACTTGCTTTGTGAATCTGGGTGCTCCTGTATTGGGTGCATATATATTTAGGAGAGTTAGCTCTTTTTGTTGAATTGATCCCTTTACCATTATGTAATGGCCTTCTTTTTATCTTTTGATCTTTGTTGGTTTAAAGTCTGTTTTATCAGAGACTAGGATTGCAACATCTGCCTTTTTTTGTTTCTCATTTGCTTGGTGGATATTCCTCCATCCATTTATTTTGAGCCCATATGTGTTTCTGCATGTGAGATGGGTTTCCTGAATACAGCATACTGATGGGACTTGACTCTATCCAATTTGCCAGTCTGTGCCTTTGAATTGGAGAATTTAGCCCTTTTACATTTAAGGTTAATATAGTTATGTGTGAATTTGCTCTTGTCATTATGATGTTAGCTGGTTATTTTGTGCATTAGTTGATGCAGTTTCGTCCTATCCTCAATGGTCTTTACAATTTGGCATGTTTTTTCAGTGGCTGGTACCAGTTGTTCCTTTCCATGTTTAGTGCCTCCTTGAGGAGCTCTTTTAGGCAGGGCTGGTGGTGACAAAATATCTCAGCATTTGTTTGTCTGTAAAGGATTTTATTTCTCCTTTACTTATGAAGCTTAGCTTGGCTGGATATGAAATTCTGGGTTGAAAATTCTTTTATTTAAGAGTGTTGAATATTGGCCACCACTCTCTTCTGGCTTGTAGAGTTTCTGCTGAGAGATCAGCTGTTAATCTGATGGGCTTCCCTTTGTGGGTAACCCAACCTTTCTCTCTGGCTGACCTTAACATTTTTTCTTTCATTTCCACTTTGGTGAATACGACAATTATGTGCCTTTGAGTTGTTCTTCTTGAGGAGTATGTCTGTGGCGTTCTCTGTATTTTCTGAATTTGAATGTTGGCCTGCCTTGCTAGATAGGGGAAGTTCTCCTGGATAATATCCTGCAGAGTATTTTCCAATTTAGTTCCATTCTCCCCATCACTTTCAGGTACACCAGTCAGATGTAGATTTGGTCTTTTCACATAGTCCCACATTTCTTGGAGGCTTTTTTTCATTTCTTTTCATTCTTTTTTTTTTCTAAGCTTCTCTTCTCGCTTCATTTCACTCATTTGATCTTCCATCACTGATACCCTTTCTTCTAGTTGATTGAATAAGCTACTGAGGCTAGTGCATTCTTCTCGTAGTTCTCATGCATGGTTTTCAGCTCCATCAGGTCCTTTAAGGACTTCTCTGCTTTGGTTATTCTAGTTAGCCATTCATCTAATTTTTTTCTCAGCACTTTTGATTTCTTTGCCATGGGTCTGAACTTCCTCCTTTAGCTTAGATCATCTGAAGCCCTCTTCTCTCAACTCGTCAAAGTCATTCTCTGTCCAGCTTTGTCCCATTGCTGGTGAGGAGCTGTGTTCCTTTGGAGGAGGAGAGGCACTCTGATTTTTAGAGTTTCCAATTTTTCTGCTCTGTTTTTTCCCCATCTCTGTAGTTTTATTTACCTTTGGTCTTTGATGATGGTGATGTACTGATGGGGTTTTGGTATCGATGTCCTTTCTGTTTGTTATTTTTCCTTCTAACAGTCAGGACCCTCAGCTGCAGGTATGTTGGAGTTTGTTGGAGGTCCAATCCAGACCCTGTTTGCCTGGGTATCAGCAGCGGAGGCTGCAGAACAGTGGATATTGGTGAACAGCAAATGTTGCTGCCTGATCATTCCTCTGGAAGTTTTGTCTCAGAGGAGTACCTGGCCTTGCGAGGTGTCAGTCTGCACCTACTGGGGGGTGCCTCCCAGTTAGGCTACCCAAGGTTCAGGGAGCCACTTGAGGAGGCTGTCTGTCCTTTCTCAGATTTCACGCTGTGTGCTGGGAGAACCGCTACTCTCTTCAAAGCTGTCAGACCGGGACATTTAAGTCTGCAGAGGATTCTGCTGCTTTTTGTTTGGCAATGCCCTGCCCCTAGAGGTGGAGTCTACGGAGGCAGGCAGGCCTCCTTGATCTGCGGTGGGCTCCCCCCAATTCAAGCTTCCTGGCCGCTTTGTTTACCTACTCAAGCCTCACAATGGTAGGCGCCCCTCCTCCAGCCTTGCTGCCGCCTTGCAGTTTGATCTCAGACTGCTGTGCTAGCCATGAGTGAGTCTCCAAGGGTGTAGGACCCTCCGAGCCAGGTGCAGGATATAATCTCCTGGTGTATTGTTTGGTAAGACCATTGGAAAAGCACAGTATTAGGGTGGGAGTGACACAATTTTCCAGGTGCCGTCTGTCACCCCTTTCTTTGACTAGGAAAGGGAATTTCCTGACCCTTTGCACTTCCTGGGTGAGGTAATGCCTTGCCCTGCTGCGGCTTATACTCACTGCACTGCATCCACTGTCCTGCACCCACTTTATGACACTCCCCAGTGAGATGAACCCGGTACGTCACTTGGAAATGCAGAAATCACCTGTCTTCTGCGTCACTCACGCTGGGAGCTGTAGACTGGAGCTGTTCCTATTCAGCCATCTTGGCTCCACCCCCTCCATCTACTTTCAAATAAGTTGCTGTGCTATTAATAAAGACCATGAACTGGCAGGAATTGAGTTTTCTATGATCAAATAGTCATTCAAGAAGAATGGTGCCACTTGTTTGTTTGGTTTGTTCGTTAATTTGTGATTTTGTTGTTGCTGTGATTAAGTCTTGCTTTGTTGTCCAGGCCGGGGTGCAATGGCATGATCTTGATTCATTGCAAAGTTTGCCTCCTGGGCTCAAGTGACTCTCCTGCCTCAGTCTCTGGAGTAGCTGAGACTACAGGCCCCAACACCATGCGTGCTTAATTTTTGTATTTTTAGTAGAGACGTGGTTTCACCATGTTAGCTAGACAGATCTTGAACTCCTGAACTTAGGTGATTTATCCGCCTCTGCTTTCCAAAGCCCTGAGTGTACAGGCATGAGCCACGGTGACAGTCCCAGGTGGTTGATTTTAATGTAACAATCCAAAAACAAATGTCACAGTCAAGATTTTGTAGATAGATTTAAAACTAACATATTCTGCAGTTGGGAATGAAATGTAATAGCACATACCTTCACATTAATTCATTTATACATTTAGAGATGTTATAAAAATGTATAGGCAGTATACACAGTAGTACTCAAGAAGCCAAGGAAAGATGTGTGCAGTGCTAAGTGTTGCATATAGGCTTCTGCCAGTGGCTAGGAATAGTGGTCCTGCTGATTATTTCCTTTCCCTCATAGAGTAAATCATTGATATTCATCCTTGCAAAAAGCTGTAAGGCAGTTTTTAGGAGAGTTGTCAAAGAAAAGCCAGGATTACATTAACATTCATACTCAGCCTTTTAGATGTGTCAAAGGTCTCTATTTAAATAAGTAAAATTTGACCAGAACATGAATACACACTCACATCAATGTAGGTACTTTGGTCACAGCAGTTGCTTTATTTGTACTATATATTGGAATTCTCAGTAATGCTTGTTTTGTGGGTGAACGGAAAGTGGAGGAAGTCACAGAACTTTTATAAAATGTTTGGAATTGTCCTGGGCATGGTGAATCATGCCTGTAATCTCAGCATTTTTGGAGTCCGAGGTGATACACCAGAGGAGGCTGGGAATGGTCTCCTTGTTCCTATAATAAGATCTTACTGTAAAATAGGTAATGTCCATTGAAAATCAAGTTATACAACCTGTTCTAATGGTGAGCACTTGAACAATTTTGTTCCATTCTGAATTAACTTTAAGCAAGTAATTCTAAGTTTTGTCTTTTTACCTTGTGTGAAATAACTACCTTCATTTTTACACCATTTATTTGATTTTTAAAATAAAGATGTTTGTTCAAGGTTGTGGTAGTTTAATATTCATATTTAATGTGCTGCCCATCACATCTGTTTATGTTCTATTTCCCCTATTGGTAGTGTTCAAACTAATATGATGTCTTAACCTGTTATACAGCACTGATATTGAAACAAACTAAATCCCAGATCTATGGGTGCAGAAAAAGGTAAGACTCATATAGAAATCTAGGAGTAATTTCAGCAAGCATGTATTTTTTAATACAGTTGTTCCTGCCTTCAATGAGCATATAATCCAGAGGGATATCATCCATCCAAGAGCAGCAGGGTGAGTGACAGCAGGAAGACATGGCTCAGCTGCTGACAGTGGAACATTGAAAATAGCCTTTTCTCCATGCTAATGAAGGTGAAATAGGAATAGCAATCCATGTCCTGGGTATTTTGTAGTAAAGTTAAGTGCCAAATTTCATATGTGACAAATTCTTTGAAGGAGCTGCAAGGAAAGTGGAGCATTAAATGTGACCTCCAATGTGGGCTGCAGAGAAAAGTATTGCAGTCATGAAGGTGTGAAGAAGAGCACTGGGTCACATGGGTAGAACTGTCAGCTGATAGATAGGAGCTGATCATGGGGAAAGATAAGCTGGCAAAGCTTGGATCTGGTAGGTGATGTCCCTTTAAGGCTCTTTAACATAAGAGCAATGAAATGAAATCAGTCTTAAAATCAGTCCCCTGTTAGAATATGTATGTTACCACTAAATTGGTTATCTGCTTTAGTGCTCCAAGAGTGATCCAGAAGAAATGCGGATATGGAGTTTCATCCTCTTGTTATACCTGGAAACTTCCAGAATACATCCTTTTCCATGGACACAGATATTCTCAATCTCTCTTTTGACCATGCTGTACTTGTGATCTTTATCTTTTCAGTCACTTCAACACTTCCTAGTTGTCAGTCCAGAGTTCCAGAAAGCACTGACTGTCCAGACACCACCTTTCACTGGGTACCACACTGGTGCGTTTCTCTACTTACCACTTTGCTACTCTACCTGACACGTTTATTGTGAGAAAACTTATATGGTGGTGTCATGATACAAAAGTGAAAATTTAGGTTTTTCCAGAAACGTAAATAGTTTTCTTCTAAGATAGGAAGCAGTAGGAATGTTTTCTCTTCAACTTGGAAACTTTCCCAAAGAATGAAAATTAACAAAGTATTTATTTAATTGGAATGGAATTATAATTTTATATCCTCTACTCAGCACATTGTAATTGTTACATAAGTTATTAAATGCACATTTGTCTATTCTCCAAGTTCGGTAGTTAGCCTTTTCTATAAACTGAACTCTCTCTATGGAAAAGCTTTCTTTTTTTTTTTTTTTGAGACGGAGTCTCGCTCTGTCACCCAGGCTGGAGTGCAGTGGCGGGATCTCGGCTCACTGCAAGCTCCGCCTCCCGGGTTCACGCCATTCTCCTGCCTCAGCCTCCCAAGTAGCTGGGACTACAGGCGCCCGCCACTACGCCCGGCTAATTTTTTTGTATTTTTAGTAGAGACGGGGTTTCACCGTTTTAGCCGAGATGGTCTCGATCTCCTGACCTCGTGATCCGCCCGCCTCGGCCTCCCAAAGTGCTGGGATTACAGGCGTGAGCCACCGCGCCCGGCCTATGGAAAAGCTTTCTATTCATAGCTTGAATCTAGCTGTATATATGACAGACTGTATGGAGCAACTTCTGTACCACTGGGAACCACCCTTCCTTCAAACTATGAAGTATCGTCTATGGTTCTTCTGTCCAGGGTGGCTCTGCAGCTGCTTCTCACTGCTCCTGCTGCCACACTCACCACCTGCTTTGTTCTCCTAGCATTTTCTATTGCATTTTTTATAAAATCTTTCCCAATGGCTACATTGGGTGGGGCCAGGAAGAGAAATGTTTTGATGTAATTTTTCAGAACTCCACCCCCTATATGACAGCCACCTCCCCTCACCCAGCATGTCCTTTGATATCCCCATCACTCCCCAGTTGCCGGTCTCATCCACATTCAGTCCAAGCTTCAGTTAACTTCTGTATAATCAGATAGTCACCAGCTGCATGGAAAATTAACATCCATAAGAGGACACAATTTGCTTTATCAAGTCTGATCTTTGCAGCAAATATTTTTTTTAAACAAACACAAAATTCCTTGAGAGAGAATCACTAAATGATGTTCAGTAATAGAGGAGACACTGAGCAAATACATGGGCTAATAAAGACATCTTTATTTACCCTCTGACAAAGTACAATCCTTCTTAGTATTTCCTCTAAGAGTGATAAAGTTAGCTTGTGTCTTGTGTTCAAAAGCAATGGCTTAACTTCAACTAGGAGACTTTCCACAAGAGTGAAGAAAGTAACACAAATATTAGCTATCCCATTAGTGGAATTGTAATTTTGTATCCTCTGAACACATATTATATTTCTTAAATCAGTTATCAAATGCAGATTTGTCTTTTCTCCAAGTTCAGTAGTTGGTCTTTATCTGAAAACTGAACGTTGTATATGGAAATGCTTTTTATTCATGGACAGCTTGAATTTAGCTGGATGTGTGACAGAGTGTATGAGGCAACTCTTGTGCCACTGTTGGCCATCCCTCCTCCTGGGGCTGTGAAACATGACCTATGGTGGTATAAGTTTATTAATGACACACAAATGAAGAGTAATTACTAGTAAGAATAATTATAATACTATGTGGAATGGAAATAAAAAAGGTTAAGTCATTTTGAAAAGGATAAATAAGTAAATAAGAATGCATTGGAAATATGTTAGATTCTAATCTTTCATATCCAACATTATTGTCTTAGGAAATCATTTTCTTTCACCAAGAATACAATGTTAATTGCACAAAAATCATGTACATAGAAAAATTAGTTTCCCATTTTTCCAGGAAAAAATTTCAAGTATAAATTCTAGAATAGTCAAGTATCTTATCTTAATTATAATTAAAGTCTTGGTCCTCTCATTTATTAGCTCTCTAATTTGCATGTGTAAATCAAAGAGACTTTTTAGACAACCATTACAATTTATAAATGTAAGGTTTCATTATTGAGAAAATATATTCCTCCATGAGTGGATATGTCCCATCTCCCACCAACTAATGACACAGGGCTATACATTTGTTGAATCTTATTAGTAAGTAATACACTGCTACAAACACTAATTGTCTTCTCCATGTCCATGTTGATTTTGTGTATATGTGTGAATTGGTTAGCATGCATCTGCCTTATCTCTAACATTCAATAACAAGATGTGCCAGGCTTGGGCTTTTGGTGAAGGTTGACCATGCCTGTGTTCATCAAGTGATCTGACATATCCACAGTCACAAGAATTTTTTGAACCCCATCCTCAAAGGCTGCTGCCACATTTGTGGCATCTTTTGCACTTGTTGCAAAGTAAGGGTAGTCACTGTCCTTCCTGCATAATGCAGCTGTTCTTCTATAAACACCTGCCTTTCGTTTATGCCAGTCCTGGAATGCAGAACTACAAAAGGAAATCGCTCAGGTTCTTTCCAATTACTTAAGTTCTGGAAGCTTCCTAAATCATTGATTCTAAAAATAAGCAGAGAACTGTCAGAACCTCTGTAAAATGGTGTCCTCAGGCTTCAGAATCTCTCCTGACCTGCCATGTCACAAATCTGTATGGTAACAAAATGTCCACCCCTTTCAAATCTTATTTTAAAATTCCACATCTATTGCATGGAACAGCTGAGTGCCAAACTTAATAGTTACTTATCTGTTCCTAAGTGAACTCTTCCCAACCCCACCATCTCCAAAGAGAATTACTTTAAAAAGTGATGAATTTCCTGCCACTGTTAATTGCAAGAGCTTCAAGAACCCTTGAAAATAAAAAGGCACCATAACATTCCTTTTTGCCTACCTATTCATCTATATGAGTGTATGAATATCAGCTTTATTTATTTTTCTTTTTTTTTTTTTTTGAGATGGAGTCTCACTCTGTTACCCAGGCTGGAGTGCAGTGGCATTATCTGGCTCACTGCAAGCTCTGCCTCCCAGGTTCACACTATTCTCCTGCCTCAGCCTTCTGATTAGCTGGGACAACAGGAACCTGCCACCACAACTGGCTAATTTTTTTGTATTTTTATCAGAGACGGGGTTTCACAGTGTTAGCCAGGATGGTCTTGATTTCCTGACCTCGTGATCCACCCGCCTCAGCCTCCCAAAGTGCTGGGATTACAGGCGTGAGTCACCATGCCTGGCCGAATATCAGCATTTAACTGAAGTAACACACATAAACCTACAGAATAACTAAAAATAAGACTTGTTGTTTACTGAGCATACAGCCATGTGTGGGCTACTATACTACCATGATTCTCTGAAACAACTAAAAAGGGCTCACTCTTCCCCTTTATCAGGTCACAATTGACTGTGAAGCTGGTACTTTAGCTGAAATGTGACATCAAAGCTCTTGTTATGAACAGTGAATCTATGATAAGCCCCTCTCTGCTCATAGTAAGCTCCACTACTGTTGGTTAGAGATGGATAAGAGAGCAAAGATTGTATGTTTCTGATACAGCAAGATTTATACCTTAGGGAGTATGTTTATGACAAAGGTAATGGAGGTTAGTGTTGAGAGAGCAAGAAACTTTATAGTTATATCTGAGCCAAAAAGAAGAGCCATGTTTAAGCTAGGCACGTTGGTTCATGCCTGTAATCCCAGCACTTTGGGAGGCCAAGGTGGGCAGATCATGAGATCAGGAGCTTGAGACCAACATGAAAAACAGGCTGAAACCCTGTTCTACTAAAAATACAAAAATTAGCCAGGGGTGGTGGTGTGTGCCTGTAATATCAGCTACGCAGGAGGCTGAGGCAGGAGAATCCCTTGAATCCGAGAGGAGGAGGTTGCAGTGAGCTGAGATTGCACACATGCACCCCAGCTTGGATGACAGGGCAAGCAAGACTCCATCTCAAACAAACAAACAAGCAAACCAAGTAGGTTTCGTCTTTTCACATAGGCCTGTATTTCTTGGACATGTTGTTTGTTCCTTTTCATTCCTTTTCTCTGACATTTTCTTTATGCTTTATTTCAAAAAGTTGATCTTCAGTCTTTGATATCTTTCTTCCACTTGATCAATTTGGCAAGTGATAATTGTGTATCTTTCCGCAGTCTTTTTGCTGTGTTTTTGATTTATGTTTTTCTCTAAACTGGTTATTCCAGTTATCAATTTCCCTGACCTTTTTTTGAGGTTCTTAGCTTCCTGGCATTGGGTTAGAACATTCTCCTCTTCTCAGAAGAGTTTTTATTACCCACATTCTGAAGCCTACTTCTGTCTATTCCTAAAACACATTTTCTATTCAGTTTTGTTTTCTTGCTGATGAGGAGTTGTGATCCTTTGGAGGAGAAGAGACTTTCTTGTTTTTGGAATTTTCAGCCATTTTGTGCTTTTTTTTTACATCTTCGTGCATTTATGTACCTTTGTTCTTTGATGTTGGTTACTTTTGAATAGTTTTTTATGTGTGCGTGTGTGGAAATCCTTTTAGTAGATGTTGATACTGTGCCTTTCTGTTATGAGTTTTCCTTCTAACAGTCAGGCTTCTCTGCTGCAGGTGTGCTGGACTTTGCTGGAGGTCCACTTCTGACCATTTTTGCCTGTGTTTCACTATCAGAGGGTGCAGAAAAGCAAAGATTGCTGCCTATTCCTTCCTCTGAAAGTTTCCTCCCACAGGGGCACCTGCCAGGTGCCAGCCAGAGCACTCCTGTATGAAGTGTCTGTGGATCCCTGCAGGGAGGAGTCTCCCAGTCAAGAGGCATGGGCTTCATGGACCCACTTGAGGAAGTAAGTAGTCTGTTGGAAATCTGCACCTCTCTTCAGAGCCAGCAGGTAGGAAGGTTTAAGTCTGCTGAAGCTGTGCCTACAGCCACCCTATCCCCCAGGTGCTCTGTTTCAGGGAGATGGGAGTTGTATCTACAAACCCCTTACTGGGGCTGCTGCCATTCATTCAGAGATGCCCTGACCAGAGAGGAGGAATCTAGGGAGGCAATCTGGCTACAGTAGCTTTGCTGAGGTGCAGTGACTTCCCAGTGGCTTTGTTTACACTCTGAAGGGAAAACCACCTACTCAAGCCTCAGTACTATTTGACGTCCCTGTCGCCACCAATCTCAAGCACTTCAGGTTGACTTAAGACTACTGTGCTGGCAGCAAGAATTTCAAGGCAGTAGATTTTAGCTTGCTGGGCTCCATGAGGAAGGCATCCGCTGTGCTAGACCTCTTGGCTCCCTGGATTCACCTCCCTTTCAAGGGAGTGAATGGTTCTGTCTTCCTGGCATTACAGGTGTCAAGGGGGTATGAAAAAAAAATAATTTTTCAAGCTAGCTCTGTGTCTGGCCAAACCAGTTTTATACAGCTTGCATGAAAATTTATGTTTAGCACCTTCAATTATGTATTATAATGTAACTTTTAGCAATTTTTAAATTTAATGTAAAACCTGTTATTTCTTGTTTTTTTTGTTTTTCCTGTAAATGGCAGTAACATTAAACCTTTTCCATGGGTACAAGTGGATGATATATTCTTTTCCATGGGTACAAGTGAATGATATATTTGTTCATTCACATATTTAACTATTAGAATTTCTGGGAAGCTGGATTTGCTATAAAGCTACTTTGAAAAAGATCTGTTTTCTTCTAGATGTCCCCAGACAATAGACAGAAACCCTGAATCCTCTTTCTGAAAGAGGACAGTTATGCTGAGAAAGCACTGTGTGTCCCCAAGATTTCCTCTAGCTTAGTCCCAATGGTCTTTCAAGGAAATGGACAGCAGGCCAGACTTTCTCCAGTACAAGGAGAAAGCCAGGAAGAGGTAGATCTTACCAGATGGCTGAATTAGTGTTGTTTGTTGGATGTTCCAGTTGGAATTGGCAAATGGTCTCCCAGACTGGAGCCACATGAGGAAGAGAGAGTAAGATAATGAGAGAGATGGAGAGAGAGAGAGAAGAGGAAAGAGGGAGCCAGTGTTAGGAAGTGAAATAACTATTGTTGGTGCTCAAAGGTGGATTCCTGAGACTTGAGGGTTTTAGAGCCCTGAACTGAGCCTTGCAGTTCCCTTCAGGTCAGTTGTCCTTCTCACACAAATCTCTTTAAGAGTAAAATGAGAGAAAAGATGGGGCATGTGGCCAGAGACTCTCAGGATCCACGAGTTAACTTAGGGTAAACTGCCATTGCCCACAGCTTACTGGGATGCAAGGGAGCCTCTGCCCCCAACACCGGTCCCGGATTTCAGCACCCAATGTAAGAAGTAAAGAAAGAGGAGAGAAACCTGAATGGTGACTTGACAGTCAACACAGACAGGTTTATTTTGAATCAGTCTGAGAGGGGTGGCTAGCCAGGTTAAGTCAGAGCCACACACTAACGGATTAAGAATTTTTCACAATTCAGTCTCGGAGAGTTTATCAGAGGCTTGCACTGCCTCTGTGTCTCTTTGCTGTGGTTATCTGAGAGAGAGAGTTCCTTTTCTGTTTTTGTACATCTTTCTGGAGTTGCAGGCATATCCCCCATGTCTGCTTCTAGCTTCCTTATCTTAGTGCACCTGAAGGGAAAGGAATGTGCTGGTTATTTGTAGTTAGGAGAGAAGTGATTTCCTTGAAATGCATGAGGCTAAAAAGAGAGCTGGATGTTAAAGTGATGGTGTTGGTTCAGGATGAAGGTGCTCCTGCTCTATCACTTCTAGTCAGGTAATTGTACAGCTATTATTTTTGTTTTGCTTTTTGGAGTAATTAAATACTTACAAGTAAATTCTGTTGTCTGCAAATTCAAATCAGCAAACTTATATGACTCTAATTGATGTATTTTCCATACACAAATGCATGCTTACAATACATTACAACACCTGTGAGTTCTAAAAATTATTTTATGCTAATGAATACTGATTTCTGCACTCTCTGAAAAACAAGATTAAGTGATTTTGTGTATTGAATATACACAGTTACTTAGGAAATCCCTGAGGTTTATATTTTTTAAAATGTCCTTTTCTAATGGTTAAATTGAAATATATTTTAGTAAAAAAAACCTGTAACATAAAATTAAAATTAGTGACAATGTAAATAACTGCATGGCTTAAATTATTCTTTTGAAGTTGTGGAAGTGTTGTTGTTTTTGTTTTAATTATAACAGCATACAACATCTGCAATAAAATTTACCACAGCTCTTCATTTTTTCTCTCAAAGAGGAATTGTATTTAATAATTTTCTTTGTGAGATGTTTGCTGTTTATGAGAACAGGACTCATTATTCAAATAGAAGTTGTTTTTAAATCTTGATTCTATTACACCAATGAATAATTGCTTTTCAGAGAAATGTAACAACTTTAGCAAGAGTGGTCAGTTACTAAGAGCAGTATTTGATCTCCTGAGAAGAAAAGATTCAGAGCATAGGGTTTATATTTACAGAAATATATTTGTTTGTAATGTATGCAAGCTCAGGTAAGATATTTTCATAATTTTATATCAATGATGTTTTTATTTTTATATATTAAATGAGAAGCACATTTTAATCAAGTTATAACATGTAAAGTGTCCTAATGTACAAGCAATATTCCACGTACATATACACATATACACATCAAAATGCCTTGCAAATCTGTGTAACTTTAATGTATTTCATGTATTCTCAGGTAATTTATATTTATGCACTTGTTTCATTTTTCTGGTAACCTTTAAGATTAGATATTGTGCCTGATTGATGACCTCTTGATGTTATCTTTTTCTTTTGTATTTTTTTTTTTTTGAGATGGAGTCTAACTCTCTGGCCAGGCTGGAGTGCAGGGGCATGATCTCATTTCACTGCAACCTGCCTGACCAATATACATATATATATACATGTATATATATACACATTTATATATATGTATATATATACACATTTATATATATGTATATATATACACATTTATATATGTGTGTATACACACACACACACACACACACATATATATATATGTATAACTTTTTTCATACTTTGGTACAGACAGGGATTCACCATGTTAACCAAGATGGTCTCGATCTCCTGACCTTGTGATCCGCACACCTCGCCCTCCCAAAGTACTGTGATTACAGACTTGGGTCACTGTGCCGAGCCGATGTTATCTCTTAATGTTGCTTTTTGAAAAGTACTGGCTTCCAGGTCATATCCACACTATCTAAATCAGAATTTCTAGAACCTTGAAAAGGAATCCATATCCTTAAGGGATCCCAAGTGGTTGTTTTGCTTGTCAGGTTTAAAAATGACTTCTATGTGAAACTTACCATATATGTATGTTTTTGTTAAAATAAAGTAAAAGAAATTTAGTGATAATGTAAATAAATAATTCACTTAAATTTTTTGTTGATGTTAGCATAAATTAAGAAATGCGATATTCAGTAAAGCTCTCTTAGAGAAGCCTGATTTTTGTCACATCAACCTATTGCACAGTAGTACTAAAGGCATGGATAGATTGTCAGAAATGTACAACAAAAATATTTGTAGTGTTTTCAGTGTTATTTTATGTCATTTTTATGAGTGAAAAGAAGGGGAAATTTATTACAGATGCTGTTGTCCAATTTGAATATCAGCAATTCAGGTGTTAGTGCAACTTTTCAAAAATTACTAATTTATGGATATAGCTAGAATTTAATTACTAGTTAATATCTCCCTGATATTGATAAATATTAGGTCACATTTATATGATGACTCAGACAATTAGCAGATCATTTTAAGTAACTTGTTAGAATCACAAATATTTTACTATCTAAAACTAAGTTCTATGGTCACACATTCCTGTAATGAAAGTGTATTTTTATTATTAATATATACCTCCAGGAGGAAATAAATTTTACCCTTTCCTCTTCCTGCTCTGACCATCTCTGTGCTTTCTTTTTCTCAGGCTAGTCTGACTACATCTGAGATTCTGGGATACTTCTAGTAGAGTAGAAGCATACATTATAGAAACACAAATACAATATTTATTTTAAATTTAAAATTATGAAACTTAAGAACTCACAAAATTTTTGTTTTGCTCAATTTAACTTGAGATTTTAGTTTCTCATACACAACACATGGTTGGTTTATGATATAACGTAAGTTTAAATTTAATTGCCAAGGTTCAATATACATTTATACATCTTAAGGCATTTAGGTAGTATGTTTTAGGTTTTAGGAATTTTTGGATTTGAGAAAACTGAGTCATCACATTTGCATCACATTGTGTATCATTCCCTGTAAGGCTCCCAAAAGTACCCAAGAATTAAACATACTAATGCTTCTATAAAAGTAATGGATATTCCCTTTAAGGGTGAAGGGTACATGAATGAAGGCTTAAGTAGCTTCCCTCAATTAAGTCTTTTTTGCATTGGAAATTGAGTTACATATGAATCTTAGTTTTAAAAGCCTTGCTTAATTGAGCTTTTTGCATTTCAGATAAAGTATTTTGAATCTGTCTTAATTATGATTTTGAAAATACAGTACTGAATTAACAGCCCAGGTGGCTACAAAGCACCATAATAAACAAGAGAAATACAAAGTGCTCTCCTGCCTACTATAGGGAGTATGTGACAGATTTGAAGAGTAAAAAGCATCTTGCAGTAGAAAAGGGTTACTTTGTTAAGCTTTTTTTTTAAGTAGCTAATGGGTACAGACTTAGTATTGACATAACTTGGCTTTTTAGCAATCATGTGAGATATTCAGTGTAACATGATAAACCACTAGAGGATCACAAAAGGCATATATTAGTAGCATGTCATTAGCTATAAAATAGAAAGTTCCACAATAGACCACAGTAAGGAAGTATTCAAAATTATCTGTAGAAAAAGATTGTGGGTGCTCCATAATAGAAAAACTAGCAATGTAGAACATATGTGTAGACAAATTTATGAGCTCTTTATGAGTTAGGATAGCCAGGTGTTCGTAATTGGAGATTTGAGGAAGTGGAGCAGGAAAGAGATGTTAACACCTATGTCCTGGGTGTGATTTGATAAGCTGTGGGAATAGTAATGCAATTTACTGATAGAAAAAATAGAACCTCTTTGAGTGGATTGCATTTTAGAAACATATGGGACACCAAATAAAAAATTGTAATGGGGAGTTGGATACATATGTCCACAATTTGGAATCATCTAAAAGGATACGTGTGTTACCACAGATGTAATAATGAAAAACTGTCACAGAAAGGTATGTCCTAGAATGGAATTTTTTTTAATTTAGTGTTATCATGGTAGATAATATTAACTTATCCAAAAAGCAATCCATAGCCTCTAAGTAGTTAGTTTAATTAGTATGTCAGAGAAGACTTTTATCATTATTATTATTATTATTATTATTATTACTATGATGATGTGTGTGTGTGAGAAGGAGTCTCACTCTCTCACTCAGGCTGGAGTGCAGGAGCAGAATCTCAGCTCACTGAAACCTCCACCTCCTGGGTTCAAGCAATTCTCTGCATCAGCCTCCTGAGTAGCTAGGATTACAAGCGCCCACCACCACGCCTAGGTAATTTTTTTATATTTAGAAGAGATGGGGTTTCACAATCTTGGCCAGACTGGTTTTGAGAAAAATGATAATTTTAAAGAACTGTGCTTATTCTAAAAACTGATCTTTAGCATTATTCTAGAACTCTTAGTTGTATCATCTGCAGTAAAAGAAGCCTAAGAATTGCACCAGAATTAGTTGCCCAACTCTACCAGGAGATTCAAAGTTTTATTGTTATAGGATTCTAGAAACAAATCATACTATATATCTGGAAACTCTGTACACACACCCCCACAAACACACAAAATTTTCACTCAGTAGACATTATAATAAGCACACTGAAAAACTGATAATAAACTGAAGTTATTATAAAGCTGTAGAACACAATGATTAAAGGCAGATGATCACCTTAAATTGTAAACAACTGAAATATTAGATTTTAACAATGAAAATTTTCTAATTCTTCTTTTGTCCACCATCATAGATTTCAAGCAGATTAATTAATGTTGTAAATGACATTAAGAGTTCCTATCAATTGAATTTAATTTATGCCATTTTAAAAATTATTTGTAGTCATATATTGTTTACTATGTAACTTCTTTTATTTTCTCTAAAATAAGGCTAAATCACATCTTAGCCTCATCTCATCGAAGGATGTGATTACCGTAAAGGTATACATGTTGGGTTAACATGGAAAATCAATTACCTGGATTAATATGGGATTCATGTATTAATTTATTATTCTCCTTATTAAGTTTGAAATGGTTTGTGTAATGAACATTTAGTCTATTCAACAGGCAGTATTCAACAGGTATATATCAGCATCTACTGTGTACCAAGCACCGTTCAAGGCAGTAGATAACAATACAGGCAAAGATAATATTAATCCAAATTGCACATGAAAACTTTTGATACTATTGATAATGTGGCAAATGACGTGATTTTCCCTTTATTATAATTTTTAAGAGAATAAGATAGTGAAATGTGTACTATAAGTGTAACAGGAAGCCTATTTGTGTTATTCTTTACATTAAATAATTAGATTACTAAAATTACCTTTTCCAAAGAAATTTATATTATAAATGCTCCTATGGCAAAAAGAAAAAACCTGGCCTCTGACTTGGAATATAATATAATTATATTAAGTAAGATACATGCTAGAGAGAAAAAAACTATTTTATTTTTTTGTCATGGTAATGAGAAAAAAGACAAGCCATTTTTTTGCAACTTTTAAAATTGACTCCTAAGAACAGTAAACAGTAAGCAGTATAACAGTAGACAGTAAACAGTAAACACCAAGCAGTGTAAATATGTTGCATTTTAGCCAGCTCTGAAAGAAAATGACTGATCATTAGCAAATCAGGCAAATTTTATTGTTGCCATTGAAAATTGCTTTACCCATCGTGTGTGTTCTTATATTAACAGAATTGAAATCAATTTTGTACTGCCAATTAATATTGCTGTTTTATAATCACAGGATTCTTGCTTTACCTTCTAAAATGTCCCTGAAAAATGAGTGAACACCAAGTAAGTTTTGTTTTTCTTAAAAAAGGTAGTCATAAAAAACTGCTCATATTTAGTAAAAATAATGAGGTGAGTTGGACATGGTGGTGCATTTCTCTAATCCAAAGTAGTTGGAAGGCTGAGGCAGGAATATTCCTTGAACATTGGAGTGTGAGGCCTCATTGAGCTATGAGCTATAATCTTCTCACTGTAGTCCAGCCTGTGCCACAGAGCATAATCCTAAGTATAGAATAACAAATGGAACTATGAAAAGTAATATAGCATTACTGTGTTTAATTCACTTATAGTAATGCATGGATAGTATATTTAGCAAAACATTTTAAATTGGTAATATGTCAAGAGGTCAGATATTTGAGTCAGATTGCTAGCTAGCCCCTCAACTGGCTAAATCTGTAATAACTGGCAAAGTATTTCTCCTAACTGTAATTTTTTTATTTGTTAAATGGATTTACTAAGGTTACCCGCTTAAGAAACTAACTCTAATATTAATTAGATTACCTCAAACACTTGTTCTGAATGGCACATAATAGGCAATAAAATATTAGCTACTACTATATATAATAAATTCTTTTCATCTGCTTATTTTTAAAGCTCTTAGACCACATAATAAAATTCCAGAAGGCTGGGAAAGGCTGTTAGATACAATAGGGTGCCATAAGAGTCACTATCAAAAATGAGCATATCAGTGCATAAAATGTATGGTAGCTTTATTTAGCAGTTATTCCATTGTTTACCATAGTGTTTTTTCTTACAATTTTGTAGAAGCCTGTGTCAGAATTTGAACTTTTTTAGAAGACAGTAATCATGGATGATTGAAATTAACATTTTAATCTGATACTGGAAATTATTCTAAATTCTATTACATTTATATTTGTATTTTCTTTTGAAAGCTAACGGAAATCTTAAAAAGAAAATGGAAACTTCTCTGCCAGGGGAGATACCATGATCACAAAGGTGGCTTTCTCAGGGAAAGGCTGATTTATTGCACTCCAGATGTGCTGACCCCTGAGATTTCTCCAAATGTGGGAAACTCAGCTGCATAATTTGTGGAAGCGAAGGACTGTGTTTGTGCTTTCATGTGGAAAAAAAATAAAAAAAAAGAAAATTGACTCGTTTAGTGTATATAGAAAGGTGAAAGAAGGCCATATACTGGAAACAATTCAGTATGTCTACAGAAATTGGTCTCCTCCAGTACAAAACAATAAAACAGCAAGTGGTTATTTCTTAGAAAGATCAAATAGTGTTAGGATGACATTTGCAAATGCTTGAGAACTTTGTCTAGATAAGGGGGTGGGGGGAAGCCTCCACAGGGCAGCATATAAATCTGGGAAAAAGACAAGTAATTTTTAAATGTGTAAGCCAATGTTTATGTATTAATCTTGCCCTGAAAATATTTATTTTGTTAAATGATTAACATTGGTTTGTTTGTTCTTAAAAAGTAAGTTTCCTTTTGGAAACAACTTGTGTGAAATGGTCTAAAAATGATGTAGCTAAAATAATTCAGATTTTTCCCCTCTATTATAAATCATTTGCAGGAATTGTAAATATGTTATAGATGTCAGCTTTCTTACATTTCTTAAAAGTTTATTCTAAATGAAGAAAATATAATATAAGGTACAAAGTTACTTTTATAATCAAATTGTCAATCTTGTTAAATATTTAGAATTTCGAGCCAGATGACCAAGATGTCTTAGATGGGCATAAGACCTGTCCAACAGAAGATGCTCCATTATTTCCTCATTCAACAGGCTCTATGTATCAACAGGTAAAATAAAAATAATAATAATAATTTTCTTTTTCAAACTTATTTTGATGCTTTACTTATGTAGTCTTCAATTATTATTTTCTTACATATTTTGTAACATATCAGCTGTGACTGCAAATTAAGAAAAAATTATCTAGGACAGCTTTGACAAGATGATCAGAAGAATAGTTTAAGTGGGGTCATGTTTTATTTTACCCTTGTGATTTTTTTATTTTTTTTTTTTGTAACTAGGTACTACCTTGTCCTAGTTCATAAAAAGTGTGATATTTCAATAAGAGCATAAAGCAATTTATTTACATTTTCTCAAAATCCAGTGAGAGTAAAAATTAACAATTTTAACAGCTGTAATACAAAGTATACTTAAAAAAATACTCACCAAAAATATAAACAAAAACCATTTATAAGCACTTCTCAGTTGAAACAAATATTTTTGTTAAAATATTCTAGGAAGATTAGCCACAACATAAGTAAGGTAGTTTTCTTTTCACTTTCCTTTTTCTTTCTTTTTTTCTTTTCTTTTCTTTCCTTCCTTCCTTCCTTCCTTCCTTCCTTTCTTTCTTTCTTTCTTTCTTTCTTTCTTTCTTTCTTTCTTTCTTTCTTTCTTTCTTTCCTTTCTTGTTTCATTTCCTTCCTTCCTTCTTTCCTTCCTTCCTTCCCACATTCCTTCCTTCCTTCTTCCTTCCTTTTTTGCTACCTTCCTTTTTTCTTTCCTCCCTTCCTTCCTTGCTTCCTTCCTTCCTTTCTTTTTTTATTTTGATAGAGTTTTGCTCTGTTGTCTGGGCTGAAGTGCTATGTTTGCGATCTTGGCTCACTACAATTTCCACCTTCTGAATTCCAGCTATTCTCCTGCCTTATCCTCCCAAGTAGCTGGGATTAGAATCATGCATCACCACACCTGGCTAATTTTGTATTTTTGGTAGAGAAAGTGTTTCACTGTGTTGGCCAGGGTGGTCTGGATCTCCTGACCTCACAATCCACCCACCTCGGCCTCTCAAAGTGCTGGGATTACAGATTGTTAGCCATTGCACCTGGCCAGGTTAATCATTTAAAGCTTTTCTTGTAACATTTAGCATGACTTCTCATCAAGTTCATGTAGCCAAGAAATGGAATTACCTAAATTACAGCAGGTGCCCAGAGTAACAGCTGTATTGCTCAGAAACCTTATTTTATCACCAGAAAAAAATATAAAACAGGGGAAAAATGTAAAAAAACAAGGATATTTTCATTCTACATTTTCTTTACATTTAATGTTTGATAGTTTAATTTCTTGTTAAGATAAAGAATATGGATATATTTTTAATAGAAATTCTAAAATATTAAAACCAATCTGCACAAGTTTCATATGTCACAATGTGTGGAGCATGGTAGGTTGTATTTTGTGCTTGGGGCACTGTTGTGGTAGAATTTATTAAGTGATGCTTCTAAAATTTGGTTTCATCTAATCCCATGAAGTGCATATCATCAGAATCCACATACTTTGAAGTACCATTGCGCCAAGATTTCTGACTGCTTTGATAGCCAGGCACAATTTTCCTTGAAATCAGTAAGTCTCCTAGTTTATTTCTATATTATTTTAAAGCTTTTGTTGTTAGATGTGGTGTTCACTGAAGATATAAATGCCTTCTGATTTTAAAAAAATTTGTATTTTTTTTTAATTTCCTGTAATATCTCTATGCCCATTGTTGGAAACAATAGGATGTGAAGTGTGTTGCGTAGCTTGAGGAACAGTAATTGGTTTGTTCAAATTGGTTAGAATATACTATGTTTTTAAATCTTTTTATAGTATATGAGCATTAGCATTGACCACTATGAATGCCAAATGCAGTCTACATTAGTCAAGACCTATAAATACACTATCAGGGCTACTGATATTTGTACATTTTAGTCCAACTATGTTATGGCCCTTCCTATTTGGCCTATTGTTATTTGCCATCTACATTTCTCTTCTGGCCTAGACTTAGATTTTGGAATTTCTGTTCCTTAGAGAGTACAAGAGAAATATGTGTAGATTAATGCTATCTCTGCATTACTGCTGCACCTCTATAAGTTTGCCACCTCAAGTAAATACATCATGTTGTCCTGGTTCCAGTCACCTCCCAATCATCCTGGAGAGGATACTTCAAATGGAAATCAACATGTCCTTCTTTAATGTACCTCTTAAATTTTTAATATTATGCAGATGTCAGGATGTCACTCGGCCCATTGAAAGTACAAGTGTCACATACTGGCATCTGCTTGAAAGTCCAGTTTTCTACTGTTCATGTGGCCAGGACATTCATTATTATTTACTACTCATGCATTCAGACAATTGTCTTTGTAAAATAATAGTTTAAAGTTTTAATCCTTCATTTAAAAAAAAAACAGCATGCAATTTCATCCATGTCCCTACAAAGGACATGAAACTCATCATTTTTTATGGCTGCATAGTATTCCATGGTGTATATGTGATCATTCTCAGTAAACTATCGCAAGAACAAAAAACCAAACACCGCATATTCTCACTCATAGGTGGGAATTGAACAATGAGATCACATGGACACAGGAAGGGGAATATCACACTCTGGGGACTGTGGTGGGGTGGGGGGAGGGGGCAGGGATAGCATTAGGAGATATACCTAATGCTAAATGACGAGTTAGTGGGTGCAGCGCACCAGCATGGCACATGTATACATATGTAACTAACCTGCACAATGTGCACATGTACCCCAAAACTTAAAGTATAATAAAAAAAAAAAGAAAAGAAAAAAAAAGAAAATGAAAAAAAAAAAAAAAAAGCAGCCTGCAGTTCAATCATTGAGCTAATTTGCTCATTCCATCTTCAATTGGTCTTTTTATTTCTGGTCTCTGTGAAAGCCTGCCAACAGGATATTGTTCATCCACCTTGAAACTGTCATTTGTCAACCAAGCAGGTTGTTGTAGTCAATAGGGAGCTCTTCAAAGGGCATTGCCCATGTAAGAGTGGGATCCAGTAATTCCTGTGGTTGTTCCAAATTTGATGCTAGAAAATACCAGACTATTTGCCCTTGAACAGGATAAGCACCTCCTTGCACTTCCCTGTTAACATTGTACTCTATAAAGCCATCTTTTATGTTATTTTGGAAGTCTGAGCACTTCCTCATTAAACTGTTTCCTTAATATGCCCAACACCTTATGGGTGTTCCAAATTCTATAATTATTTTACGGTCTTCTGTCAAAGAAGCAGTCTCAATACCAAGGCAAGACAAGCTAGTAATTATCTTTCCAATGGCACATATTGTTTCATGGCATCCAGGAGTGCCCTGGACCACAATTTCCAGCTAATGCTGAAGAGGGGCATGTGTGGGTTTTCTGCCATGGCCTCACTGTGCCCAGGAACATGTTGCAAGTACTTCTAAAATCAGAATTTGGATCACAAAGACCCAATGTGTAGAGAGAAAGAGCATTTTACCATTCAGAAATGGCCAGCTTTAGTGAAATTTCTTATTTAAATAGACCACCATTTATTGTTTTTAAATGGATGCATTATAATTTTACATATTTACAAAGTAGAACTATTATTTGTATACACGCACACAACGACAGATGACCAAATCTTTAAATGTCATATTAGTAATTGGTATATTAGTAATTTCAGACATATATGACATATTTGTTTAAAGAACATTCCGAATCTAAACGTCTAGTTGTTTTGAAATCTACAAGAAATTATTCATACCTATAATATCCCTCCCACACAATCAAACTTTAAAACCTATTCCTTCTAATTGTGTTTTTTATCCATTAACTGACTCACTTATTTGCTTGCTCAATGTCTTTCGCAGCCTATAATAAACTGTCATTCTATTCTCTGCCTTCATGAGATCAACTTTGTTATTTCTCAAATATGAATAAAAACATGCAATCCTTGTCCCTTATATTTCCTGGCTAATTTCACTTAATATAATGTCCCTTATAGGAAGCCTTTTTCTGAGTAATGTTCAGTTAATGTATTGAGGTTTTTATAAAACTGAAATAATCACTCACTTAAAATTTAACTTGTTACCAAAATTCTTTGGGTATATAGGACTGTAGTTTGAAAATAGCTAAATGAACAAAGATGTCTTGAAGGTGCCTTAGGACACTAATATTGTACTCTTTTCTACCTCCTGTCTTACTTAACTCTGATTTGTCTTCAAATTAATAAAAATATTCTAGTAAATTATCTTGGGGATCAACATTAAACGCCAAAAGAAATCAGTAATGCACTAATTTAACTTTACAAATATAAGGAAAGAAGTTGCAACCAATACCAAAAGTTACCGAATAAAATGATATATTTTTATACTCCTAATTTTCAAAGTACTTAATTTATTTTTTAATTTTTACTATTATTGCTTATTTCAAACATGGGCTATTATAATTGAGTTCACAGAAAAGTTATTATAAAAGAGTAATAAAATAATAACATACACTGGAAGTAATATAGTAAAGTTTGAACAAGTAGGCAGGAGTAAAGACAAGTGAGTCATCTGCCATGAGTAACTTTTGGGGAATAAGTAACTTTTTGGGGAATAAGTTACTGAGTCTTTCTAGGATTCAGTATCTTCTTTTGAGAATAATGTGTTTTCCAAATTAGATAAGATTATTTACATGGTGAAATCAGAATTATTAACACTCAGTAAGTATATCTATTAACGATAGTTGTGGAAGGAAAGGGAGCATAGACAGAAGCTCCAATAGTCAAAACATGATTGTAGCCATAAAGCAAAATACAGTTGGTTTACTAGTATGTAAGACATTTCTGTGTTTTTCATTTTGTCTTAGGTTTGTGACAAAGAAGTAAATAATATCCAATTCCTGCCCTGGAGAAGCTGACTGCATAGAAAAAGGAACAAGGCAGATATACATGCCAGAGTACAGTGCTGAGAAAACATAAAGCACAACCAACCAAGTACAAAGGTAAGACATCAAATCTGAAATTTTATATTCTGTCTGTTTCATTTGTTTCTTGCTGGTATGGTTAACCATCTTTATATGTGTTAAATTCAACACCCTAGGGGTCACACATGCTATAGTACCAGAACTTACATTCCAATTTTTCTTCCAATAGTGGCTGTTAACCAAGTATTGGTGAATATCATATATGAAGACTCTACTAAAAGTAAAGCTACCCCGACTGTGATGCTTGGATTGTATAATTTACCGGATCTAGCAAAGAGAAAGACAGTGTGTGTTTTGTAATCTCTATAAATGATAAGTATGGAGACACTAGTAGCTGAAAGACAAATTATTTCTGCCCACTGAAAGGAAAAAAATGAAGAAATTGTAGGAAAACCATTTACTACAGTTAAAATATACTGATCTTAAAATTTAGTTTCTATCAGTGTCTATAAAGAAAAGTAAAAATATAATAACAATAATAAAGAGTTTGAGTATAAACAGCAAAATTCAGGTATTCCATATTCACTTATTTGGAGGTATGCCCTAAATAGGTGATCTATCAGTATAACTTAACTTTTTCACTGCTTTATTTTCAAATGAATACTTTTCATAGGCAGTTTGATGATAATTCTTAACTAATATTTTTTACAAGTTCACATAGCAAATTTGAAGAATAAATTTTTTTCTTTAGCAGGAAAACCTCGCATTTGAGAAAAATATTAGAGAATTTAAATAGAAGCACATCTTATGATACACAGACAATATAAATATTCAGTCATAGTATCTCAGAGATTTTAGCCATATTATGAAAAGTAATTCCCACATAATTCTTTTAAAGTAAAATAATTTCAGAGATAAAAACAGTAGCTGCTATCAGAATCTTCAAGGTAATAGTAATTAATAATTAGAATTTACCTCACTGTTCTGCTTCTCATCTTCATAAAATCATTGTCTGTATTTTTACCTATGCATTCAATTGCAAGAATACTGTCTCCATTGGAATATATATACACACACAAACACACACACACACACATATATATATGGCTGCTGGATCACAGAATTCATGTGATAAAAAGTACCAACATTTTGAAGTCCCACGAGATTTTCTGGTGGGTGAGATATAAGAGGGAGCAGATATTCCCATTCAAAAAGTGCTTCACAACCTGAGATAAGAAGAAAAAATAATGCTTGTACTATGAAAATAATAATTCTGCCTACTCTTATTTCCATCAACTGACAATATTAACAACAACTCATCAACAAAGCATCAACACAGTCATTTTGAAAGAACACTTTGAATTTTCATATTAACAACAAATAGAGTGACCATATAGATTTTTAACTACAGACCCCTTAGTTCTGTATTTTAATGATATTACATCTATTTGTTAAAAAAAGTGTTTGTTTAAAAAAAATCTCTTTAGAATATATATATAAACTGTGCCAATTCAGTTGTTAAATAAATTAACAAAATGAGTTTTTAAAAAGGAAATGCTTCTCTCTACATAGATCCCACAAGACAAAGATCGGACCTTTTAAGGAGTGAGTTTAGCTAGAAACTCCTACAATGTGGTAGAAAATATAGTCACCCAAAGAAAAATATACATGAATATAATTTCACATTTTCCAATAAAAGATCTGTACAGAATGCTATTGTTAATTGTATTCTAACCTTCACTTTTCTCTTGAAATAAACTAAATTTTGTTATCATTCGTTAATTTACTTATATTACTTCCCAACCTGAGTTTCAGTTCTGTGTAAGATTTTAACATTGCTACTTACTTTTTTAGCATGATGTGGACATTTAGAAGTAATAAAATGCACTCAAAAGTTCTCTTCTCACATTATGATTTTTAAAGCCATACCTCTGTTATACTTTAACTAAAATAACATTAAGCAGCTTCAAGGCTTGGGTTATGAAAATATTTTTAATGCATACATTTTAAATATAAACATAACACTAACTTCGGCTTCCCATTACTCTGAGGTTTCAGTATTTTTTAACACATGATTCAATAAAACCCACTTTGGTTACCAACACCAAATATAGGGGAGCACTTAAGAAATACATATTTTTTAAATTTACTATTGTCTGACATAAATGGTTTTATTTATTTTTAATTTTATTTTATTATTATTATACTTTAAATTTTAGGGTACAGGTGCACAATGTGCAGGTTAGTTACATATGTATACATGTGCCATGCTGGTGTGCTGCACTCATTAACTCATCATTTAGCATTAGATGTATCTCCTAATGCTATCCCTCCCCCCTCCCCCGACCCCACAACAGTCCCCAGAGTGTGATGTTCCCCTTCCTGTGTCCATGAGTTCTCATTGTTCAATTCCCACCTATGAGTGAGAATATGTGGTGTTTGGTTATTTGTCCTTGCAATAGTTTACTGAGAATGATGATTTCCAATTTCATCCATGTCCCTACAAAGGACATGAACTCATCATTTTTTATGGCTGCATAGTATTGCATGGCACATATGTGCCACAATTTCTTAATCCAGTCTATCGTTGTTGGACATTTGTGTTGGTTCCAAGTTGTTCCTATTGTGAATAATACCACAATAAACATACTTGTGCATGTGTCTTTATAGCAGCATGATTTATAGTCCTTTGGGTATATACCCAGTAATGGGATGGCTGGGTCAAATGGTATTTCTAGTTCTAGATTCCTGACGAATCGCCACACTGTCTTCCAAATGGTTGAACTACTTTACAGTCCCATGAACAGTGTAAAAGTGTTCTTATTTCTCCACATCCTCTCCAGCACCTGTTGTTTCCTGACTTTTTCGTGATTGCCATTCTAACTGGTGTGAGATGGTATCTCACTGTGGTTTTGATTTGCATTTCACTGGTGGCCAGTGATGGTGAGTATTTTTTCATGTGTTTTTTGGCGGCATACATGTATTCTTTTGAGAAGTGTCTGTTCACCGCTACACAAATAAACTAGAAAATCTAGAAGAAATGGATAAATTCCTTGACACATACACCCTCCCAAGACTAAACCAGGAAGAAGTTGAATCTCTGAATAGACCAATAACAGGTTCTGAAATTGTGGCAATAATCAATAGCTTACCAACCAAAAAGAGTCCAGGACCAGATGGATTCACAGCCAAATTCTACCAGAGGTACAAGGAGGAACTGATACCATTCCTTCTGAAACTATTCCAATTAATAGAAAAAGAGGGAAACCTCCCTAAGTCATTTTATGAGGCCAGCTTCATCCTGATACCAAAGCTGGGCAGAGACAAAACCAAAAAAGAGAATTTTAGACCAATATGCTTGATGAACATTGATGCGAAAATCCTCAATAAAATACTGGCAAACCAAATCCAGCAGCACATCAAAAAGCTTATCCACCATGATCAAGTGGGCTTCATCCCTGGGATGCAAGGCTGGTTCAATATATGCAAATCAATAAATATAATCCGCATATAAACAGAACCAAAGACAAAAACTACATGATTCTCTCAATAGATGCAGAAAAGGCCTTTGACAAAATTCAACAATGCTTCATGCTAAAAACTCTCAATAAATTAGGTATTGATGGGACGTATCTCAAAATAATAAGAGCTATCTATGAAAAACCCACAGCCAATATCATACTGAATGGGCAAAAACTGGAAGCATTCCCTTGGAAAACTGGCACAAGACAGGGATGCCCTCTCTCACCACTCCTATTCAACATAGTGTTGGAAGTTCTGGCCAGGGCAATTAGGCAGGAGAAGGAAATAAAGGTTATTCAATTAGGAAAAGAGGAAGTCAAATTGTCCCAGTTTGCAGATGACATGATTTTATATCTAGAAAACCCCATTGTCTCAGCCCAAAATCTCCTTAAGCTGATAAGCAACTTCAGCAAAGTCTCAGGATACAAAATCAATGTACGAAAATCACAAGCATTGTTATACACCAATAACAGACAAACAGAGAGCCAAATCATGAGTGAACTCCCATTCACAATGGCTTCAAAGAGAATAAAATACCTAGGAATCCAACTTACAAGGGATGTGAAGGACCTCTTCAAGGATAACTACAAACTACTGCTCAAGGAAATAACAGAGGATACAAACAAATGGAAGAACATTCCATGCTCATGGGTTGGAAGAATCAATATCCTGAAAATGGCCATACTGCTGAAGGTAATTTATAGATTCAATGCCATCCCCATCAAGCTATTATGACTGTCTTCACATAATTGGAAAAAACTACTTTAAAGTTCATATGGAACCAAAAAAGAGCTCGCATTGCCAAGTTAATCCTAAGCCAAAAGAACAAAGCTGGAGACATCACGCTAGCTGACTTCAACCTATACTACAAGGCTACAGTAACCAAAACAGCATGGTACTGGTACCAAAACAGAGATATAGATCAATGGAACAGAACAGAGTCCTCAGAAATAAGGCCACATATCTACAACTATCTGATCTTTGACAAACCTGAGAAAAACAAGCAATGGGGAAAGGATTCCCTACTCAATAAATGGTGCCTGGAAAACTGGCTAGCCATATGTAGAAAGCTGAAACTGGATCCCTTCCTTACACCTTATACAAAAATTAATTCATGATGGATTAAAGACTTAAACGTTAGACTTAAAACCATAAAAACCCTAGAAGAAAACCTAGGCGTTACCATTCAGGACATAGGCATGGACAAGAACTTCATGTCTAAAACACCAAAAGCAATGGCAACAAAAGCCAAAATTGACAAATGGGATCTAATTAAACTAAAGAGCTTCTTCACAGCAAAAGAAACTACCATCAGAGTGAACAGGCAACCTACAAAATGGGAGAAAATGTTCACAACCTACTCATCTAACAAAGGGCTAATATCCAGAATCTACAATGAACTCAAACAAATTTACAAGAAAAAAACAAACAACCCCATCAAAAAGTGGGTGAAGGACATGGACATAAAGGGTTTTAAATATATATCTGATGGCTACCAAATGTTCAACTAGTTGATCAAAAGCAAGCAAAAAAATCACGTGCTAATTTTTTTCCAAATGAAAATATACTTTCAAAGTAAAGTATTATTAATGAACAAAACAGTTTTATAATTTAAAAACTCAGTATGCATTGCCTTATGTATGTAATGTATTTCTTTCAAAGTGAGGAGTTTGAGACCAGCCTAGGCAACATGAGGAAACCCGTGTGTACTAAAAATGTTAAAAAATAATAAAAAAAATACTGCCATTTGGACTGGTGGGTGACTGTGGTCCCAGCTACTCAGTTGGCTGATGCAGGAGAATTGCTTGAACCTGAGATGCAGAGGTTGCAGTGAACCAAGATCCTGTCACTCCAGGTTGAGCAACAGAACAAGATTTAATCACAATTCACCCACCTGCCACAAACAAAAAATAAATAAATAAGAAAAATAAAAGGATCGAATCAACTGTGAATATATCAGGTATTGATAATGCCAGTTCACCTAACAAAAGAGAAAAATCCATGTACTGATGGAACTTATATTTTGGCTTTAATGGAAAGTAGTGACAAAATCTAGTGATTTTATTTTTAAGTCAGAAGGATAAGGATGGTGGGTTCATTTATTAGCAGGGGAATAGTATAAACTCAAAGGGGATTTGAGCAAATTTCTTGAAACAACAAAGAGAGCAAAACCTCTGATGTTGTAGTGTATACTAAGACTCTGAACAAGAAAGAGTATGGTAGAAGAAGATATGCAAAAGAGAATGAGAAGAAAATAATATATGGTTGTTTGTTACATTATAAAAACCATGGTTTAAGCTTAGGAAAAAGTGAAGCCGGGATTGAATATTAATAGGTAGAATTATTTTAAGGTAAGGACAACATTATATATTTAAATAATAGTGATGATTGCAAAACATTGGGAATATCTTGGAAATCATTGAATGCATACTTTAAAATTGTTAATTTTATAGTATCTGAAATATAACTCACATAGTTTAATAGAAGTAATAGTGTAATCGTTGTAATAGCAGAAGGTAGGAGATCACTAAAGTGGCTGAGTTAATCAGATAAGAAATGTGGATAACCTGTATCTTGCTGACAGCAGGAGAAATAGGTAAAAGTGTTTAGATTCTTGACCTGTTTTAAAAGGAAAACATGCAGAATTTGAGGATTAATAGAAACGATGAGATAAAAAGCATGTAGGATGACATTACAGTTATAGGCCTTTGCAACAGGATGTAATTACTATGAAGTGAAATGGGAAACACTTGGGGAAAGTTGTTAGGAAGTAGCATCAAAATTCAGTGTGTAGCCTTGAGACAAGATTGCCTGTTAAACATGAGTATGTGCAATAGAGTCATATGTGATTTGGGCTTTGGTAAGAGATTGGCTGGAGATAACAATTTGGGACTCACAATATCATTCAGAAATCCATTGTACAAGAAGAGATAACTGGAAGATTGAGCGTAAATTCATCAGCAATAATTTAAGGAAGAGGATGACTAAGAAACAACGGTTATATTTGGCCAGGCCTGGTGGCTCACACCTCCAGTGCCAGCACTATGGGAGCCTGAGGCAGGCAGACGGCTTGACCCCAGGAACTCAAGTCCAGACTGAGATACACGGAGAGGCCCTGTTTCTACCAGAAGTAGCTAGTCTGCGTGGCCTGTAGTCACAGTCAAGCAGGAGGCTGATGTGGAAAGATCACTTGAGCACGGGAGGTTGAGGCTGCAGTGAGTTCTTGATCTCACCACTGCACTCCAGCCTGGACAACAGAGGCAGACCCTGTCTCAATAAACAAACAGACAACAAAGACTAGAAATTAAAAAAAAACTATTATTATATTAGTCAAAACAAAGTGGATTATTTTAAATATACAACATATTTGGTAGACTGTTGGGGATGAAAGCCTGCCTGGTAAAGGTAAGTGGAATTTTCAAATGACAGCATATCACCAATGGTAAAAAGATTCACCTGAAATTCAAGGTAACATTTTAAATTTAGCAATTAGGGTGTCACTGATTACCTTTGAGAAAGGACTGTGACTTCATTGTTGTGGGATAAAACCTGAGACAATAAGAACTGATGGAAAGAAAATAGCTAATAGAAATTCTCTGTGGAAATTAAAAGCAGACAAAAAAGTCAGTACCAAAGGAGACGGTTTTTGTTGTGTGTCATAAAATATGGAGTTTTTTTATACATATGTGATTAGGAAATCAAGGCAGTGAAGAAGAGGATAAAAAATTACACGAAAGAGGAAAGGATCAATCATATTGATGGGCTGAGTCCAGGAGGATGTATTTTAAAATGTGATAAAGGTTTTGTCTTTGAATAAATAAGTGCATATAGATATAGGTATGATTTAGATCATAGTAACAAACAACAGAAGTTGAGGAATTTAATACTCTGCAGCATAAAACTTAACAAATTAGAGGAAATGATTTTTATGATAAGCTATGAGAATAAAAGCAATGCAAAGAAAGTTCAGGAAATGAACATCTTATCAAATAAAAATAATATAGGCAACTTCTTGATTCTTCTCTCCCACTTTTTTAAACTACTACTTCTATTTTTCCTATTGATATATTTTAATAAATGACCAATATCTTCTGGGGAAATATTATGCTTTCTCTCTGGTAATTTGCATTAGCTTCTTACACATTTCATGCTCTTTTCTCATATTAACAGCACTTTTAGTCAGAAATATTTTCGTCTAAATTCTGTTCCAATATTTACTTGATTTTAAACAACTGTTGCCTTTTATCTTCCTTCTTATTCATTTTTGCTGAATATTGCTTCCCACCCATAATGACTAATTGAATTTCACAATATATCAGTAATTTCTCTGACAGTTTGTCTAGAAATAATCTAATATGAGCTATTTTGCCACCCCCCTCAAACAAAAGAGACTTTAGATCTTCTCTAGCCATGCAAAGTCTGGATTTCACATCTATTTAAATTGAAACTTTACTTGATTAATAACTTCATAGCATTAAATCAAGCCAAGAAACAGTATACTAAATGCAAAATGACCAACATCTAACAATTAGTGGAACTTAAACGGCTCACTGTTTTGTATTCCTTTCCGAATCAGAAATATCTGCTAGATAGTTTTCTTAGTGTCATCATGGTTAGACTGGGCTTATCCCTTGTGAAGTTTTGTTTTAGTCGATGTCAGCCACACACGCTGGCTGAAGAACACAAAAAGAAAACTAATGAGAAATATACACCTTTTTTCATACTACCTGAAGACAGGACTATCATCTTGGTGTTAAGAGGTAGTTAATGCCTCGTAGAAGTTTGATTGTCTATTTCCTTAAAACAATGTTTGCTGAATAAATAATATGTCAAGTTATTTGACATATTGACTAAATTATGTCAAATAGTTTAATTGCTTTAATTGACTCAATTATGTCAAATGGTGGTTCAATATTTCCTAAACCAGACATCGATTTTTTTTTATTGTGATTAGTGATACATATTTACCTTTCTGCATTTTCCATGAATAGTGAATTATACAGAATCTTGTTTTCTTCTGTTTCGATTTGATAGCGAACTATACTAGATTCACTGACAAGAAGAGTTTGAATTAGCAGCAGTATGAGAATGGACACAGTGTTTGAAGAAAGTGATAAAGAAAGTACAGGAGGAGTTTTATCTTTGGAAGAAGAAATGGTCCTTGGGCACAGACACCATATGAGCTTTCCTTTCAGGATTCTCTGCTCAACTGTCCTCTGCTGTGGTGAGGCCACCTATGCTTTGTATATGTTTGAAATTAATTGAAAAGCTAGTGACAGATTCTGATATCATTTGCTATGAGCTTTGTTGATGTGGAGATAATTTTGGATCAAATTACTCTAACGTTTTTCAACAAAGACGTGAGGAGAAATAAAGCTGCATTACTTTTTTTGGCACATTCTTGCTTTAGGACCTATAACGAGGCAAGTGACAGAAATATCTCTCATTCTCTGTTTCCAACAAATAAGTAGAACATAAATGGTTTGCTAATAAGCTTAAAAATGTGATAATCATGGTTCCTCTAACTGAAATGCGCTGTGGTTTAGTTTTGTTTAGTTTTCACAATATTGAAAATTTTCCTATGCAATTTTTATCAGTCATAAGGTAATGATAGTTTTTAAAAAATTCAAGTGGGATTAAGTCAGTCATTTTTTCTGTTCCTTTTAATATTATTCTCATTCAGCCTAATGGGCATTCTAAATAGTTATGAGGGATAGAAACATAATCTTAAATTAAGGAATGAGCATAGTGTGAGTGAGAAGAGAGTATGGCTTGAAAATAATCTCATAAATTTTTTTTGTCAACTGACGTGTATTAACATGTTAGTGGTAGATTTCTAGACATCCTTACATTTGTAGCTGTGACTTGGAACTTCAAAACATAGCTAAGCAATTCATTTCCATATGTCTCCTGTCTGTTACTATACTGATTTGCACATGTACTGTAAATTTTTTAAAAACTAATTTCATTCGGATCTGCATTTAGAGTTCCAAGATAGTAAAATGTATAAAAAATTACATACATTTTATAGAATTGAGTCACTGGGGATAACTGTTACCTTTCATTAAAATGGTAAGTGCAGAATTTTATAAACACATGCAAAAATGTGCAACCTCATGATTTAGTCTTCTATGCAAATAAAAATTAGTAATAGCAAGGGTAATGAGTAACACTAGCAGGGCAAGAAACACTTCTGCAAAGCCAAAGAGTTAATCCCAGTGACAATGCATGAAGTGATTGTGGGCCATACTCTGGAGCTAATTTAAGTTTAATTGACTGAATCTCCTGAAAGAAAAGGACATAGGCAGAAACAACCAAAAATGAACAACACATTAGCCAGAAAACTCAACAAGTAAATAAAACTGCTGACAATATTAGAACCAATAAATATCCGTGTCATAAAAACGTACCTAATTTTGTTGCTGTAGTTCTTGTTGTTTGGAGAGAATGTCTCACTCTGTTGCCCAGGCTAGAGTGCAGTGGCATGACCTCAGCTCCCTTCAACCTCCAACTCCCAGGTTCAAGGGATTCTCCTGCCTCAGCCTCCCAAGTAGCAGGGACTACAGGAGCACAACACCACGCCCAGCTAATTGTTGTGTATTTAGTAGAGATGGGGTTTCACTATATTGGCCCAGGTGGCCTCAAGCTCCTGACCTCGTGATCCACCCACCTTGGCCTCCCAAAGTGGAATTACATGTGTGTACCATCATGCCTGGCCAACTTTTTCTTTTTCACCAGGTTAATTTAAGAAATTTATAAAATTTCTTAAATTTCTTGCAATAGGTCGGGAATGGTGGCTCACAACTCTAATCCCAGCACTTTGAAAGGCCGAGGCGGGCAGATCCCCTAAGGTTGGCAGTTTGAGACCAGCTTAGCTAACATGATGAAACCCTATCTCTACTAAAAATACAAAACTAGCTGGACTGGTGGCAAATGCCTGTAATCCCAGCTACTTAGGAGGTTGAGGCAGTAGAATAACTTCAACCTGGGAAGTAGAGGTTACAATTCTGTGATGATGAGAAAAGTTGAGATATGTAGATAATTAGATAGATAGATGATAGATAGAGAGATAGATAGATAGATAGATGTAGATGTAGATATACACAGCCACAGTCACTCAAGCACACAAACACACACACACACACACACAGCTGTTATCTGTGTATATATATTCTTTTGAAAACAGAAGATACTTATTTTTAATTAGGTTATTATTTGCTTGTTCTTTTGAATCTGTTTTTAGTTCCTTGTATATTTTGATTAACCCCTTGTCTGATGTACAGTTTGCAAATATTTGCTCTCATTTTATTTTATTTTGTTTTTATTTTTTGGTGTATGGAAGTTTTCTAGTATGATGTAACCTATTTTTCTGTTTGTGTGTTTTTTACTTCTGTTTTTGAAGTCTTATCCAAAAAATATTCTTGCTCAGACCAGGGTCGTTAAATATGTTTTGTGATTTATTCTCCTAGATTGACAGTTTTGTGTTTTCATTACATCTTTATTTTTAAATGTTTTTAAAAATATATTCTTATAGGTGAGCTCTCACTATATTACCAAGTGTGGAGTACAGTGGCATAAGTGTTTCATGCTACAGCTTTGGACACCTGGGCTCTCGTGATCCTCCCATTTGAGACCCCAAAGTAACTGAAACTATAGGTGGACTCCACTGCAATAGGCTTTTTAATCCATTTGCGTTAATTTTTCTATTTTGTGAGAATATAATTAGGGTTCTAATTATATTCTTCTGCATATAGCTCTCTTGTTTTTCCAGCACCAATTATTGAAGAGACTGACATTTCTTCATTTTGTGTTCTTGGCACCTCTGCAGAATATCAGTTGGCTATACAGGTGTAAATTTATTTTTGCTGACTGCATTCTGTTGTATTGGTTGATAGCATTGTGACACCTCCAGTTCTGTGGATTCACTCCCCAACCCCACTGCCATCTTCAGGATTGCTTTGGCTATTCAGGGTTTTGTGTGTGTGGTTTCATATTAAATTAGGATATTTTTCAATTTCTGTGAAAAATGCCATTGGTGTTTTGATAGAGATTGCATTCAGTCTGTGCACTGCTTTGGATCATATAAACATTTTAACCATATTAATTTTTCCAATCAATGAATATAGATATTTTTCCATATTTTTATGTCATCCTAACATTTTATTAATGTTTCATAGTTTTCAGAATGCAGATTTTTTTAATTCCTTGCTTAAATTTACTCCTTTTTATTCCCCGTACCTATTGTAAATGAGATTGTTTTCTTAATTTTTTTTATATTTTGCTATTTGTTTATGGAAATACTAAGGAATTGAATATGTTGATTTTGTAAACTGAAATTTTACCTACTTTCTGAGTCAGCTCTAAGTACTTTCTAGTGGTGTGTTTATGGATTTCCATATTATGTAATTAGTATATATGGACAATTTTACTTCTTCCTTTCCAATTTGGGTACCTTTTCTTATTTTCTCTTGTCTAATTGCTCTGGCTAAGGAATTTTAGTATTCTGTTAATAGATGTAGTGAAAGTGAACATCCTGGTCTTTTTTCAGATCTTCACAGAAAAGCTTTCAACTTTTAACTCCCACTGAGTGTGATATTAGCTAAGGGTTTGTATATAGAATGTTACCTGGTTCTTTGGGTCTATGTCATTTGTTGTGTTGAGTTACAGTTGTTCTATGCATAATTTGTTAATGGTTTTTATTCAGAAAAAATGTTGAATTTTGTCAAATTTTTTTCACTTATTGAAATGACTGCATATACTTTGTTCTTTATTTTTTATATAATTTATGACATTTAATGATTCTTGTGTATTAAACCATTCCTGCATCCCTGTAATCTCACTTGATCATGGTGTATCAGGGGAAATTCACCCCCAATATTTCACATAGTTTTTTTTCCATTTTCCTTAAGTGTTGGTTGGTCTCAGAAATAAAGGGACAGAGTATAAAAGAGAGAAATTTTAAAGCTGGGTGTCTGGGGGAGACATCACATGTCAGCAGGTTCCGTGATGCCCCCCAAGCCACAAAACCAGCAAGGTTTTGTTAGTGATTTTCAAAAGGGGAGAGACAGTACAAATAGGGTGTGTGTCACAGAGATGACATGGTTCACAAGGTAATAAAATATCACAAGGCAAATGGAGGCAGGGTGAGATCACATGACCACAGGACTGGGGTGAAATTAAAATTGCTAATGAAATTTTGGGTGTGCACTGTCATTGATAACATCTTATCAGGAGACAGGGTTTGAGGGCACACAACCAGTCTGACCAAAATTTATTAGGTGGGAATTTCCTCATCCTAACAAGCCTGGGAGCACTATGGGAGGCTGGGGCTTATTTCTTCCCTTACCTACCACCATAAAAGACAACCATCCCCAAAGCGGCCATTTCATAGGCCTCCCCTTAGAGATGCATTCTTTTTCTCAGAGATTTTCCTTGCTGAGAAAAAGAATTCAGTGATATTTCTCCTATTTGCTTTTGAAAGAAGAGAAATATGGCTCTGTTCCACCCAGCTCACAGGCAGCCAGAGTTTAAGGTTATCTCCCTTGTTCCCTGAACATTGCTGTTATCCTGTTCTTTTTTCATGGTGCCCAGATTTCATATTATTCAAACACACATGCTCTACAATTTGTACAGTTAGTGCAATCATCACAGGGTCCTGAGGTGACATACATCCTCCTCAGTTTATGAAGATGATGGGATTAAGAGATTAAAGTAAAGATAGGCATAGGAAATCACAAGGGTATTGATTGCCAAAGTGATAAGTGTCCATGAAATCTTCACAATTTATGTTCAGAGATTGCAGTAAAGACAGGCATAAGAAATTATAAAAGTATTAATTTGGGGATCTACAATGTCCATGAAATCTTCACAATTTATGTTTTTCTGCCATGACTTCAGCCGGTCCCTCTGTTCAGGCTCCCTGACTTCCCACAACATCTCTGCCTTTCTTTTTATGCAAATGTGCCATAACGATGAAGGCTTGTTTGTTCTCTCAGTTTGACACAGGATTCTTTGACTGGTCCAGCACACTAAAAAGCCACCTGATCTAATGCCTCAGCTCCAGGTGTAATGCATATGCAAGCTTGAGAGGCTTCAAAAATTTGTTCTTTAATTTAGTGATGTCCAATGATAAATTATCTTTGCTACCCAGAAGGTGTCCTTTGACCATTTCCCATGAATGTTCAGTCTCATTATAGGAATACGGGGTGATACAGAAGTCCAAAGTATTCCAATTGCACTGCATTTGCATGTGATGTTCAAGACTCCCTACTTAATCTCCAAGCCCAATAACAGACTGTCTTAAATCATTAATTTGATTAGCCAATTTTTGATCAAAACTTTGTTGAGAATTCCACATGTAGGTGGAAATGGCTTGACAATCATTAACAAAATGAGCCGTTTGAATAGGTTGATGTAACAACATTCTGACTGTGGTGGCCATTGCAGTGACTGTAATTAGGCCCATGATCACAGTGATTAAAGTGAACATAAATCTCTTGGATCTTTTTAGAATTCGCTGTAACACTTCATTAATTAAATGTGTTGAGGGGGAGGTTTCCCAATGTCTGGGCATCCAGATTCCTTCTTGAGCTCGAACAACATTACACTTTTCCTGGAGTCAAAATGGGAGTTAATACAAGTGTAAAAATGACAATTAATGCATTGGACAGTTTGATTGTTGGTCCAAATTTTGATATTTCCCACTAACAGCATGTAATGAGACTTAACACAACTCTGTTTGGGAACAGTCAGGTTGGAGGTAAATAAAGCGGAATGCCTGGATCTGCGTTGATACTGAGAGAGTGGGATGGTAGTGGGGACAACAGCAGAATCATTTCCCCTTCCCATACTCACAGTCCAGACATGGCAATAGCCAATTTCCAAAATTCTGGGTGTTCTGGGCTCAGAATGTGGAGTATCATACAAGGCCTTGGTGGGGGTTAATGCCTTTATCTTCCCATTTTAAGGGAAAGAATGAGCTGAATCTCCTATGCAAAGTAGAGTGATGATTCTCCTTCTCCAGATAAGAAATAAAATAAGTAGCCTCCTGGCATGCCTTTCCACCAGTGGAGCAATTGTTTTTTAAATAGTCCTTTGGGCCCAGTCTGTTACTAAACTGTATGAGTCATTTTTAAATATTACTGCATGTGAGTTAACACAGTCTTCCCAGATTAAAGTTTTAGATGGGCCTTCCAAATTTTTTAGGCATGGTTTTCCTGCAGGTTTATATTGAAAGTATGGGGTATCTCCCATTACTCCTCCTTTCATTTGTTTTAAAGGAGAAAGGAGAGGCCAAAGACCAAATATCCTGGTTCCTCTGCAGTTGATCTCTGGAAGATAAGTGGCCCAGACTTCAGTTTATAGATGGATACAACCAGGTCCATGTCTGAAGCCCAGAGGTGAGTATTTATAACCCATGGTAACATTAAATGCAGTGCCTTCTTCTCCTGGTGAATGATTTTCTAAACGTGCATTATAAGTCATTTTCCCAGTATTTTGTTGAGGATTTTTACATTATATTGGCCCATAGTTTTCTCCTTTTTTTTTTGTATCCTTGTCTGCTTTTGTAATCAGAATAATGCCATCCCAATGAAATGAGTTGGAACAGTTCCCATATCTTCTTTTTTGTTGTTTGTTTTTTTTTCGTTTTGTTTTGACTACATTAAAAAAAGTTGCAGTAGTTTCTTTTTTGTGGTAAGAGGAATGCAGCAGTGAATATATCAGGTAATAGGTTTATCTTTAATAGGTGACTTTTTACTGCTGATTTGATTTCTTACCATTAATTTGTTTCTTGGTATGAGTTATGGTATCTCTTTTTTGACTCTGATTTTCTTTATTAGGGGCTTTTTTTGTACTTTTGAGTTTAGCTTTTTGTTTTTCTAATTCCTTGATTGAAACATCAGGTTGTGTTTTTGGTATCTTCTTTTAGTTGAAAGCATTTATTGCCATAACTTCACTCTGAAAACTGCTTTGGTTGTATCCCTTAGGTTTTGGTGTGTTGTGTTTCTATTTTTGTCTCAAGAAATATGGTGTTTTGTCTTTAATGTCTTCATTGACTCATTGGTTTTTCAGGAGTATATTATTTAATTTTGATGTACTTAAGAATTAGTGATTTCAGAAGAGATACTTGATATGACTTTGATCATTTCCAATTCGTTAAGAAGTGATTTTTGCCTAATGTATGATATATCCTGGAAGATGTTCCATATATGCAGTGGAGAAGAATGTTTATTCCATAGCTCTTGGATGGATAGTTCAGTGCCTGTTTTTAGCATTTGTCCTACAGGGCATTTTAGTCCAATGTTTACTTATTGAATTATGTCTGCATTATCTATTCATTGCTGAAAGTAAGGTGCTGAAGTTTTCCAGTATTATCTTGCACTTTTTTTCTTCCTTTTGATCTATTAACATTTGAATTATATGTATGCTTATATTAGTTATATAGGTATATTCCTGGTATAATATTTTCTTTTATTTTTCTCCTCCTTAATTCTGTATCTTCTTTTTGTCTTTGATATTTGGTGGTTTGATTACATTAAGATTACATTAAGCTATGGGGATATTTTTATTGAAATTGAATGTGATTGGAAGTCTTCGATATTCCTGTAGCAGAATATTTGTATTTTATTTAAGTTTAGAAAGGTTTCTGTTATTATTTCTCTAAATAGGCTTTCTACTCTTTTTTTTGTACTTTTCTTTTCTTTCCTTTTCTTTTTGAGATGGAGGTTTGCTCTTGTCTCTCAGGTTGGAGTACAATGGTGTGATTGTGGCTTACTGCAACCTCGACACCCTGGGTTGCAGTGATTCTCCTGACTCAGCCTTATGAGTAGCTGGGATTACAGGTGTCCACCAATATACTTGACTAATTTTTGTATTTTAATAGAAAAATGTTTTCACCACATTGTCCAGGCTGCTCTCAAGCTCCTGACAACATACGATCCACCCACCTTGGCCTCCCAAAGTGCTGGAGATATAGGCATGAGCCATCATGCCCAGCTCTACCAAGCTCTTAAATGCCAGTGTCTAATACCTTTGCTCTTTGGATATTATCTCATTAATCTCATGAATCTTATTTATGTTTTCTCCTCTAACTGTATATTTTCAATTGACCTGTCTGAGTTTTGCTGCTTGACCACTTCTGTTGTAAGTGCTGTCAATTGCATTTTTTATTTTGTTGTGTTTTATTCTTCAAGATTTCTGTTTGTTTTTTCCTCCCATTATTTTAGTCTCTTGGGTGAGTTTCTCTGATAAATTTCGGAATTCTTTGTGTTTTGCTGAAGTCCACTGCATTGTCATAAAATAACTATTTTAAATTCCTTTTTGGGCCATGTGTCCATACACATCTCTTTTGGGTCAGTCACCACTGGCACCTTACTTTGACCACTTGATGTCATGTTTTTCTCATTGATCCTAATCCTTGTGACTATGCATGGAAATCTGTGCAGTGATGTAGGTGCCTAATTCAGTGTTCACGCTTTGGCTTTGTTTGGATGCTTTCTCCCACAGTAAGCCTGTCCAGAGATTCAGGGCAAGGAGAAGAAGGAAATTAAGGTCTTTAAGCCTATGATACCTTCAGCCCTGGTAGCACTAGGGGAAACACTAATGAGCAGATTTTCATGGCTGGATTAATTTATACACAAAGCTGACTCAGTGCCAGGTTGTACCTGTAGCACACAGTTGAGCACTTGGTGCACTCAAGGCCTGTAGCTTCCATGGTCTGCCCTCTGCTCCTTATTCGGGGCCTGAGGTTACAGTAGTCAATCAGCAGGAATATTGACTCGAACTCAAGTCCATTCGGCTGAGGTCATAGTTTCTAGTCTGTTGCTGCGGTTGGTCTGCAAGATTACCCCTGGGTATCAGCCTCCCAAAGTGCTGGGGTCAGGGGACAGGCAAATCAAAGTCCCAAGGCAAAAAAGTCCTATGCCTACTTCCTTTGCCCAAGGAATCCTCCAACCTCCACCTACTGAGTAGTAGAGACTACAGGCATGTGCAGCTATGCCTGGCTAATATTTTTTGGGTTTTGTTTTTGTTGGGCTCAAGTGATCTATTCACCTCAGCTTCCTAAAGTGCTAGGATTAAGGGTATGAGTTACTACACCCAGCTAAAATTTACTTTCTAAAATTTAATTTTTAGGTCATTTACTTTTATTCAGTCTTATTTCTGATAAATGCAATTAAGCATGTTATTGCTTTAGTTTCTCTCTGGGTATTCCTGAAGGAATAAATGAACTCTTGATATTCATTTTCTAAATGGTGTTAGAAAATGAATAATTACTTTAGATGAGTAATGACTATATGGCCTCTTTTTGTTTTCTGGCTTCATTTCATTGTGTATGAAGAGTGTATTTTTTAACCCACCTGTTTATGGGAAATGAAATTTTACTCTTTCAACTAAAGGTAGTACAAAATTGTTTAAACTGATTATTCAACTACTTCATAATTTTGACTTGGTTCCTTTTGCATATTAGTCTAATTATTGGGAGAACAATGTCAAAATTAAATTAATTTGCTTATTAAAAACTTTCTGATAAAATTACATGAATACACACAAACAAAAACATGCACACTCATACCACTTAATTTCTAAAATGTTTAATTTTTCTGCTTCTCTGATACCTTGTATTTTATCACTCAGCAAAATCTGTCAGCTCCACTTCCAGGATTTACTTTAACTGCACAGCTTATTTCTATTTCCCTTTATCACCATAGTCTAAAACACAGTTTACATTATATTTGCCTCCACTTTGCATTGTAATTTCCTCTTTACACTCTAGCTTTCTATGAGAAGGTAACTACCTTTTCAAAATCTAATCAGGTAATTTTGCTTTTTCTTAATTGAGACTTCTTTCTATGTGCTTTCACACCTTATAGTATCAGATATGAATGTCTCTATCCAATTGCATGTGTTCCAGTTATTTTTTTTATTGGGGGGATGTGTATGTACATTTACAAACATGGGTATGTATGTATTTACTTATTATTTGTTTTTCCCATGTGTAATATAGGTTTTGCATGCATATATTTACTAAATCCCTGATAATGTAAAATTAACAATTTTTTTTTTCTTTTTTTAAGTAAATTATTTTCTGAAGGATGCGGGTTGGGAGGAATATACCTTAACATGGAAACTTTAAAAGAGAAAGTGGTCATTACTAATGAAAATTATTCTCTAACATTTTCTTGTTTATCTTTAGTAGCATTGCTGATGACATGTTCCTTCTTACCACTTGTGTATGCGGCCATTCACTGCAATACACTGGCCATCCATACCAGCAACGACTTTCCTGACATTAAGCTACAAGCGATAAAATTCATCTGTCATGATACGGTGTTCCTTGGTGATTATCTCACGTGTAGTGACTCTGGAATTTTTTCCTGCATCTCTGAAACAGAGGAGCCTACCCTTACTATTAATCATATATTTTGTATTATTGTTGGCACCATGGCTGGAGTTTTGGAAAAGTGGAGCTCATCTTCATAACAACACAGAAAATAATTCCAGCATGGTGGGTACATACGGATGCTTACCTTAATCATGCTACTATATGCTGCTATCAACTTCTCTGGCTGGTCAGCACTGAAACTGCAGCTCTCAAATGAGGAAGTAATTGACAAGAGACTGAGGTGGGCCATAGAATCCTACACTACAGCTTCTAGTTTTTAGAAAATGTGATAATAATATTGATATTTATGTTCGTTGGAGGGAAAATTTCACTGAAGTCTTGTGACTCATTAATTGCCATGTAGTTCATCATAACCTAACTATTAGCCATTGGCTTTATGCTCCTCTTCTGTCAGTATTTGCACCCAAGGTGGTCAAGAAAATTTTTGCGAGGACATACTGAAAATCATTCAGAAGCACTGTGATATTGTGTAAACATCTGGAGAAAACTCAATTAAAAGAATAAAAATAAGCAGCTGAGGAATTAATATCACTCATGGAGAAGGGTTGGATATTTTCAATAAAAAACATATGCAATATCCATAAACTATCCATATATACTTTCACAGAACAAAGAGTAAAGAGGCTGAATATGACATTACAAAGATACTCATAAAAATTATAAACAGCAAAACCTTGGAAGTAGCTTCCAATAAGATTGATCTTTCTCCTGTGACTATGCATAAGTAATTTTTGTTTTCTTAAATATAATTGTACAACTTATTAAACAAAACAAAATAAAAAATCCATCTCTGTCCAAAAACTGAACAGAAAAAATAACCATAATGAATTTTTCACCTAGTATATTTTTGGTACCTATGTTTTTAATTTAACAAGTGTTTGTAATCTAGCACATATATTATCAGAGAACATTTTCTTTTCAGAAAGAGTACTTACCGCAGATTTCATTCTGTACTTAAGAAGAGCCTGAAACAGAAGTCTTATGAGTACAATCCTATTTATATTAATTTAAGATATCGAAAGTCTTTCTCATTAAACCTTGACTAACAGAAAGCAACTCATATTAATGCATCTTAAAGGACAAAACCTGTTCTATTAAGAGGAAATACTCAGGTTAATAATTTAAAATACAAATTTACATTCCTACCAATAGTGCACAAGAATTCTCTGTGCTCTACATTCTCAAAAACACTTGTCATCTTTCATCTTGATAGTAATAGGCATTCCAACATGTGTAAGAGGAGAGCTCATTGTTGATTTTAATTTGCATTTCCCTGATGATTGGTGGTGTTGAGCATCTTTAAGTATACAGTTGTTCAGAAATTAGCTGGGCAAAGTAGCGTACATTTGTAATCCCAGCTACTAGGGAGGCTGAGGCAGAATTGCTGGAAACCAGTGGGTAGAAGACTCAGTGAGCTAAGATCACACCACTGCACTCCAGGCTGGGTGACAGAGTGAGAATAGAAATGAAATCAATCCATCCATCAATCCATCAAACAATCAATCAATCCATCAAACAATCAATCAATATTAAATATAGAGTTGTTGGCCAGTTATATGTCTTCTTTAGCGAAATATAAATTTAGGTCTTTGACCATATTTAATAGGCTTAGTTTTGTTGTTGTTGTTGTTGTTGTTGTTAAATTGCTTGAGTTCCTTGTATGTATTTATTATTCACCCTTTATCATATATATGGTTTGCAGATATTTTCTGCAAGTGTTTGGGTTGTCTCTTCACTCTACTATTTGTTTCCCTTTTCCCTTTGCTGTGCAGAAACATTTTAGTTTGATATAACGTGATTCAATTGTTTTTTGTTGTGCTTTTGTATTCTGTGCTTTTGGGGCCATAGCATTGAGGTTTCAAAAATTAAATTAAATTGAAAATAGAATTAACACATGATCCAACTACTCTACTTCAGAATGTGTACTCAAGGGATATAAAATTAACATGTCAGAAAGATATCTGCACTCCTATATTCATCTCAGCGTTATTCATAATAGCCAAGATATGGTAACAACCCAAGTGCTCATCAACAGATCAACAGATAAAGTGTGGCACATAAACACAATGAGATATACTATACAGCCTTAAAAAAGGAGGAAGTTTTGTTATACATTTGTGACCAAATGAATGGAATTGGAAGATACTATGCTCAGTGTACTAAGAGAGGCACAGAAAGACTAGTAAAGAATGATCACAATTATATGTAAAATCTAAAAAAGTTGAACTCATTCAAACTGTGAATATGCCAGCGGTGGTGGCTCATGCCTGTAACTTCAGCACTTTGGGAGGATGAGGTGGTTGGATCACTTGAGGTCAGAAATTTGAGGCCACAGTGAGCCATAGCTGTGTCAATGTACTCCAGCCTGGGCAATGCAACAAGGCCCTGACTCTTTATACAAATACACAAAATGTAGTCAGAGATTGGAGTGTGGGGTGGAGATGGCAGTGGATAGAGAAATGGGATGTGTTCATCAAAGGGTAACAAATTTCAGTGAGATAGGAAGAAGTTCTGGTGATCCGTTGCACAGAACGGTGACCACAGTTAATGAATGCCAACTTCAAAATTGCTTAATTAAAAAAAAAAAGGGCAGGCATGGTGGCCCAAGTCTGAAATCCCAGCACTTTGGGTAGACATGGTGGGAGGATCACTAGTGGTCAGGAGTTCGAGACCAGCCTGGCCAAAATGATGAAACACTGTCTCTACTGAAAATATAAAAATTAGCCAGGTTTGGTGGCATGTGCATGTCATCCCAGCTACTCGAGTGGCTGAGGCAAAAGAATAACTTCAACTCAGGAGGTGGCAGTTGAAATGAGCTGAGGTTGCACCACTGCACTCAAGTCTGGGGAACAAGAGCAAAACTATATCAAAAAAACAGATTGTTTAAAAAGCAGAATTTATGTATTCGTACCACAAGAGAGACATGATAAGTATGTGAGGTGATGGATAGGGTAACTAGCCCAATTTAATTCTTTTGCAATATATACATGCATTATAAAATCACTTTGCATCCCATAAATATTTACAATTGTTAATTTAAAATAAAAATTTTTTAAAAATGAATTAAAATTAAAATAAACTTGGCTTAATATATATAGACAGTAATATATGCAAATGTTTTCTTCTATTTTGGCTATTTGGCTTCTGTTATTTCTTGGGGAAACAAACACCATGGGAACGGATGAAGAACATTAAAGCTAAATAGTATATAATTTACATTATTTTTTGTTCTTTTTTCTCCTTTTTTTTCTACCAAAGCAATGGTGACAACTTTCTTGTCACACTTTCTTTTCTGTTTCTTTCTCATGAGAAATCACCACCAAAAATAAAGCTCGTGTAGATTTGCGAATATTTTTTTCTGCCCCTAGCTATGACCCTCTTCACCTTTGCTTTGGATTTCACAGCTTCTTAAAACACTGATTTACTTATTATTTGTTGTCTCCTTGTACCATTACTTCTTCGCTCTACCTGCAGGATCTTTTCTTTTTATTATATTTTAGTTTAATTTTTTTCAGACAGAGTCTCCAGCACAATTTCGGCTCACTGCAACCTGGGCCTCCCAGATTCAGGTGGTTCTCCTGCCTCAGCTTGCTGAGTATCCGATATTACAGGCATGCACAACCATGCTTGGCCAATTTTAGAATTTTTAATTGTGACAGGGTTTCACCATTTTGCCAAGGCTGGTCTTGAACTGACCTCAAGTGATCTACCCTCTCAGCTTCCCAAAATGCTGGAATTACAGGTATGAGACACTACATCCGGCTTGATCATTTTCTTTGCCAGATCTACATGCTGCTTGTCTTAGCCTTAGATATGCCACTCTCAACTCATGTATTTATTTTCTGTGATAGCAAGACTCATGGAAAGAGTTGGCCCTGACAAGGTTTAATTTTATTTCTCTTAACCCTCCTTTCTTCAGGCATTTACCCTGTTTTTTAGAATCATATCTTATACTTCTCACTAAATACCATATTTCACTTATCTGTTGCATATTACTCAAACCGTCATGTGTATCTGTAAAACTGATTCACACCCTCATTCCTGAAATACTATTTTGCTTTGGATTACATGACTCAACTTTCCTCTGATTTCTCTATTTAATTGTCAGTGCCTTTGGTTTCATTTTATCTCATAGATATCTATTCATTAGACCACTAATCTAACTACACAGAATACCTCTTTCTCTTTCCCTTTCTCCTTTCCCTTTTCCCTTCCCATTTTCTTTTTTTTTTTTTTTTTTTTTTCGTTTTCTTTTTTTAGGAAACTGTTCTGCCACCCAGCCTGGAGTGCAGTAGTGAGACCTGGACTGACTACAACCTCAAATTCCTGGGCTCAAATAATTTTCCTGCTTTGATCTCCTCAGTAGCTGAGACTACAGATGCACACCACCACACCTGGCTTTTTATTGATGTTTTGAGACAAAAGCCTGTAAGGTTTTAAACCTGTAGTTCTAAGGAATTCAGTGATATGACCTCTGAATTCCTATACATTGTGATTTTTTTCTCTTATGAGCGTTCCAAGATTAAGACAGCTAAATTGAAAGCTTCCCCTGAACTTCCTTACACTTTCTACATACCTCTCCCTTCCATCATTTTTGTCCCAAAATACATCATCTATATAACATAAAAATATTCCAAATACATTATTTTCCCTCATCTCTTTCACATTTTACCTATAATAACTTTTTTTATTATCTACCACTTACAAATGTGTTTTTCTTGTTGCTGCTTATACATTCTACTGGAGGTCATCATTCATTGCTCCCTAAATTGTAGTATCAACATCTTAATCTACTTCCTCCTTCTGTGTTACTATATTCAATTTATTTTTCACTGAGGGTTCTAGAATTATTCTTCCTTTCAATGAATAAAGCACATCGCTTTTCTTTTTCTTTTTATTCTTCCTTTCTGCTTTACTATTAACTGTTACTTTATGAGAGAGGAGCCATTTCAGTGTTATTTCCTATTATACCACAATTTTAAGCTAAAAGTCTGAGATATCATAACCTCTCTATAAGTGTTTAATATTATAATAAATAACACAACTTTGTAATTTCAGCATTAAATTTTTGAATACTAAGTCTATAGATTATTTATGAAACAAGATTTTAGTTGTGTTGCAGATGAGCTTGTTATTTTTTTAACTCACTCCTTCCATTTCTATCCATACTAGCTATAAGACATTTAGAGGTGTGAAAGTGGCATATTCTTCCCTATACTTGAGAGTCTGTTGAGGTTATATGAATAAAGAAATGTACAATGACCATTTAATTCATATAGCTAAATATAATGTTTAATATTTAAAATTTGTTTAAATGTTTTTATTACTTAAATTTATTATAACAAATATTATTTAGATTTTTCATTATTTAAAACTCAATATAAGAAACAAACATGTGGGAAAATCTCAAGTAATTCATTATCGTTGTTCTTATCATAGAAGATACAAGCCATCTCCTTATTGGTTAGGGTCATATTTACAGAACAGTCACTTTTCATTTCCCAATGAAATCTGAGGAGTGTGTTTTGAATTCCCTAGTGATATGCCTACAACTACACAGTATAATTCTGTCTTCTTTGGAGGGTATGACTCTACAGGATCAATATGATAATGTCCTAAAATATCACTGTTACATTTAATTATATAAAACACCACTAAAGTGAGAATAATATATGAGCTGTTCATTACGTAGTCTAATTATAGAGTTAATTTTTACACTCAAATACTTTAGTTAGAGACTGTGAAATTAAATTGGCCCTAGATGGAACTTAATTATTTGTAACAACTACCATACTGTGGTGAAATGAATTAACTGAAATCTTAATAATTTGGAAAATAATAAAGTTATTTCACTTAAAAGTTATTTTAAAAAAACTATATTTCTTAACTATTTATTTTATTATTATACTTTTAAGTTTTAGGGTACATGTGCACAATGTGCAGGTTAGTTACATATGTATACATGTGCCATGCTTGTGCGCTGCTCCCATTAACTTGTCATTTAGCATTAGGTATATCTCCTAATGCTATCCCTCCCTCCTCCCCGACTCCACAACAGTCCCCAGAGTGTGATTTTCCCCTTCCTGTGTCCATGTGTTCCTGTTGTTCAATTCCCACCTATGAATGAGAATATGCAGTGTTTGGTTTTTTGTCCTTGCGATAGTTTACTGAGAATGATGATTTCCAGTTTCATCCATGTCCCTACAAAGGACATGAACTCATCATTTTTTATGGCTGCATAGTATCACATGGTGTATATGTGCCACAATTTCTTAATCCAGTCTATCATTGTTGGATATTTGTGTTGGTTCCAAGTCTTTGCTATTGTGAATAGTGCCACAATAAACATACGTGGGCATGTGTCTTTATAGCAGCATGACTGATAGTCCTTTGGGTATATACCCAGTAATGGGATGGCTGGGTCAAATGATATTTCCAGTTCTAGATCCCTGAGGAATCACCACACTGACTTCCACAATGGTTGACCTACTTTACAGTCCCACTGACAGAGTAAAAGTGTTCCTATTTCTCCACATCCTCTCCAGCACCTGTTGTTTCCTGACTTTTTAATGATTGCCATTCTAACTGGTGTGAGATGGTATCTCACCGTGGTTTTGATTTGCATTTCTCTGAAGGTCAGTGATGGTGAGCATTTTTTCATGTGTTTTTTGGCTGCATAAATGTCTTCTTTTGAGAATTGTCTGTTCATGTCCTTCACCCACTTTTTGATGGGGTTGTTTGTTTTCTTCTTGTAAATTTGTTTGAGTTCATTGTAGATTCTGGATATTAGCCCTTTGTCAGATGAGTAGGTTGTGAACATTTTCTCCCATTTTGTAGGTTGCCTGTTCACTCTGATGGCAGTTTCTTTTGCTGTGCAGAAGCTCTTTAGTTTAATTAGATCCCTTTTGTCAATTTTGGCTTTTGTTGCCGTTGCTTTTGGTGTTTTAGACATGAGGTTCTTGCCCGTGCCTGTGTCCTGAATAGTATTGCCTAGGTTTTCTTCTAGGGTTTTTATGGTTTTAGGTCTAACATTTAAGTCTTTAATCCATCTTGAATTAATTTTTGTATAAGGTGTAAGGAAGACATGCAGTTTCAGTTTCCTGCATATGGCTAGCCAGTTTTCCCAGCACCATTTATTAAATAGGGAATCCTTTCCCCATTGCTTGTTTTTCTCAGGTTTGTCAAAGATCACATTGTTGTAGATATGCGGCATTATTTCTGAGGGCTCTTTTCTGTTCCATTGATCTATATCTCTGTTTTGGTACCAGTACCATGCTGTTTTGGTTACTGTAGCCTTGTAGTATAGTTTGAAGTCAGGTAGCGTGATGCCTCCAGCTTTGTTCTTTTGGCTTAGGATTGACTTGGAGATGCAGGCTCTCTTTTGGTTCCATATGAACTTTAAAGTAGTTTTTTCCAATTATGTGAAGAAAGTCATTGGTAGTTCGATGGGGATAGCATTCAATTTACAAATTACCTTGGGCAGTATGGCCATTTTCAGGATATTGATTCTTCCAACCCATGAGCATGGAATGTTCTTCCATTTGTTTGTATCCTCTTTTATTTCATTGAGCAGTAGTTTGTAGTTCTCCTTGAAGAGGTCCTTCACATCCCTTGTAAGTTGGATTCCTAGGTATTTTATTCTCTTTGAAGCCATTGTGAATGGGAGTTCACTCATGATTTGGCTCTCTGTTTGTCTGTTATTGGTGTATAAGAATGCTTGTGATTTTTGTACATGGATTTTGTATCAGCTTAAGGAGATTTTGGGCTGAGACAATGGGGTTTTCTAGATATACAATCATATCATCTGCAAACAGGGACAATTTGACTTCCTCTTTTCCTAATTGAATACCATTTATTTCCTTCTCCTGCCTAATTGCCTTGGCCAGAACTTCCAACACTGTGTTGAATATGAGTGGTGAGAGAGAGCATCCCTGTCTTGTGCCAGTTTTCCAAGGGAATGCTTCCAGTTTTTGCCCATTCAGTATGTTATTGGCTGTGGGTTTGTCATGGATAGCTCTTATTATTTTGAGATACATCCCATCAATACCTAATTTATTGAGAGTTTTCAGCATGAAGCTTTGTTGAATTCTGTCAAAGGCATTTCCTGCATCTATTGAGAGAATCATGTGGTTTTTGTCTTTGGTTCTCTTTATATGCTGGATTATATTTATTGATTTGCATATATTGAACCAGCCTTGCATCCCAGGGATGAAGCCCATTTGATCATGGTGGATAAGCTTTTTGATGTGCTGCTGGATTCAGTTTGCCAGTATTTTATTGAGGATTTTTGCATCAATGTTCATCACGGATATTGGCCTAAAATTCTCTTTTTTGGTTGTGTCTCTGCCTTGCTTTGGTATCAGGATGATGCTGGCCTCATAAAATGAGTTAGGGTGGATTCCCTCTTTTTCTATTAATTGGAATAGTTTCAGAAGGAATGGTACCAGTTCTTCCTTGTACCTCTGGTAGAATTTGGCTGTGAATCCATCTGGTCCTGCACTCTTTTTGGTTGGTAAGCTATTGATTATTGCCACAATTTCAGAGCCTGTTATTGGTCTATTCAGAGATTCAACTTCTTCCTGGTTTAGTCCTGGGAGGGTGTATGTGTCAAGGAATTTCTCCATTTCTTCTAGATTTTCTAGTTTTTTTGCATAGAGGTGTTTGTGGTATTCTCTGGTGGTAGTTTGTATTTCTGTGGGATCGGTGGTGATATCCCCTTTATCATTTTTTATTGTGTCTATTGGATTCTTCTCTCTTTTCTTCTTTATTAGTCTTGCTAGCAGTCTATCAATTTTGTTGATCCTTTCAGAAAACCAGCTCCTGGATTCATTAATTTTTGAAGGGTTTTTTGTGTCTCCATTTCCTTCAGTTCTGCTCTGATTTTAGTTATTGCTTGCCTTCTGCTAGCTTTTGAATGTGTTTGTTCTTGCTTTTCTAGTTCTTTTAATTGTGATGTTAGGGTGTCAATTTTGGATCTTTCCTGCTTTCTCTTGTGGGCATTTAGTGCTATAAATTTCCCTCTACACACTGCTTTGAATGTGTCCCTGAGACTCTGGTATGTTGTGTCTTTGTTCTCGTTGGTTTCAGAGAACATCTTTATTTCTGCCTTCATTTTGTTATGTACCCAGTAGTCATTCAGGAGCAGATTGGTCAGTTTCCATATAGTTGAGCTGTTTTCAGTGAGTTTCTTAATCCTGAGTACTAGTTTGATTTCACTGTGGTCTGAGAGACAGTTTGTTATAATTTCTGATCTTTTACATTTGCTGAGGAGAGCTTTACTTCCAACTATGTGGTCAATTTTGGAATAGGTGTGGTGTGGTGCTGAAAAAAAATGTATATTCTGTTGATTTGGGGTGGAGAGTTCTGTAGATGTCTATTAGGTCTGCTTGGTGCAGAGCTGAGTTCAATTCCTGGGTATCCTTGTTAACCTTCTCTGTCGTTGATCTGTCTAATGTTGACAGTGGGGTGTTAAAGTCTCCCATTATTATTGTGTGGGAGTCTAAGTCTGTTTGTAGGTCACTCAGGACTTGCTTTATGAATCTGGGTGCTCCTGTATTGGGTGCATATATATTTAGGATAGTTAGCTCTTCTTGTTGAATTGATCCCTTTACCATTATGTAATGGCCTTCTTTGTCTCTTTTGATCTTTGTTGGTTTAAAGTCTGTTTTATCAGAGACTGGGATTGCAACCCCTGCCTTTTTTTGTTTTCCATTGGCTTGGTAGATCTTCCTCCATCCTTTTATTTTGAGCCTGTGTGTGTCTCTGCATGTGAGATGGGTTTCCTGAATACAGCACACTGATGGGTCATCACTCTTTATCTGATCTGCCAGTCTGTGTCTTTTAATTGGAGCATTTAGTCTATTTACATTTAAAGTTAGTATCATTATGTGTGAATTTGATCCTGTCATTATGATGTGAGCTGGTTATGTTGCTCATTAGTTGATGCAGTTTCTTCCTAGCCTCAATGGTCTTTACAATTTGGCATGATTTTGCAGTGGCTGGTACCAGTTGTTCCTTTCCATGTTTAGTGCTTCCTTCAGGAGCTCTTTTAGGGCAGGCCTGGTGGTGACAAAATCTCTCAGCATTTGCTTGTCTGTAAAGGATTTTATTTCTCCTTTACTTATGAAGCTTAATTTGGCTGAATATGAAATTCTGGGTTGAAAATTCTTTTCTTTAAGAATGTTGAATATTGGCCCCCACTCTCTTCTGTCTTGTAGAGTTTCTGCTGAGAGATCTGCTGTTGGTCTAATGGGCTTCCCTTTGTGGGTAATCTGACCCTTCTCTCTGCCTGCCCTTAACATTTTTTCCTTCATTTCAACTTTGGTGAATCTGACAATTATGTGTCTTGGAGTTGCTCTTCTCGAGGAGTATCTTTGTGGCGTTCTCTGTATTTCCTGAATCTGAATGTTGGCCTGCCTTGCTAGATTGGGGAAGTACTCCTGGATAATATCCTGCAGAGTGTTTTCCAGCTTGGTTCCATTCTCCCCGTCACTTTCAGGTACACCAATCAGACGTAGATTTGGTCTTTTCACATAGTCCCATGTTTCTTGGAGGCTTTGTTCGTTTCTTTTTATTCTTTTTTATCTAAACTTCCCTTCTCGCTTCATTTCATTCATTTCATCTTCCATCACTGATACCCTTTCTTCCAGTTGATTGCATCAGCTCCTGAGCCTTCTGCATTCTTCATGTAGTTCTCAAGCCTTGGCTTTCAGCTCCATCAACTCCTTTAAGCATTTCTGTGTATTGGTTATTCTAGTTATACATTCATCTAAATGTTTTTCAAAGTTTTCAACTTCTTTGGCTTTGGTTTGAATTTCCTCCTGTAGCTCAGAGTAGTTTGATCATCTGAAGCCTTCTTCTCTCAACTTGTCAAAGTCATTCTCCGTCCAGCTTTATTCCATTGCTCTTGAGGAGCTGCGTTCCTTTGGAGGAGGAGAGGTGCTCTGCTTTTTAGAGTTTCCAGTTTTTCTGCTGTTTTTTCCCCATCTTTGTGGTTTTGTCTACTTTTGGTCTTTGATGATGGTGATGTACAGATGGGTTTTTGGTGTGGATGTCTTTTCTGTTTGTTAGTTTTCCTTCTAACAGACAGGACCCTCAGCTGCAGGTCTGTTGGAGTACCCGGCCGTGTGAGGTGTCAGTCTGCCCCTGCTGGGGGGTGCCCCCCAGTTAGGCTGCTTGGGGGTCAGGGGTCAGGGACCCAGGTGAGGAGGCAGTCTGCCGGTTCTCAGATCTCCAGCTGCATGCTGGGAGAATCACTTCTCTCTTCAAATCTGTCAGACAGGGACATATAAGTCTGCAGAGGTTACTGCTGTCTTTTTGTTTGTCTGTGCCCTGCTCCCAGAGGTGGAGCCTACAGAGGCAGGCAGGCCTCCTTTAGCTGTGGTGAGCTCCACCCAGTTCGAGCTTCTGGGCTGCTTTGTTTACTTAAGCAAGCCTGGGAAATGGTGGGCGCCCCTCCTCCAGCCTCGCTGCCGACTTGCAGTTTGATCTCAGACTGCTGTGCTAGCAATCAGTGAGACTCCATGGGCGTAGGACCTTCTGAGCCATGTGTGGGATATAATCTCCTGGTGCACTGTTTTTTAAACCCATTGGAAAAGCGCGGTAGTGGGATGGGAGTGACCCGATTTTCCAGGTGCCATCTGTCACCCCTTTCTTTGACTAGGAAAGGGAACTCCCTGGCCTCTTGCGCTTCCTGAGTGAGGCAATGCCTCGCCCTGCTTTGGTTCACACACAGTGTGCTGCACCCACTGTCCTGCACCCACTGTCTGGCACTCCCTAGTGAGATGAACCCGGTGCCTCAGAAGGAAATGCAGAAATCACCTGTCTTCTGCGTCGCTCACGCTGGGAGCCGTAGACCAGAGCTGTTCCTATTCAGCCATCTTTCAACTATTTCTTATTATATGAAAGACATAATGTGTCTCATGATAATGATGGAAGCAGCCTCAAATAAAATCTTACAAAACACTCTGGACATGATGGCTCATGCCTGTAATCCCAGCACTTTGGAAGGCTGAGGCAGCTGGACGACTTGAGGTCAAGAGTTTGTCACTAGCCTGGCCAACAGGGTGAAACTCCCTCTCTGCTAAAAGTAAGAGCATTAGCCAGGCATGGGGGTGCATGGCTGTAATCCCAGCTACTCAGGAGGCTGAGGCAAAAGGATCCCTTGAACCCGGAAGGCAGAGGTTCCAGGGAGCTGAGATCTCACCACTGCAGTCTAGCCTGGGTGAGAGAGTGAAACTCATCTCAAAAACATCTCTCTGAACTTTAAAAAGCAAGGTGAATTTAATCAACTTTCTATTTTATGCTGTCATTAAAGTTCATTAGGTTAAAAGTGAAGAGATATAAGGAATAGAAAAAAACCTCAGACTTGATTTTCAGAGCTCTGGAATCTAACTAAGTAATCAGGGGAGTGTTTAATGAAGAAAGACCTGACCTCTAAGTTTGGGCAAGACAGAATGTGGGCTGTGTGATTTAAAATGTCTGAGGTTCCCTTGGTGATTATTAGCTCAGAGGCTTTCCTTTAGCCCACCTCAGATTTTTCTTGGGGGCAGAAAGTGACTCTCAGGAGGCATTTGTGGGAAGGGAATACACTAGTCAGAGCTGTCTGTAGCAAGGAATAAGAGTCAGGTCAAGCAGTACACAAAGAAAATGCCTGGAAGGAAGAGGCTGAGGAAGAAAACTGATGAGCAAAATCAGCTTTGAAAAACTCTCACAGTTTGTTGTTTTTCATTTTGGATTGAGTTGTAAATAGAGACAGAGCTTGCCTTGTGGCCCACATTGGAGGGATTATGGCCCACTGAAGCCTCAACCTCCTTGGGTTCAAATTGATCTTCCGACCTCAGCCTCCTGACCATCTCACCTCCCTGGACTCCACCTATCCTTCCACCTCAGCGTCTCACACTACAGGCATGTGTTACCACAACCAGCTTATTTTTTTTTATTTTTTTATAGAAAAGATATTGCCATGTTGTCAAGGCTGGTCTCGCACTTCTGGGCTCAAGTAATTTGTTCTCCTAAGTTTTCCAAATTGGTGGGATTACAGATATGAACCACCACACCCAGACTCCTATTGTATATTTAGAAGAATATAAGTATGTCCATTTTTGGATGCATGCACGGAGAAGACCCCAAAGCTTTTCGTTTTCCCTGACTTTGGGCTAAACACTAGAGTTCCTCACAGAGTCCATATGCGAAGTCTGGGTGGTTTTTATTTTATTTTCTTTATTTTCCTCTTTTTTTCTTTTAAAATATGTCAAGAGGAGTAGATGACCAAAAGGGTGACAGAACACAGGTTAAGTGGCCATACATGACAAAGAGTACAGACTACAAAAATAGCTTTAAAGGGTTGCTAAACAAGTAAACAACCCACCAAGTAAACAGTTATGGAGGTCAATATTTTGTTATCCAAATATGCTGAATAATATCCAAAGTGTTCACTGTTCAACAATAAAATAAAAGGCACTCAAAGAAAAAAAAAAAGGTTACACTCAAAACATAATTAAAAGAAACTATTTCAGGAAACTCAGTCATGGTAGTAACCAGGGAAATATTTCAATTCATTTCATTTTAGTGTTCTCAAAGACCTAAGGGAACCCAGGAGAACAGTGATTCAAAATTGAAAATATCAATAAAAATGTATGAATTATTTTGAAAAATGAAATCAATAATCTGTAACTAGAAGGACTGAATAGCATGTGTGAGCATGTAGAAAGCCTAATGAGGCAACTTGAAGATGGATTGTTTGATATTGTTCAGTGTAAGGAACAAGAAGAGAAACAAGAATAATGATCAAAACTAAGGTTTCCATGGGACACCATCAAGAATATCAACATATTCATAATGGGAGTCCCACTGGAATAGGTGAGATGGGGAAAAAAAGAATATTTAAATGAATAGTGGTTGAAACTTCCCAAAAGTGTCGATAGATGCAAATCTACTGATCCAAGTATCTCTAAAGAACACAATACTCCAGGGAGAATAAAATCCAAGATATCCACACTGAAACACATGCACTGAAATTGACAGAAGACAAATAAATAGAGAACTTTAAAAGAATCAAGACAGAAGTAACTCACCACATGCAAGTTATCCTTCATAACATTAACAGCCAATTTCTCATTAAAAATTATAGTGGAAAGAAGTCACTGTGATGAGATCTTTAAAGTGCTGGAATAAGAAGATAAAGTCAATCATAAACTCAATATCTGGCCAAACAAAAATTTAACTTTATGAGCAAATAAGGCATTTCCAAGCAAACATAATTAAAGAGAGTACATTACTACTAGATCAGCCTTACAAAACATGATGAAAACAAGCAAGGAATGAAAGAAAAATAGTGCCTCATGTGCAAATAAAGAAATAAGAACATCAATAAAATAATTACGTCACGAAATAGAAAAGCCAATATTATTATATTTGGGTTTTCTGTGACTTTATTTTTCTACTGGATTTAAAGGTATCTCACAACTGTAATCCCAACAAAGTAGGGGGATTTCCTTGAGTCTGGGAGTTTGAGACCAGCCAGGGCAACAAAATGTGACCGTCTTTTGAGAAAATAAACAAAATTAGCCAGCTGTGGTGGCATGGACTTCTGTCCCCAGAACATAGGGCACTGAGTTGGAAGGGTCCCTTGAGCCCAGGAGCTCGAGGCTGTAGTGAACCATGTTTAGCCTGTGTGACTGAAACCCTGTCTCAATGAATTAAAATACAATACAATAATAAAATAAAGAAATGACAAAAAATAAAGCAATAATTACACATCTGGGTTGTTAGCAAATGTTGCATAACAAACTATTTTTGACAAAAAAATAGAAAGTTGGGGAAAACAGTATGGGAAAATGATTTTTGTATAATGTCAATGCTCAGTTGTTATAATTCACACTATATTATTATTAATTCAAGATATTAATTATAATACCATTAATAACTTGTCCTTTTTATGGCTGCATAGTATTCCACGGTTTATATGTGCCATATTTTCTTAATCCAGTCTATCATTGATGGACAATTTGGTTGGTTTCAAGTCTTTGCTATGGTGAATAGTGCGATAATAAACATACGTGTGCATGTATCTTTATAGCAGCATGATTTATAACCCTTTGGGTATATACTCAGTAATGGGATTGCTGGGTCAAATGGTAATTCTAATTTTAAATCCTTGCGGAATTACCACACTGTCTTCCACAATGGTTGAACTAATTTACACTCTCCCAAACAGTGTAAAAGCATTCCTATTTCTCCACATCCACACCAGCATCTGTCGTTTCCTGACTTTTTAATGATTGCCGTTCCAAGTGGCTTGAGATGATATCTCATTTTGGTTTTGATTTGCATTTCCCTGTTGACCAGTGATGATGAGCATTTCTTCATGTGTCTGTTGGCTGCATAAATGTCTTCTTTTGAGAAGTGTCTGTTCATATCCTTTGCCCTCCTTTTGATGAGGTGTTTTTTTTTTTTAATGAAAATTTGTTTGTGTTCTTTGTAGATTCTGATATTAGCCATTTGTAAGATGGGTAGATTGCAAAAATTTTCTCCCATTCTGTACGTTGCCTGTTCACTCTGATGGTAGTTTCTTTTGCCATTCAGAAGTTCTTTAGTTTAATTAGATCTTATTTGTCTATTTTGGCCTCTGTTGCCATTAATTTTGGTGTTTTAGTCATGAAGTACTTGCCCATGCCTATGTCCTGAATGGTATTGTCTATGTTTTCTTCTAGGGTTTTTACGGTTTTATATTTAATATTTAAGTCTTTAATTCATATTGAATTAGCTTTTATGTAAGGTGTAAGGAAGAGATCCAGTTTCAGCCTTCTAAAAATGGCCAGCCCCTTTTCCCAGCACCATTTACGACATAGGGAGTCAATTCCCCATTTCTTCTTTTTGTCAGATTCATCAGAGATAAGATGATTGCAGATGTGTGGTATTATTTCAGAGGCCTCTTTTCTGTTCCATTGGTCAATACATCTCTTTTGGTACAAGTACCATACTGTTTTGTTTACTGTAGGCTTGTAGTATAGTTTGAAGTCAGGTAGCATGATGTCTCCAGCTTTTTTTTTCTTCTTCTTCTTAGGATTATCTTAGCAATATGGCCTATTTTTGGGCTCCATATGAACTGTACCTTTTTTTTTCCAAATCTCTGAAGAAAGTCACTGGTGGCTTGATGGGAATGGCATTGCTTGTATAAATTACTTTGGACACTATGGCCATTTTCAAGGTATTCATTCTTCATACTCATTATCGTAGAATATCCTTCCATTTGTTTCTGTCCTTTTTGATTTCGTTGAGCAGTGTTTTGTAGTTTTTCCTGAAGAGGTCCTTCACATTCCTTGTAAGCTGGATTCCTAGGTATTTTATACTCTTTGAAGCACTTGTGAATGGGAGTTCACTTGTGATTTGGCTCTCTGTTTGTCTGTTAATGGTGTACAGGAGTGTTTGTGATTTTTGCACACTGATTTTGTATGCTGAGACTTTGCTGAAGTTGCTTATCAGCTTAAGTAGATTTTGGGCTGAGACAATGGGTTTTCTCAATATACAATCATGTTATCCGAAAACAGGGACAATTTGACTTCCTCTTTTCCTTATTGAATACCCTTTATTTCTTTCTCTTGCCTGATTGCCCTGGACAGAACTTCCAACACTATGTTGAATAGGAATGGTGAGAGAGGGCATCCTTGTCTTGTGCCGGTTTTCCAAAGGAATGCCTCCAGTATTTGTCCACTCTGTCGGATATTGTCTGTGGGTTTGTCAGTAGCTTTTATTATTTTGAGATATGTTCCATCAATACCTAGTTTATTGAGAGTTTTTAGCATGAAGGGTTGTTGAATTTTGTCAAAGGCCTTTCCTGCATCTATTGAGATAATCATGTGATTTTTGTCATTGGTTCAGTTTATATGATGGATTAGGTATATTGATTTACATAAATTGAACCACATTTGCATCCCAGGGATGAAGCTGATGTGATAGTAGTAGATAAGCTTTTTGTTGTGCTGATGGATTCAGTTTGCCAGTATTTTATTGAGGATGTTCGCATGGATGTTTATCTGGGCTATTGGTCTAAACTTCTCTTTTTGCTTGTGTGTCTCTGCCAGGCCTTGGTATCAGGATGAAGTTGTCCTCATAAAATGAGTTGGGGAGGATTCTCTCTTTTTTTTATTGATTGGAATAGTTTCAGAAGGAATGGTACCAGTCCCTCTTTGTACCTCTGGTAGAATTTGGGTGTGAATCCACCTGGTCCTGGGCTTTTTTTTGGTTGGTAAGCTATTAATTATTTACTCAATTTCAGAGGCTGTTGCTAGTCTATTCAGAGATTCAACTTCTTCCTGGTTTAGTTTTTGAAGGGTGTATGTGTCAGGAATTTATCCATTTCTTCTAGATTTTCTAGTTTATTTTGTTAGAGGTGTTTATAGTATTCTCTGAGGGTAGTTTGTACTTCTGTGGGATCGATGGTGATATCCCCTTTATCATTTTTTATAGCTTCTATTTTATTCTTCTCTCTTTGCTTCTTTATTAGCCTTGCTAGGGGTCTTTCAATTTTGTTGATCTTTTCAAAAAAAAAAAAAAAAAAAAAAAACCCAGTTCCTGGATTCATTGATTTTTTGAAGGGTTTTTTGTGTCTCTATCTCTTTCCGTTCTGCTCTGCTCTGATCTTAGTTATTTCTTGCCTTCTGCTACCTTTCGAATTTGTTTGCTCTTGCCTCTCTATTTCTTTTAGTTCTGATGTTAGGTTGTCAATTTTATATCTTTCCTGCTATCTTTTGTGACATTTACTGCTATACATTTCCCTCTGCCGACTGCTTTAAATGTGTTTCAGAGATTGTGGCATGTTGTGTCTTTGTTCTCATTGGTTTCAAGGAATGTCTGTATATCTGCCTTCATTTTGTTATTTACCCAGCAATCATTCAGGAGCAAGTTGTTAAGTTCCCCTGTAGTTGTGCAGTTTTGAGTGAGTTTCTTAATGCTGAGTTCTAATTTGATTACACTGTGGTCTGAGAGACACTTTGTTGTGATTTCTGTTCTTTTACAATTGCTGAGGAGTGCTTTACTTCAGGTTATGTGGTCAATTTTAGAATAAGTGTGATGTGGTGCTGAGAAGAATGTATATGCTCTTGATTTAGGGTGGAGAGTTCTGTAGGTGTCTATTAGGCCAGTTTGTTACAGAGCTGAGTTTAAGTGCTGGATATCCTTGTTAACCTTCTGTCTCATTGATCTGTTGATTAATGAGACAACATTGACTGTGGGGTGTTGAAGTCTCCCATTATTATTGTGTGGGTGTCTAAGTCTCTTTGTAGGTCTCTAAGGACTTACTTTCTGAATCTGGGTTGTGTATTGGGTGAATATATATTTAGAATTCTTAGCTCTTCTTCATGAATTGATCCCTTTATCATTAGGTAATGGCCTTCTTTGTCTCTTTTGATCTTTGTTCGTTAAAAGTCTGTTTTATCAGAGGCTAGGATTGCAACTCCTACTTATATTTTTTTCTGCTTTCCATTTGCTTGGTATATCTTCTTCCATTCATTTATTGTGAGCTTATGTGCATCTTTGCATGTGAGATGGGTCTCCTGAATACAGCACACTGATGGATCTTGACTCTTTATCCAATTTACCCATCTGTGTCTTTGAACTGGGGCATGTAGCCTCTTTACACTTAAGGTTAATATTGTTATGTGTAAATTTGGTCCTGTCATTATGACGTTGGCTGTGTAGTTTGCCTGTTAATTGATACAGTCTCTTGATAGCATCGATGGTCTTTAAAATTTGCTTTTGCAGTTGCTGATACTGGTTGTTTTTTTCCATGTTTAGTGTTTCCTTCAGGAACTCTTGTAAGGCAGGCCTGGTCGTGACAGAATCTCTCAGAATTTCCTTATTTTTAAAGGATTTTATTTCTGCTTCACTTATAAAGCTTAGTTTGGCTGGATATGAAATTCTGTGCTGAAAATTCTTTTCTTTAAGAATGTTGAATATTCGCCCCCCACTCTCTTCTGGCTTGTAGGGTTTCTGCTAAGAGATCCAATGTTAGTCTGATGGGCTTCCCTTTGTGGGTAACTCAACCTTTCTCTCTGTCTGACCTTAACACTTTTTCCATCATGTCAACCTTGGTGAACCTGACAATTGTATGTCTTGTGGTTGCTTTTCTCAAGGAGTATCTTTGTGGCATTCTCTGTATTTCCTGAATTTGAATGTTGGCCTGCCTTGTTAGGTTGGGGAAGTTCTCCTGGATAATATCCTGAAGAGTGTTTTCTAAGTTGGTTCCATTCTTTCCATCACTTTCAGATACACCAATTAAACTTAGATTTGGTCTTTTCACTTAGTCCCATATTTCTCAGAGATTTTGTTTCTTTTTACTCTTTTTTCTCTAACCTTGTCTTCTCAGTTTCTTTTATTAATGAGATCTTCAGTCACTGATACCCTTTCTTCCACTTGATTGAATCAGCTACTGAAGCTTGTGCATGCATGACAAAGTTCTTGTGCCACAGTTTTCAGCTCCGTCAGGTCATTTAAAATCCTCTCTACACTATTTATTCTAGTTAGCCATTCATCTCATCTTTTTCCAAGGTTTTTAGCTTCCTTGTGATAGATTGGAACATGAAACTTTAGCTCAAATAGTTTTGTTATTACCAACCTCCTGAAGCCTACTTCTGTCAGCTCATCAGATTCATTCTCTGTCCAGTTTTGTTGCATTGCTTGTGAGGAATTGTGATCCATTGCAGAAGAAGCACTCAATTTTTAAAACTTTCAGCTTTTCTGCTGTAGTTTCTCTCCATCTTTGTGGTTTTATCTACCTTGTGTCTTTGATGTTGTTGACCTACAGATGGAGTTTTGGTGTAGATGAACTTTTTGCTTATGTTGATGCTCTTCCTTTCTATTTGTTAGTTTTCCTTCTAACACTTAGGTCCCTCAGCTGCAGGACTTTTGGGATTTGGTGTAGTCCACTGCAGATTGTGTTTGCCTGGGTGTCACCAGCAGAGGATGCAGAACAGCAAATATTTCAGAACAGCAAATATTGCTGCCTGATCCTTCCTCTGGAAGCTTCATCCCAGAGGGGCAGCTGCCTATATGAGGTGTCTGTCAGCCCCTACTGGGAGCTGTCTCCCAGATAGGTTACACAGGGGTCAGGGACAGATGAGAGGAGGCAGCCTGTCCATTCTCAGACTTCAAATGGCATGCTAGGAGAACCACTGCTCTCTTCAGAGCTGTCAGACAGGGACATTTAAGTCTGCCAAAGTTGTCTGCTGCCTTTAGTTCAACTGTGCCCTGCCCACAGAGGTGTAGTCTACAGGCAGTAGGCCTTGTTGAGCTGTGGTGGGCTCCACCCAGTTTTAGCTTCCTGGGTGCTTTGTTTACCTGCTCAAGACTTAGCAATTGTGAACGCCTTTCTACCAGCCAGGCTGCCACATCAGAGCTTGATCTCAGACTGCTGAGCTAGCAGTGAGCAAGGCTCTGTGGGCATGGGACCCACCAAGCCAGGCATGGGACCCACCAAGCTAGGCATGGGAGAGAATTACTTTGTCTGCTGGATGCTAAGACCTTGGGTAAAGTGCAGTATTTGGGCAGGAGTGCTCCGTTTTTCCAGGTAGTCTGTCACAGCTTCCCTTGGCTAGGAAAGGGAAATTCCCCGACTGCTTGCACTTCACAGGAGGGGTGATGCCCTGCCCTGCTTCAGCTCATTCACTGTGGGCTGCACCCACTGCCCTGCCATTCCCAATGAGATGAACCAGATACCTCAGTGGGAAATGCAGAAATCACTGATCTTCTGCATTGATCATGCTGGGAGCTGCAGACTGGAGCTGTTCCTATTTGGCCATATTGGAACACCCTCAGAAAAAAATAGGATGCATTTTTAAAGGTTTTTTTTTTTTTTTTTTTGAGATGGGGTCTCATTCTGTTGTCCAGGCTGCAGTGCAGTGGTGTGGAGAGTGCTTCCTCCACACACTTCCCTGTCCCTTTCAATCAACTGGCTGTGAGATCACTGAAACCAGAGATCTCAGGTTCAGAACAGGCCCAAGTGGGGTTGTGGCTGCCCCTCTGCATTTCAAGGTCACTGTGTGGCATAATGAGGTCTTTGGCTGCAGAAAAGGGCATTGCGTTTTCTGAGGAGGGCTTGGTGAGTTGATTTGAGAGACAACACAAGCACCAAGATTTGGAATGTCCCAGGTTAGTGTTGGGGAAACCAGCCACATAAGACCCAGTGTGTACCCCGAATCTGGAGGAGACAAAGGTGTTAGAAAGAGACAGAATAAGCACTTAAAAGGTAGGTCCAGGGCACCAGAGCATTGGAGACTTGCTCATGGCCTGGAGCTCTCAGGCTCCACCCAATTTATTGGTTTACAAATTCTTTGTCCTTAAGGAGATGGGAGGGGGAGGAAGGAATAAGGAAAAGGATTAAGCAGTGAAGGAGAACTCATCAGCCATTCAATAAGATGTATAGCACTGGTGGTTTCTGTGAATTTCCTTGAGCAAAGGCATGTGTCTAAACTACTTAAGATCTTCAACTTATCATGACTGAAATGGGTGGGAGTGGGTTTCAGGAGGAGCCAAGATGTTTTATTATATTCCACTGCTTCAAGGGAACGTTATCTTCCTGAGCAACCAGTGGAATGCCGCTGAGTGGTTATGCTCTGGGGGCATAAATACATGAAGGTAATAAGGAGATTTTTCTTCTCAGAGGCTGCCCATGGCTCCCCATGGGTGTCTCATACAGGGGAGACCAACTTAATTGGCACCCCAGAAACTTTGTTTCCCACAGTTAGTAATTATGGGTTGTTGGTTTAGACCAAAGATAGGGCCAGAGATGAACAAAGAATATTGGGGTGCCCCTGTGGTAACAGCATTTTCCAGCCAGCAGGCTTGCTTTACCTGCTGGGAAGAAGGATGTACCTCAGAGTCCCACAAAACCTCTTCTCCCATCTTATCTCTTTTAGAGAGACATGAATAAAATGGGCCTCAACAATCCCAAGAGACCACTCAAGGACAATGGGAGCCACTGGGCTTGGCTTTCTACTTTCCTGGAGACAAGACAATTTGAATGGCACTGACTGCCAGGTACTGTCATCATATGGGCCATGAGAACATCTCACCTGTTCAGTACCCCTCTACATTTTAGTGGGGACTAGGACATGGAATATGTGTAGGGATGATAGTGCCCTGTCACTGGGATCAGGACAGACCACAGGGAAGGGGAAGCTGCCAGCAAGGAGCCTGGGTCAGGGGCCAGGTTTGGGAAGCAGTTTCCTCTGACCCAACACTTGTTCCTGCAGCTGGACACATTACCTAAATTTATGTCTATTTTGGAGAATGGTGAAAACAGACTTAGAAAAAGACACTTGTAGGCCGGCCACCTAAAGACAAACTCAGCTGTCATTGTGGTGTGTTTATTTTTAGTATTTTGTTTCTTTTGCTTTTCTCATGTTTCTGCTACATATCAGTACTTTTTTGAGCAGCCTCCCTGCACTCTGTGATCTTTACTTGATGAGGAGGATCATTTAAGAATAAGAAAACTGGAGGCTGGCCTGCTGTGGATCTGTTCTACATTTAGGGCTGTCCTAAATCTTGTCTGGCCTTCACACCATGTGCACATTTGCTCCTCCTTTCCACATACCATTAGGATATTAGCATCTTTCTTGACACCTCTTGGGCCTGCTTCCATTTAGATCCTGCCCTGCCCAGGTATGTGTCCCTAAGCAGGTTCATGTGACCTTTCACCTGTAAAATAGAGATGGTGCCAGGATCTGCCATGGGGATTTTTGCAAAGCTTAAGTCAGGCTGGTTGTCAAAAGCCTAGGAGTACAATTGAGACACAGTGAGCATTCATGAAATACCAATGCTTTATTATCAAGTGCTGCCTAATAGTTCTTGAGGATCAACCATCATTTAATCCCATAACTATTAAGCTCTTGATAATTGTTTTCCTATTTTCAATACTGGAGGACAACACTTCATTGAAGGTCATTGTAAATAAAGTGCTAATATATTATCAGTTTCCAGTAATAAGCTTTATTAAGCGCCTCAAGGGGGCCAGGTAATTCAGAGCCTGACCCAAGTCTTTGCAGCCACAGGGAAAACGGTAAAGGCATGTAATTTGTTATATCCTGGGGTCCACAGCCACCAGTAGCCAAATTGAAACAGGAACCCACATTCCTGAGCTTGGCTTCAGTTTCTTTCCAGGTCCTACTGCTCTGGCCTGAGAGAGCCTCTGCCCACCAAAATACGGTGTTCTCTGTTTCCCACAGGCCACTGCAGGGTGGCAACATGTACCAGTAGGGGCCCAACCATGATGTCGCCACCCTCCCCCTCATCTTTCCTGCTCATTACCTCTGCCCTCTGGCTGCTTGCAGTAACATGATGGACCCCTCTATGGCTGCACCTGCATCATGGCTGGTTCCTCTAGCATTGGCATCCTCCAAGAAAATTTCCTTCCAGACTGTGCAGTTGGTCTACTGCTAGCGGCTGGACTTCATGATGCACTGCAGACACCTCTGTGGCTGTGTCTATTGATACCCTTGCTGATGGCTACACGTGGATCTGCTTTGGACAGATCTTGAGTTTTTGAGCTGGATGTGGTGATTACTTGAGTCTTGTTTGAGGGAGTGGAAGTGTGGGTAGAGCTAGGATTTTCTGCTGGAATCTGTGGTGTTTAATTAGATGTGGAACCCGTACCCTGGAACAGAGAATCTTCCTAGAGTCTCTGACACCACAAATTACTTCCCATATATTTTATTTTGAAAATAAAAATATATGCACATGACTGAAAAATACAGAGATGAGGCAAGGGTAACTCAGAAGGAACTGCCACCATGTGCACCTAACCCTAGTCCCCTGAATTACCTGTTAACACCTGGTACAACAGAGGAAGGCTGAGTTTCTTAGACCTCTGACCTTTCCTCCACCCTCACACAATGATAGAAATATCATGATTTTAGTTTCTTTCTTAGTTATCATTGATGTTGAAAGTAACTGTAGAGTATATGTATATTTATGTATATATTTTTTCAATCCAATGCAATAGAATCTTGTGACTTTCTTCTTGTAGGAAGTATATTGGCACTTTGAATTCACCTACATTTCTTGGTATTCTATAGGTATATACATATTTTTTCTTTAGCTTTCTCTTTTCTTGGAGTTTCTAATTGCCTTTTCTTCTTTCTTTCTATTTAAAATTAAATTAAAATTAAATTAAATTAAAATTAAATTAAATTTAAAATTAAATTAAATTAAGTTGGAACTAAATTAAAATTCAAATTAAATCTCCTTTTATCACATCCTTATCATCTTCCCTCATTTCTAACCTCCCACCTGAAAAATCACTGGTGGACACCTTCCGTTTTCCTGTTCCTATCCCACCAACATCTCTCTAGGCCTGGGGTGGAGCTGTCATTCCCAGAGCTTTTATAACTGCCTCCCTGGGTTTTTACATGTCAAATGCTATTTCGCTACTGCAACTATGGGACAAATCTCCCAGAGAGCTAACCACTTTTCTTAGGTTTATTTTGTTAATTGTATGTGGTTTTGAAATATTTTTTAGATTCTGTCTTCCAATTTTTGAGAGTTACACATTTTAAGAGAATTTCAAGCTGTTGTTCCTAATCTCTGAATTTTCCTATTATCTTCCTAAATTTTGTTATTTTTCAGGGATGCAATATTTTATACTTCTCTGAGACTACGGGGAGCATGTGTTCTGAACTTTCCTTGAACAGAGGTCTTGAGGCCAGAAGGAAGAAGGATCTTAAAGACTCATTTCTCTGGAGGTGAGTTGTCTGTTGATCATATTTGCCTTTGTTTGTTTTTTTTGTTTGTTTGCATTTTTTAAAAACTGTTGGTCTCTCACGTTTGCCTCTGTAATTAGCATTAAGGCTGAAATGGGGATTGTCACACGCTCATTTCACATTGGGACAAGAGGAACTGGCCTTCAAACCAGGGGCCTACAAATGGGAAGGATGATTTCCTCTGGGAATCCCTAAGCTTCCTTCTTTCCTCTGCAGAAACCTTCACCTTCAGTTGCCCTGCTGCTTCCTTGGCATGGCGATGTTCTTCCTCCACTTGCAACCTGATCACACAACTGTGGACATTGTTCTCATGGCTTTTCCCTTCTCTTTGTCGTGAAGAGAGAAGATGCAACCCGTTTCTCTACTATGATGGAACCAGAATGTCCATATTAGAACTTTAACATTATTTCCTCTACATCAGAGGCCACATTGGCTTCTGCCTGAAAGAGGAAATTGCAGAAAACAGACACAAGGATGGGAAGGTCACATTGACATATAAAGTTCCTGAGGGGCAGCTGGGTATTGTGTTAGGTGGTCACTCTTCTGTTCAGGAGGAAGGACTGTGTGAGCCTTTCCCAAAGGCCTGTTCAGTGTCTGAGCTCAGGGCCAACTTAATTTCAGTGTGCAGCCTTATAGATTAGGAAAAGAAAACAATCTGCCTCATCAGGTCTCCTGCCCAACCTTATTCCTTGCTCTGGATCATGATTGCTTATTTAAAAACAGCTTTGTTGGCATGTGATTGGCATATGGTAAACTGCACCTGTGTAGATGGAAGAACTGATGGTTTCTCCATGTGAGTATTTCATTCACCGCAAGGCCAGAAGTGTGATGAAGGTCATGAAAACACATCTTCCTCCCATCAATAACGATCACTCCCTGGCCACCCTAGGACCACAGATCTGCTTCTTTCACTAAAAACTTGTGGGTATTTTATAGAATTACAGGTAAATACAGTATGTACTTGGGTCTTTGTGCGTCGTTCTGATCTGGCTTCTTTTATTCAGCAGAACTACTTTCAGAGTCACTCTGTTCTGAGTGCATCAACAGTCCATTCCTTTTCATGCTGAGCCACATGCCATTGTATAGATGTGCCACAGCTTGTTCACCCTTCTTCTGTGTATGGGCATTTGGGCTCCTGGTTTGGGACCATTATGTGTAAGGATGTCATGAATATTTATTTATGTATGTAGCCTGTGAGCTTGCCTTCATTTCTCATGGTTCATTCCTAGGAGTGCAGTGGCCACATCATGTCATGGTAGGTCTGCATCGACCTTGTTAAGGAATCACTGTCCCTTGTGCTAAGTGTTTGGTCCATTGCCTGCTTTCTCTCTTGCTCCCTCTGATTTAGTCATACAAACCTCTTGTATCCTTCACCCTCCAGGGCAATAACTTCTTAGCATACCGCCTTTCTTTACACTTGGAATCACCAGCTCCTTCTTTATGTGCTGGCTCTGATTCCCTCACTAAATTTGCCCTTTGTGCCCCATGTGTGACCCATTCCCATTGATACACCCTATGTATGAGAGGGCTTTGGGATAAGAGACTGTTTCTGATGAGTATCGAGTACTACAATGGCTCTGAATGGAAGAAAGATGACTGGGTGGGTCTTGTCAACCATTGTCCCTGGAGCTCATCTTTGTTGTTACAAATAAGTCTGGGTGTGGCCTGGGCATATGTTCAAGTACTCGCAAACCTTTTCTAAATGACAACTGGAGACCAGGCCATGGGCTGGAATGTGAGTATGAAGTTACTTGGAAGCTGTGTGATTGAAAGTGAGTCACTCAGTCACTGGATCCTGGCATTTTTCTCTACATGTGGGACTACCCATACTTTGCAGAGTTGCTGTGAGTTCACCTGAGTAAGACACCTGCATGCACTTGTGATCAGAAAATGTTAATTTCCCTTTATTGAAATGGAACAACCCATGGATATTATGTGCTGAGGTCTGGATCAAAATAGAGCATGATACTGAAGACCTTGTAAACCCTGAGGAGGCATCACTGATCACTGGGTGTCCGGAAAGGCAGCAGAGAAAAACTGACCTGGAAGTGAAATTGGCCCGTGGGTTTGTTACAGTTGGTTAAACAGTCATGAGTGGGGCAAGAGCGGGTTCTCCACATCCGCATACCAGGAATGTCAGGCCATCGGGTGATGGTTGGACAGTTATCATATTGCTTCTCTAAAAATAATAATTTAGCGGCTGGGGCCAGGGATAGCCTGATACACAGCTGGTAACATTAAAGTGTTAATTAAACTCACATGCCAGAGAGGAGGAAAAAGGGCGTCCCATAAAATCTCAGACATTGGATGACTGAACCCAGGAGTGCACATTAAGAGACAAAATGGTGGAGTATGACTTTCTGGGGTCACCCCACCAATAAAAGGGAGGAAGCCTCAGATGGGCATACATATAACTGCTTAAACACACTGTCTATACTTACTTCCCAAGGGTAAGGAGGGCACTGTGCCTGTGGGCAGCCCATGCTAGGGGAAGAATCATGGGAAAGGGTGCACCAGATGCTGGCGGTAGGCCAGCCTAAAATGTCCCAGAAGGAAGGTTAATGGCCACACTTCTTCAAGTCACCCATTTGGATCTCTTTCGAGTGCAATTTTCATTCTTTCCTGCTCTAAAGCTTTTTAATAAACGTCCACTCCTGCTGTGAAACTTGCCATGGCATTTTCTTCCTTCTTCCTTCTTTATGCCCACCAGTTGAATTCTTTCACCTGAGGAGGCAAGAATTGATATTGCTAAAGACCCGGACGGATTTGCTGCCAGTAACTCAGATACTTTTCACCGGTAACAGGTCTAGGAGCTGGTGGACACAATGGCTGGAGTATGTGTCCAGAATGTGCCTGCTCAGGCCCCAGGCACTTCCGGACTGTGGGGGGACTTGAACCCCAGGTTAAGGGGACACCATGGAATGAGAGCTCAGCCTGCTGTTGGAATACTGGGGATAGGATATTTTTTACTGAAGTAAATCCCCTACCTATTAAGGAACTACTACCCAATCTGTCCTCTTTCTGACCCCTGACAATTAGCAAATCTGCTTTCTTTCTCTATGAAATTACTTATTCTGGACATTTATATACATAAAATCATACACTATGTGACTTTTGTGCTTAGCTTCTTTAAACACAATGGTTTTGCAGTATCTTCACATTGTAGTATGAGTGTCTCAATCTTTTTATGGCTAGATATTATGCCATTGTATAGGTATACTACATTTTGTTTTCCTATTATTTGTTTGTGGACATTTGGTTTGTTTCCACATTTTAGTTATTGTGAATAATTCTTCCATGAGTATATGTGCACACACAGTTTTGTTTGAATACCTGCTTTATATTTTTTGTGTATATACCTGAGGTGGGGGGGATTTGCTGGTTTCTATGATGGTTCCATGTTTAGCTTTTTGCAGAAACACCAAACTATTTTCCACAGCAGATGAACTATTTTACTTTTGTTTTTCTCCACTTCCACGTCAACCCTTGTTCGTTCATGGTTTTTAAATAATAATAATTACAATGGGTGAAAAGTGGTGTCTTCTTGTGGTTTTGATCTGCATTTCCCTGAAATAAGTGATGTTGAGCTAATTTTTATGTGTTTTTGTGTGTGTGTGTATCTTTGGAGAAAAGTATTTTCAATTTCTCTATCATTTTTTTAATTGGGTTGATTGTCTTTTTGTTCTTGAGTTGTAAGAATTTCTCCTATATCCTGGATACTAGGCCCTTACCCTTATATATGACTTGAAAATATTTTGTCCTATGCTGTTGGTTTTCTATTGACCATCCTGATAGTGCCCTTTGAAGCATGAAAGATTTTAGTTTTAATGAAGTTCAATTTATCTATTTTTTCTTTTGTTTTCTGTGCATTCTCTGTCATACCCAGGAAACCATTAACAAGTTCAGTGCCAATAAGCGCAGAAAGATATGTTCGACATCATTAGCCATTAGGTAAATGGATATCTAAATCACAATGAGATTATCACCTTAAACCCACTAGAATGTCTTTTTTTTTTTTTTTGAAAAAGGGAGAGTTGGGGAGTATGTGGAGAAAATGGAACCCTTGTGCATTGCTGGTGAGAATGTGAAATGGTGGTGATGGTTGCACAGTAACATGAACATACATAATGCCACTTACCTGTACACCTACAAATGTTTAGATTGGTAAATTTATGTTACGTTTCTTTTACCACATACCAAAAAGGCTTCCTGAGAACTAGTCCTGAGATAGTTCCATGTGGAAAGAAGAGGACCCTTCTCTCTCCTAGAGTGAGTAGAAGCCTTTGTTTTTTGTTGCTGTTGTTGTTTTGTGTTTGTTTTTGTTTTGAAACAGAGTCTTCCTTTGTGGCCTAGGTTGGTGTGCAGTGGTGTGGTCTCTGCTCACTGCAAGCTCCAACTCCCATATTCATGCCATTCTCCTTCATCAGCCTCCTGAGTAGCTGGGACTAAAGGTGCCCACCACCATGCCTGGCTAATTTTTGTATTTTTAGTAGAGGTAGGGTGTCACCGTGTTAGCCATGATGGTCTCAACCTCGTGACCTAGTGATCCACCCAACTCAGCCTCCCAAAGTGGTGGGACTGCAGATGTGGTGAGCCACCACATCTGGCTGAGTAGAAACCTTCTTATCATGCTTGTACTACACACTCCTGGCTCTTCCACACACCAAGCATGACCTCACGAACCAGAGGCAGTCTAAGTCTAACTGGCCCATTTGTACCCCCTTTCCAACATCCTATTCCCCTATTCAACTCACTCTCTTTCCCCTACAAACCACTGTACATCACAGGTCTGCTTACCTTCTCTGTAGACATTTCTATAATGTCATAGAAATATGATCATAAAATACATGATCTCTTCAGACTGGCACTTTTTGTTATTATTGTTTTCTCATTATTCTATAATTGCTGCCAAAAGAAGCAGGCATGTGTTGTGCCACAGAAAACTGATCATATTCTAAGCTCTACTTAGTAAAAACTAAAAAAAAAGAAAGAAAAAAATATGCTAGTACATATTGTCGCATTTATCCTGTTATTTTTTTAATTCATGATTTCTACAATGAATAAATGGATGAATAAAGCACACAGATATTATGCTTTGCCAGTCCAGCTGAACATCAAGCTGCTTACAGACTACAGGCAAATTATTGCAAACAGTTTTGACTGTGGCCCCAGCCAGCTAGTGAGACTTGCATTTATTCAGTAAGGATTAATTGACCAAGGCTCTAGTTAACACCACTAAAGGGTAATTGACAGTGTGGACTTCCCAGTTAGAAAGCAATTTAGCACTGTGCTAAGTCAAATATTAGTCTTAGGACCACATGACTAAGCAAGCTACTTAGGTAAACACCCCGCATTCCTTTGTTTCTACTCTAACTTATTTAACTAAAGGTAAAAGGCCATCCTGTCTAATATGGTGAAACCCCATTTCTACTAAAAATACAAAAAATTAGCTGGGCATGGTGGCGGGTGCCTGTAGTCAAAGGTACTTGGACTCAGGAGGCTGAGGCAGGAGAATGGCAGGAACCTGGGAGTTGGAGCTTGCAGTGAGCTGACATCGCAGCACTGCACTCCATACTGGCCAATAAAGCGAGACTCTGTCTCAGAAAACAAAACAACACAAAACAAAACCAGTATTCATCACTAAAAAAAGTAGCAAAATATAAAGACCAACAACACTAAGAAGAAAGTGGATCAATTAATATGCAAAATAACCAGCTAGTATTGCCATGCCAGGATCAAATTGACCCGTACAAATATTAACCTTAAATGTAAGTGAACTAAATTTGCCAATTAAAGTGCACAGACTGACAAATTGGATAGAATCAAGACCCTTTGGTGTGCTGTATTCAGGAGACTGATATCATGGGTGAAGACACACATAGGCTCAAAATAAAAGGATGGAGGAATATTTACAAAGCAAATGGAAAGTAAAAAAAAAAAAAAAAGCTGGGATTGAAATCCTGCTCTATCCTAAAATGACCATACTGCTTAAAGTAATTCACACATCTACAGTGATCTGATCTTTGACAAGCCTGACAAAAACAAGCAACTAGGGAAGGATTCCCTGGTCTGGGAAAACTGGCGAGCCATATGCAGAAACCTGAAACTGAATCCCTTTCTTACATCACATACAAAACTTAACTCAAGATGAATTAAAAGACTTAAATGTAAAACCTAAAACCCTAAAAACCCTAGAAGAAAATCTAGGCAATACCATTCAGGATATAGGCATGGGCAAAAACTTCATGACAAAAAGACCAAAAAACAATTGCAACAAAATCCGAAATTGACAAATGGGACCTAATTAATCTAAGGAGCTTCTCCACAGCAAAAGAAAATATCGTCAGAGTGAACAGGCAACATACAGAATGTGAAAACATTTTTTCAACCTATCTATCTGACAAAGGTCTAATATCCAAAAGCTACAAGGAACTTAAAAAATTTTATAAGAAAATAAAAAACAAACCCCAACAAAAAGTGGTAAAGGATATCAACAGACACTTCTCAAAAGAAGACATTTAATCAGCCAACAAATATATATAAAAAAAGCTCAGCATCACTGAGCATTAGAGAAATGCACATCAAAACCACAATGAGATACTGTCTCACATCGGTCAGAATGGTGACCATTAAAAAGTCAGGAAACCACAGATGCTGGCGAAGATGTGGAGAAAAAGGAATGCTCTATGCTGCTGGTGGGAGTATAAATTAGTTCAATCACTGTGGAAGACAGTGTGGTGATTCCTCAAGGATCTATAACCAGAAATACCATTTGACCCAGCAATCCCATTATGTGGTATACACCCAGAGTATTGTAAATCATTCTACTCTAAGGAAACTGCACATGTATGCTTATTGCAGCACTATTTACACACAAAAAAGACATGGCACAAACCCAGATGCCCATCAATTATAGACTGGATAAAGAAAATGTGGCACATATACACGATGGAATACTATGCAGCCACAAAAATGAATAAGTTCATGTCCTTTTCAGAGACATGAATGAAGTGGAAACCGTCATTCTCAGCAAGCTAACACAGGAACAGAAAAGCAAACACTACCTATTCTCATGCATAAGTGGGAATGGAACAATGAGGACACAATGGGGCCTGTCAGGGAGTAGGGGGTAAGTGGAAGGAGATCATTAGGACAAATACCTAATGCATTCAGGGCTTAAAACTTACATGATGGGTTGATGGGTGCAGCAAACCACCGTGGCACATGTACACCTATGTAACAAAACTGCCTGTTCTGCACATGTATCCTATAATTTAAATTACAATAAAAAAAGGCAGGTTAAATGAAAAACTAAATAGTATCCATGAATTTATGATGACTCCCTATTCGGTTTTTACTTAATGCTTTTTCTGTGTTTCGTGTCTGGAGGAAAGCAAAATAACAACATATTGAACCAAACATTTTAAAACAACTTAATACAAAGGGGTTGGAGCAAATTCTTTTATCTCTTTATGAAGACAAGTGTGAGTTAAAAACCACCTCTCCTAATGCTTCTCAGTGCCTCAAGGTGCTTAGGAAAAAAATAAAACTTCCAACTTAAGGATACTTGGCAGCTTCCAGAACTTTAAGGAAAGCCGAGAAATAAAGTATCCAGCTTCCGGTTCTTTCTAGGAGAGTATGCCTAGTGCCTTCAGGACCCTTGGACCTTGGAGGAAGAGCGGAGGTGGGGTAGGTGGGGGCGGTCTCTGGAGCCACTTGCCGCTCTGGCAGCCACTGCTGCTCCCCATGGGACGGCTTAGAGTCAGCCTTCAGCAGAAGCAGCAGGCTTTCCGCAAGCAGTGTTTGGTGTGTCTGCCTGTTTTCCATCTCTGTATCTTCCTTAGTGATGTATCTACTCAGGTTTTTACCTTGGAATTGGGTTGCTTATCTTTTTGAGTTTTAGAGTTTCTGCATATGTTGTGCATACAAGTCACTTTTCAGATAAGTTTGCTAAATTTTTCTATCTATGGCTGTGGCTGGTTCTTTGGTTCTTTTTTTTTTTTTTTCTGAAACGGGGTCTCACTCTGTCACCTAGGCTGGAGTGCAGTGGCGCGATCCTGGCTCATTGCAAGCTCCGCCTCCCGGGTTCACGCCATTCTCCTGCCTCAGCCTCCCGAGTAGCTGGAGGTGGAGTCTCATTTTGTCACCCAGGCTGGGGTGCAATGACCCTATATGGCCTTACCGCAATCCCCACCGCCCAAGTTCAAGGGATTCAAACTCCTGGCTCAGACTCCTGAGCAGCTAGGATTACAGGTGCACGCCAGAACTCACAGTTAAATTTTTGAATTTTTCCTAGAGACGGGGTTTCACCATGTTTACCATGCTGATCTGGAATCCCTGTCCTCAGGTGATCTGGCCGCTTCGACCTCCAAAAGTGCTGAGATTACAAGCTTGAACTGCCATGCCCAATGGTAACAGAGTGTTTTACAGAGTAGACATTTCAACTTTCAATAAAGTTCATATTATCCGTTTTTTTTTCTTTCATGGACTTGATAATAACTCATCACTAAACCCAAGCTCATGAAGATATTTTCCAATTACAACTTTGCACTGAAAAAATTTAATGTGTGGGTATTTTTGACTAATTTTTTTAACTGTAAAATTTGTGTCTATGTTCATTTGTTTCCGTATAGTTTCCAGCTGTTTTCTTGCCACTTGTGAAAGAGACTTATTGTTTCCAAAGGACATTCTTTGCATTTTCGACAAAATCATTTGACTTGGGCCTGTTTTGGGGCTGACTATTCTGTTCCACTTATCTGCTTGTCTATTAAATCATGAATGACACACTCTTGTTTATTACATTAGCTTTAGTGTAAGTATTCATATCACATCTGGCATTGCACTTCTTCAGTCTTATTTCATCTATTCTAGGTTTAGGAAAAGTTGTTGATATATTTACCTGGAATTTGATTGGAATATAGCTGAAATAATAATAAATGTGCTTCTCCAGAACAAGAAACATCTATTTATTTACTTTGTGAGAAGGAGTTGTGTCACCCAGGTTGGTGTGCGGTGGCATGATCTCAGCTCACAGATTCTCCCACTTCAACGACCCAAGTAGCTGGGACCACAGGCATGCACCACCAAGCTCAGCTTATTTTTTTTGTATTTTGGGCAGAGATGGGCTTTCACCGTGTTCCCCAGGGTGGTCTCCAATTCATGGGCTCAAGGTATCTGCCTGCTGCAGACTCCCGAGGTGCTGGGATTACAGGCGTGTGACAACGTGCCTAGCCTGTCTGCATTTGCTAACATTTCCTTTGATTTCTCCCAATGGTGACTCATTGTTTTCTGAATGAATTCTGCATATTTTGTTACAGTTATACTTAATGGATTCAATTTTGCAGGTAGTATTGTAAATGGTGTTTTAATATTTCAAAATCCAATTATTTATATTCATTATTGCTGATATAGAGAAAATCAATTGAGTTTTGTATATTGACCGTCTTCTTTGCTTCCTTTTATCTCCATTCTAGATATGGGAAGGTTGGCTGTATCTCACTTCCACTTCGTGAGATGACCGCCTGGATTAACCCACCCCAAATTTCAGAGATTTTCCAAGGCTACCACCAGAGGGTGCACGGAGCTGATGCACTGAGCCTGCAAACCAACTCTCTGAGAAGCAGGTTATCTTCACAGTGCCTCGGACAGAGCTTCCTTCTCAGGACACTCGAGAGAGGCCGTGGTTTCAGGGCACTTGGGGACATCTGTGGCCACGTTCATGAAGAAGACTAAGCCTACTTCATCTCAGGACCCGCCCAAGAGTGGCCGCGGCTTTGGGACACCTGGGGTCGGGTCCACCATGAGGATAAAACCTCCTTCTCTTCTGGACATGTCCAGGAGTGGCCGTTGCTACAAGTCACCTGGTGCTACGACCAGGGTGAGAATAAAGACGTCTCCTCAGGACCCTCCCAGGAGAGTACATGGCATTGAGACATCTGGCGGCCAAGTGAGGAAAAGACACCCTGTCTGCAGCACCCAGAACTGAGGAGGGGCACTGCCCTGGGCCTTACTTCCCAGCCCTGGCCTCCAATTCTGACCTTACAAAAGTGTCCCTTGAGTGAGGCAGTGACCACGCATTGTCACAGCTACCAAAGTGTGGTTTGCAGATGATCTGGGCTTGTTTCTGGCGGAGATTCTGGTACAGAGAAAGGAGAGGCGCTGAGTGGAACCACGATGGGCTGAGGCCAGGGGAGACATCGCAACCTCCAACAACACTTTTTTTCATGCTTTAATAACTCATTTTTCTTAGAGAACTAAAGTAGTTGAAACAATATAGAAACATTTTTTAAGTAGGCATATTAGAACTTGAATTATTATGTAAGTTTAAATATATGATATATGCCTGGTTAGCAACATTTTTTCTTTTCCTGAGACAGTCACAGTTTAACTGAGAGTGCATTTGTAATGGTAATGTAAATGTCTGCTTTATACATATTGACATCCTACATTAGCTGAGATATACTAACAATATCAAACTTTGATATTATGCCATAAAATTAGTTGAAGAATTCTGATCCAGATATGAGTGACAAATGGTCCATGACACATCCCTACTCAGGAGATCCTGAGAACATGTGCCCCAGGTGGTATGTTCACAGCCTACATTTATGCATTTTAGAGAGACCTGAGACATCAATCAAACACATGTAAGATGTACATTGGTTTGGTCCAGGAAGGATGGACAACTTGAAAATAGTGATGGTGTGGGGCTGGGCTTTCAAGTTACAGGTAGATATAAATATGTTTTAATTGGCAGTTGGCTGAAAGAGTTAAATTATTATCTAAAAACATAAAATCAATAGACAGGAATGACTGGGTTACAATAAATAATAAGGGCTGTAGAGACCAAAGTTTTATTATGATGATGAAGCCTCCATGTAGCAGGCTCGAGAAAATAGGTGGTAAATATTCCTTATCAGATTTAAGGTATGTGTTGCTGTTAGTGGTGGTCAGCTTTTTCTAAAGTTCAAAAGGGAATAGTATGTAATGAAGCATGTGTGTCCCTCTTTCTTGTCAGGAAGTGAAGCAATTTTGGAATGCTCTTGATCAAAAGGAGGGGTCCATTCAGATGGCTGTGGTTGGCGGGGGGACAGGAGAGTTAATTTTTTTTAACAAGTGTTTCATTTCTGTTTACAAAAGTATAACCTATTAAAGTGTTATAAATTATAATTATCTAAGAGAAAAAAGGGATTTCTTAAATCTAAAAACATAGAAAATAACCTAACCCATCAAACCTTATGGATTTTTTTTTCTTTCTGTTTTTAAAGTTGCCAAGGATGCTTTGCTTGTAAGTCATATATTTGACCTGTTGACCATCTGGGTATAGTTCTGTTGCTTCTTCAAAAATTGTACCCAGCAACCTTCCAAAAGTGTTTTTAAGTAAATTTCTTAAATTGTAGCAATAAACAAAATGAAAAGACAATATTAAACATTACTGAGGTTTATCAAAGGACATACAAAATTTCAACTCTTATTCCTTTCCTTCTTCTTCTCCTTTTATTTTTATTTTGAGACAGGGTCTCATTCTTTTTCCCAGCCTGGAGTGCAGAAGTGCTATGATGGCTCACTGCAGCCTCTAACTGCTGAGCTCAACTGATCTTCTGCCTTAGCTTCAGTTATCATATCTGGCTAACTTTTTGTATTTTTTGAGAGAGACAAAGACTTGCCATGTTGCCTGGACCTGTCTTAAATGCCTGGACTCACATTATCTGCCTGCCTTGGCCTCCAAAAGTGCTGAGATTACAGGCATTAATATAACATTTATGTTAGGGTTAGATAAAAATCAATCTTTTGGCTAAGTTATGAACATGCATATTATGCAATTATATATGTCTAATTTTCATCATTTTCTATGTCAACATTACTCATTTTAAAGTCATATTCAAGGGGTAAGGCAAAACCGCCTATGAATTGGCATATTTGTTTATTTCTCTGTTTGTGAAAATGTCCATAGTTTTTTCAGAATACAAATAAATTTCAACTCTGTTATGCAAAAAAACAGAATAGAATCTTCTTTGCAATTAATTTTTTTCTTTTATTACTATACTTTAAGTTTTAGGGTACATGTGCACATTGTGCAGGTTAGTTACATATGTATACATGTGCCATGCTGGTGCGCTGCACCCACTAACTCATCATCTAGCATTAGATATATCTCCCAGTGCTATCCCTCCCCCCTCCCCCCACCCCACAACAGTCCCCAGAGTGTGATGTTCCCCTTCCTGTGTCCATGTGATCTCATTGTTCAATTCCGACCTATGAGTGAGAATATGCGGTGTTGGGTTTTTTGTTCTTGTGATAGTTTACTGAGAACAATGATTTCCAATTTCATCCATGTCCCTACAAAGGACATGAACTCATCATTTCTTATGGCTGTATAGTATTCCATGGTGTATATGTGCCACATTTCCTTAATCCAGTCTATCATTGTTGGATATTTGGGTTGGTTCCAAGTCTTTGCTATTGTGAATAATGCCGCAATAAACATATGTGTGCATGTGTCTTTATAGCAGCATGATTTATAGTCCTTTGGGTATATACCCAGTAATGGGATGGCTGGGTCAAATGGTATTTCTAGTTCTAGATCCCTGAGGAATCGCCACGCTGACTTCCACAATGGTTGAACTAGTTCACAGTCCCACCAACAGTGTAAAAGTGTTCCTATTTCTCCACATCCTCTCCAGCACCTGTTGTTTCCTGACTTTTCAATGATTGCCATTCTAACTGGTGTGAGATGGTATCTCATTGTGGTTTTGATTTCTGCGATTAATTTTATAGTTACCTTGCATACAGGGAATGTGCTGCCTATAAAAAATATGAACTGAACCACAGGCCTTAAACACTAAAAAAAATTTAAGAGTTTATTCTAATTTATTTTATCCTATAAATCAATTGTATTTATATACAATATAGAAAGTTCACAGCCATCAACAGTTCTACTGCAGTTTCAGGTGAAATGGGAATTTAGGAATTTCTGTGGAACTGTAGGCGCAGTGAAACATTTAGGTAAAATATGTGTATGCCTTTAGCAGCACTTGTGAAGGGACGTCTCTCAAATTAAACTCAATGCATTTCTTCTCAGCAAAATGACCTGGGCCACTCTCCCTGGCTTTCACTGTTGTTGATGTTCATGCATGTTCTCTTTTTATCATTAATTTATGACTCTGAAGATATCCATTTGACGTCGTGGCATGAGGGCTTTCAAAACCACTGTAGATTTTCTACTCTTCATCCATTATGTACTTAAGTATTTCTACTTTGACTCCCCAGGAACTTGAGTAGTTTCTGCTTAGCCCATGGACAGTGCAGCCCAGGTCCCAATAAAGCAGCACAGACCCCACTCCAAGGCCACCCCCAACCCCAGCTGCCTGCTCCTGTGTGTTCAAGGGAAGTTGGAGAACATGCAGCTTGTTGTTTTTACAAATAAAATTGTTGTGTTAATTTCATTTTCATATCATTTATTGCTAGTGTATACAAATAGATTTTAGTGTATTGATATATATACTGTATGTTTGTTTAATTTGTTTATTAGATTTTATTATTTCTTGTTGATTTCTTATGATTTTCTGTATATGAGATCATGAGATCCATGAGTAGGTAGTTTTATTTTATTTTTTGACATATGAATGGCTTCATATATATTTTTCTTTTCCAATTATTTCGGATGGAACTTCTAATACAGTATCAAATGCAATGATGAAAGTGAGCATCAGTGCTGTGTTCTTCATCTTAAAGCTTTTGTTCCCAACAATTCAGACGCTGATTGTTATGGGTTTTGTATAAAGACGTGTTATCATGTGAAAGACATTTTAATCACAGTTTATTGGATGTTGTTATCAGTAAACATGTTGACTAACTTTAAGTATTTTCTGTAACAGTTGAGATATACATGTACTGTTTTCCCAGCATTTAATTTACATGGTATATTGAAGAGGGATGGCTTCAGAATGTTAAAACAAGCCTCAATTTTCTAGAAAAAAAACGTAATCACATAGGTGCATAATGTCTTCCTCGTGTAGTTAATTCCATGTACTATTATTTGGTTACATAATCTAATGTCTCTAATTATCATATTTGTTAACATTTAGTGTTTTGTCCCAGTGACATCATCTGTTTAATTCAATTTTCAATTGGAGTTAAGAGGTAAGGTTAAGTGTACTCTTATGGGCATTAGGGGTTAGAGTCATAGATGATATATTTAAAATTCTTTGAAGGGTGATATGATAATATTAAGAATGGGATAGAAGTTTGGGATTAGGAATAGGGGTTTACAATTGCAGAAAAAAGTTTAGATTGAGGGTTAGATCTGGGGTTGGGTTAGAGGTCAGTGTTGTGGTAGGATTAGGGTTATGATTAGGATTAGGATTAGGGACAGGGTTAAAGTTTAGTGTTATGTTTAGGGCTACAGTTAGAATCAAGATTAGATGTTAGTTTTAGGGTCAGGTTATGTTTAGGTTTAGGGTAAGAAATAGGCCTACAGTTAGAGGTTGTTGTTAGTGTAGGGTTAGGTTCTGGCTTAACTTCATGGTGAGGGTTAGAGTTAGTGCTTAGGGTGAGAGTTAAGGTGACGGTGAGGGTTAGGGTAAGAGGGTTAGTGCATTAGCGTTAGGGTTTGGGTTTAGGGTTTGTGTTAGGATAAGAATAAGGATTCGGTTTAGGGTTTCAGGTTAGCATTAGGGTTAGTGTTTAGGGTGCAGTGTTATTTTTAGGGTTATTGTTTAGCATTTAGGTTAGGGTTAGGGTCACTTTAGGGTTAGGATGAGGGGTTAGTGTTTGGCCTAGTGTTAAGCTTTAGGGTTAGCGTTAGGGTGGGTTTAGTTTTAGGGTTAGAGTTCAGGGTTACAGTTGGGATTGGGTTTATTATATGTGATTATAGTTAGCATTTAAGTTTTAGTGTTAGAGCTATGGTTGCAGTTGCATTTGAGGTTGTGGGTTAGAGTTAGGGTTAGGGTTAGTGTCAGGATTAAGTTTAGGGATATGGTCAGCGTATTTTTAGAATTAGGGTTGGGGTAGGAATTTGGATTAGGGATGTTGGTTATGTGTTATGCTTATGTTTTTAAGGTTAGAATTTTAATTTTCAGGTTAGAGTTAAGGGTGCTTTTAGGGTTAGGTTTGAAGGAGCTTTAGGGGTCAGAGTTAGAGTTAGGGGTTAGGGTTCAGTGTTTAGAGGTAGTGTTAGAGTTAGGGTTTGGTTTAGTATTTCTGTTAGTGTTTTTCTGAGTGTTATGTTTAAGGGTAGATTTAGGGTTTGGGGTAGATTTAGGGTTAGGGGTAGGTGTAGGTGTATGTTTAGGGTTATGGGTTGCGGTAGGGTTATATTTATGGATAGGGATATGTTTTGTTAATGGTTCAGGTTGGGTTTATGTGGAGATTAGGGTTAGGGCTTGAGGGTTATTGTTAGTGTTTTAGTGTTAGTAATAGGGGTTATATTTAGGGTTAGACATCTTTTTCACCCATCTTCACCCGACTAATCAGCACTCTCTTTCTGACTTCTGAGGTTCATATGCATTCCATACGTATTTAGATTATTTATTTGTTTATTTGTTTGTTTGTTTATATATGTTTGTTTATTTATTTATTGGAGACGGAGTTTCACTCTTGTTGACGTGACTGGAGTAGTATGGTTTGACCTCAACTCACACAACCTCCGCCTCCCAGGTTGAAGTGATTATCCTACCTCAGCTCCTGAGTAGCTGAGATTAAAGGCATCCACCATCACACCTAACTAATTTTGTATTTTTATTAGAGACACGGTTTCTCCATGTTTGTCAGGCTGGTCTCAAACTTTCAACTGCAAGTGATCCATCTGCCTTGGCCTCCTGAATTGCTGGTATTATCGACAAAAGCCACCATGCCCTGCATCAGACTTTGAAATAACCTGACTTAAAGTGGATCTACCAACAATGTGCCACCTCTTCACTGTGAGTTGTACACTTCTTGGGATTGCACGGCTGCAAATGGATATGTCTTCTCCAAACTTAAAGCTGCAGATACATCTCAACAACCTTCCTGCAGATAGACGCTACCCACTCTGAAACTTCTCTCCACTGAAGCCTTCAGTGATGTTTTAACAACCTGCTTCTTCATCTTGTCTCTCTTGGCCCTGTCTTCACTGAGTGTTGCAGAGATGCAGGTATTTCCTGTTTTTGAAATGGACTTACCCACTTTCTGTCTCCTGAAAGCTGCGCCATCACTCAATAAAGCATCTATTTACCCTAATTATTCTCCTGTTTTCCACATACATAATTCTCCCTGGATATGCATCAAGAATTCAAGACCCACTTAATGGAGAACCTGAAGATTAGTAACAGAAACAAGGCTGAAACACAGAAACCCACACTTAACATCAACACAGATTCTATTCCTTGTGCTGAGATTCAGATTTTTTTCGGCACACCACACTCTCTCATTGACCTGTTTTAACTTCATCTTTAACTTTACAGTAAATAAGGGCATTACTTTTCTCTAGCACAACTGAATTATATGAGGCAAAGTCCTTAATTTGAGTCATAACCACTTGGGGGAAAAGTTGCAGTCCAAGACACCTGAGAGACCAGGTCTCTGGCACATGCCTCCCATGCTTTCAGCTTTCTCCCACCAATCAACATTACATTGGCCTATGCTTCACCCATCATCTTGGGAAATTTAATGGTAAAACAGCAACCTGGACTCTGTCCAAAGGTCATAGAAGCAGTTTAAAACCAAGCCTTTTTGTTAGCCTAAACCAAATCACAAAGAGGAAGTATGGATGCATCTAGTCAAATGGCTGGGCTATTGGCTGATACAACAATAGGCTTCTTAAACTGAATGAAACTATTCACAATGTTCTTTACAGTATCCACTCTTACAATGCTTTCTCTGTTTCTGTCATTTCTTAAATGCAAACAAAATCAAGACCTCAGCAAGGGACGCAGCCATCTGCACTAGGCAGCATAAGCTTCCTGTCATCTGCAGCAGCCCTATACAGAGCATTCTTGATTTTTTTTCATTACTTCAATATTTAGTGAGTTGTTCTCTGTCAATCTCATTGATAGCACTTTCTGGGTAAAGCCATCATTTTCCCTCACCAAAATGTTTCTGAGTCTACTGGCACTTTCTATTAGCCTTATGGTTAAATACATCCTTTTGATAAAAGGCTGGTCTTTTTCATCATCAATAATCTCTCTTTTCCCCCCTCTCATGCTTGGAACAAATGTATGGATTTTTTTTCTTCCATTGGCTGTTTATGGAATTGCTAATACCAGTGTACCTTCCTTGTTAGCTGAGCCCGTAACCATGGAAGCAGTAACCGAGCCAGACCCCTGAGACATTAGTGGGTGTATCTTGCACCTGTTCTCTCCTCCAGTCTGTTCTGCATCAGGATATTTATCTTTACCTTAATCTTTGTTTATTTGTACTGCTGTTCGGTGTCCTTTCATTTTACCCTGGAATAATACATAAGGCATTTATTAAATGGTTGTCTACTGGCAAAAGAATGTGGCTTTTATTTGGGAATTTCATAATTTCTCCCTCATTTTTGATGGACACTTTGTTTAAACATAACATTTGTTTGAATTTTTTTTTCTTAGTGCATTTGGAATATATGAGTCTACCCTGAGTTTTCAGATAAGAAATTCCCTGATTATTTATGAGGGGTTCTTTCATACATTACTGGTCAAAATTTCTTTGGCTGCTTTCAAGATTCTCTTTGTCTTTATTTTAGACAGTTTAACTATCATGTATGTTTGAATGTGCCTCTTTGAGTTTATTTTACTTGGAGTTTGTTCAGTTTCTTCGGTATTTATTATCTTAAATTTGTGACAGGTTTGACCACATTTTTTTAGTTTCCCTATTTCTTTGTTTCTTTTCCTTGAACTTCCAAAATGGATAAGTGGGTCTGCTTGATGGTGTCACACTGGTTTCTAGACTGTTTTCACATTTATTTATTTATTTTTTCTCTTCCTGACTTAATAATTTCAATTGCCCCTTTTATTCAATTTGGTGACATTTTCTTCTGTATGCTCAAGTCTCCTTTTAAATGTCTGTAGTACTTATTTAGTTAGTTATTTATACAATTTTTTTTGAGATGGAGTCTTGCTTTGTCACCAGGCTGGAGTACAGTGCACAATCTTGGCTCACTGCAACCTCTGCCTCTCGGGTTCAACTGATTCTCCTGCCTCAGTCTCTTGAGTAGCTGGAACTATAGATATGTGTCACCACACCCAGCTAATTTGTGTGTTTTTAGTAAAGATGGGGTTTCATCATGTTGGCTTGGATAGTCACAACTTCTTGACCTTATGATCTGTACCTTGGCATCCCAAAGTGCTGGAATTGCAGGCCTCTAGTCAATTTTAATGTCAATTGTTTTACTTTTCATCTCCAGAATATTTTTTTTTCTGAGAGCCACTGGAACTGGCCCAGAATTTTTTTTTTTAATGTTTGAAAATAAGTTGTCATGCTTTTCCAAGAAACTGTATTATTTTAGTTTCAATCCCTGTTTCTTTGAACCTAAAGTAAGACTTGCATAGAAATCACGAGTGAATTGTTCTTTTAAAGGTGCATTTGTGCCAGTCTGTGTGTTTTTATGTAAGAGCTCACATTTAAAGTTATTACAAGTAAAAAATTACTCTGACATTTTACTTTTTTTCTATATGTTCTTTATTTTATTGGATCCTCAATTTCTCCTTTGTCCATTAAAAATGTTAACTTTTTAAAACTTTTTTCTGTATTTTTATGTTATAATTCATTATATTTGGGACTTTAATTGTATTCTAAACTTAATAGAGCCTTCTTTGAATAATATTAACTTATTTGAATAATCTAAATTTTAATTTCAACAATATAAATATATGCTGCTCTTATACTTTTCTTTCTCAATTTATATTATTGTCTCAGATTTTATCTGCACACACTGAGTGTCCATTAAAGTAAATTTGTAATTTTTTATGTAATAGCTGCCTACCAGAGCTGTAATAGTAATAGCTAACTTTGCCAGAATTGTAATAGTAATAGCATTTCTTTTTTTTTTAGAGAAAGGTTAACCACACATTGAATACATTCCATTAGCATTATGAATAAGAGTGATATATAAACTATTATTTTTTAAATACTGGATCTGTATTAACAAATCTGTTATATTGTCTATTGTAGGAAATAACTGTATTCTTTGCTTTCAACAACTTAAAATTTTGTTTGTGACCAATTCCTGGCATTTTCAACCAAGAGTGACTTCTGAGTTTGGCAAAACAGTAATAAATATGTTTCATCAATTGTTTATTTATCTTCTAGAAAGACTAGAACAAACACAATAAATTAACACACAAGTGCTTCTTCACTCCTCCCAGAATTAGGAACCAGGGTTTAAAATGGAAAATGTGGATTTCAATTTTGAAGGCTTCATCTGTGCCTGGGAGGCAGTATGGCAATCCAAAAAAAATTTACTACTTTAAAATTGTCTCTTTGGATGGATTCCTTGGTTGATACAAACAATTGATTTACAGGGTTCAGACAGTGTTTGATTGGTGTGATGTTTCTTTGAATGGTTCAAAGCTGCCAGGCCTGCAGTTTTGCCTGCGTTTTTATTTGGGAAGCACTGATTGTTTTGTAATCTCAGAGTTTATTTTTATTTAGGAGATCTATGTTTTTGTCCCATGAAAATGTTGTTTAAAACACTTAAATTGAAAGTTACACTTTTAATTTATGTTTCCAGTTGTTAGGTTTTTGTTTTAGTGGTTACGGTATGAAGTTTGTTGTTTGCTTTCTATTGATTGATATTATCAATTTAGTATAAAGGGCAAGGGGCAATATTCTCTTATGTAGTACATCTTGGTTTTATGTAAAACATGTATATATGTAACAAACCTGCACGTTGTGCACATGTACCCGAAAACTTAAAGTATAATAAAAAATAAAAACAAACAAAAAGTATAAAATAATTTGTTTCCAAAGTGACTTTCAAGTACATATCTAAATAAAACAATAAGGGAATAATTATGTAAGCATGCAGCAAGATCTACAAGTGTGATGATCTCTGGCAGAAGCCTGTATAAACAGTTTGAAAAACGACCAGGTCACTGTGGATGGAGCAGACTGTGGAAGGAAAACGATTGCAGACAATGAGCTCATGGGGGTAACACAAAGTCCATGTGATTGTCTAGGGTTTCTACAGGTCAGTAGATTTTACTTGAGTTTTACTCTAAGCCAAGTTCATGACTGGAAGTGGAATTGGTAAGGTTGTTACTAGCATCTAGTGCCAAGAGGCTAGAAATGCTGTTGAATATCTTAAAATCTACTGTCAGGCACCTTTGAGCAATTAACAGTATTGAACCATCTCTCCAGAAAATTGTAAACAAAAAAATAGGAGCACACTTTTAGAACAATTTGATTTTGTATATTCACAGTCACTTAACTCAAAATCCCTGGTTTCTGTAAATCGGAAGGATTTTAAGAAGCTCTTTTAAAGTTCAGTTGATTCAAGTTAGGGTAAGCGTTAGTAAAGTAAAGTCAGTTCAGTTAATCAATAATTAGAAATTAAACTATAGGCCGGGTGCGGTGGCTCACGCCTGTAATCCCAGCACTTTGGGAGGCCAAGGCTGTCCAATCACCAGGTCAGGAGATGGGGACCATCCAGGCTAACTTGGTGAAACCCCGTCTCTACTAAAAATACAAAAAAAAAAAAAGAAAGAAAAAAAATTAGCGGGACATGGTGGCGGGAGCCAGTAGTCCCAGCTCCTCCGGAAGCTGAGGCAGAATGGCGTGAACACCCGGGAGGCAGAGTTTGCAGCAAGCTGAGATCGCGCCACTGCACTCCAGCCTGGGCAACAGAGCGAGACTCCGTTTCCAAAAAAACAAATAAAAACAAAAAGGTAAACTAAATATTTCCTTTTTCTCCCCTTTTCTTTTCCATTATTTTTAAATATTTATGTAAAACGCTAATATAGCAAAATAAAACCCTAGGCACACTCTATTTTTGAGATACCATGGAGAAAACTGAATCAAAGCCTTTTGGGATAGAGCTAATCCGGAATACGACTGGAAGGCATACAGAATACAGATGCACACATGTGCATTGGTACACTACATTATGCATACCCATCGAGCGTAATGATTGCCATAAGACAAATATTAAATGTCTCTTATGACAGAAAAGTTGTGAAGATTTTACAATAACCAAGCCAAATGAAAACCAAGATTTCAAGGATTATAGCCAGGGCTAGATAATTCTAGGTGTTGAGTAGAATGAATACTCAAGCATCTTCTAGGGGAGGCCATCACTGTTGCCATAACCAGCGCAGGGATTATCTCTACAGACACAGGTGGAAGGGCTCATGGCAGCATGAACTTCGTTTTTCCTGGATGCAGGAAAATAATATGAGATCACCTGAATGGCAGGGCTGAATGACCTGGAACACAAACGGGTAGAAAACATTCCCCTTGCTTATCACATTGTGGTAGACAAAAATAAAACGAGAGCTGTGGCCCTTCAGGGCGCACAGACCAGGGAGCTCTCAAAGCCAGGGAGGGCTGTCACACCTTCCTTGGGGCTTTGCCTTTTCTGGCATCTCCAAGCTTCTGGGCATCACTACATTCCCCAGTATCAGCTGTGGAGGCTGCTTGCAGTAGGCCTGGCCCAGTTGCAGCTTTTCAGTGATCTAGCAGTTCTGTTGGCACCTAAAACTTCCTGACCTGACACAGCTGGCATGACTGACCATGTCTAGAGGCTGGAAGCCACACTTGCTCATACACCTCTCACCACTCATCCATGTTTGCCCTTGGCAGGTGATAACTCCAGTAACTCCAGCTGGGTGTAGCCTGCCAGGTAGTGTGGGTAGAACAAATTTAGCAGGCTTGATTAAAGCTCAGGGAAAGGCCCCACTGGCCACAGAGGATTTCATCTGACAAAGTGACTCCCCTAAAATCCCATTGCAAAAGCAGCATAGCTGGTTGTGTTTAAATGACTTACTTCTTTTAGTTCTTGAAATACTGAAAATTCAGTGTCCTACATTTTGGATTTTTTTAACCTTATTTGGAAATGATTATATTTCAAAATTTTTACAAAATCAAATTTGAAAGATTATTATTTGCATTGAACCACCTGATCCATCTTATGTACACTGCATTTTTTTTTTAAAGATGGACTTTCACTTTTGTAGTCCATGCTGGAGTGCAATGGCATGGTCTCAGCTCAGTGCACCTCTGCCTCCCAAGCAGCTGGGATTACAGGCACCCACCATGGTGCCTAGCATGGCATTGGGCTTCAGATTAGCATTCTTTTAGTAGATTATGAAGCTTGCTTATGAAACAATATTTCTAATTCCTGGACTTTGACATTTTGTACTTATGTAGTTTCTGTTTGGGAGGCACTTTTGCTGGGCATTGTAAGATGATGAGTGCATTTCTGGCATTTTCTGTTAAATGCAATAGTAACATCATTTTTCTGTGGTTGAAATACCCTAATACGTTTGTGTCTCATGGAATCTAAATTGTTGACATTTACTATTCTAGAGAGTTCTGAAGAATAAATTAAAAACCACTTTTTAAAATGTTGCAGATGCCAGGAGGGGTGGTTCACACCTGTAATCCCAGCACCTTGGGAGGCTGAGGCAGTGGGATCACCTGAGGTTAGGAGTTCTAGACCAGCCTGGTCAATAGGGTGAAACCTCTTTTTCACTAAAATTACACACACGCACGCACACACACACACACACACACACACATAGAGAAAGAAAAATTAGGTGGGCATGGTGGTGGACAGCTGGAATCCCGGCTACTTGGGATATTGAGGCAGGAAAATTGCTTAAATCCAGGAGGTGGAGGTTGCAGTGAGCTGAGATCACACCATTGCACTGCAGCCTGTATGACAAGAGCAAAGCTCTGTCTTAAAAAAAAAATTGCTGAAATTTTATATGAGATCTCATTTTTCTCTAACTTTTGGCTATTCTGCCATCCTGACATTTTCTCTAACTTGCTGCTGTTCTAACATTCTGTCATTTGTGAAATAAACCAGGATGTCCTGCATGTACTGTGGAACTTAATATAAAACAAAATTAAATTAATTAAATAAAAATAAAACTTTTTTTTCTGGATGTGGGGTTGTAGTAACTTTGAAATGTGTGCACACTTTATTTAAAACATTTTGTAATTAAAAATCAGAGTTGTCACAAACTGCATTGAAAAGTTAAATAAGTAGTACATCTCAATTTTTAATTGATTGAATTTGTTTTCTTTTAATTTTAGAATGATATCTCACATTGCCTCTTTGGCTGGAGTGCACTGGTGCAATCTTAGCACACTGCAGCACCCTGCTTCCCAGCTTCAAGTATTTATTCTTCCTCGGCTTCTTGAATAGCTGAGATTACAGGTGTGCACCACCACACCTCATGTGTTTTTACCATATTGGTCATGCTTGTCTCAATATTCAGACCTCAAGTACTCTGCCTGCCTTGGCTTCCAAAAGTACTGGAATTACACGTGTGAATCGCCATGCCTGGCCCCTGATTGAATTTCTAATTGAATAAAAAAGTCCATCTTGCAAAACCTTATTTTCTACATCATATTTTTGATGAGTTTCTTTATATGTCTCATAATTCAAGAAAAATAATATAATTTTAATGTATTATACTTGGAAATTAATTTATTTTTATTAATATGTAACTAAAATAGTAGGTATATTTAGAATGTTATTTTGCTTTGGTGTAAAGTTCTGAAGTTTTAGAAATTTCTGTAAAAATCTAATTTGGATAATTAGTTACATTAGTTGATTGCACTCAGTTTTTTTTCCTCAGGATTTTCTTTTGTAAGAAAATTCAAAATTGTTTCAAGATACATTGAGATGTTTAATTATGTGAAATAGACTTAAAGGTATTTTCTTTGAAAATAAAGTTTTTATAACCTGTCTTTTCTACTAATAATATGTGATTACTTCTTCTAACTTACTAGAAATTAATTCGTTTTCATCTTGCCTTCATCTAAAGTTCACCTGCAATACATAAGAAGTGAATAACTGCTAGCAGAGAAGGCTGTTCTTGTCTGTAACTGACCCACTACCATCAACCCTGGTTTTGAGCTGCTTGCAGCACCAGCTATTGGCTGTGTAAAAAATCTCACAATGATGCTAGACTGTTTGACTGAAACATATTACAAAGACAAAGCAATAACTAGTGAATATTTTAAATTATAAAGAAGTTTTTGTTCATTAATCACACTTTAGTTTAAAATTCTATTATTTCATTTGCAAAAATTAACTTATGGGTTTTTTCTTTTTGATTAACTAGTTTACCATTTTGTAGCCATCAGGTATATAATTAAAACCATGTAAGTAAGAGAACATTATTTTTCAAAATAAGCATGTATTTCTTAACTTCTCTCCTATAGCTGGTTTTGGTAATTTACCACAGTGGGTTTTATTTAGTTGTATGTGAAAAAAAAATACTAACCCTTTAGAATACAAGAAGCCAAATTTAATGCTACAAAAACTTTATATTTAAACTGTATGCATTAAAAAGATTTTCATAACCCAAACTTTGAAGTTGTTTCATGGTATTTTAGTTATATTATAAGAGAGGTATTGTTTTAAAAATCATAATGTGAGAAGAGAACATTTGAGTGCATTTTATTACTTTTAAATGTCCATATTAGTTAAGCAAAATAGGTAGCAATGTTGAAATCTTACACAAAACTGAAACTCAGACTGGGAGCCAATGTAAGTAAATTAACAAGTAATAACATGAAATTTAGTTGATTTCAAGAGAAATCTGAGGGTTAAGTACATAATTAACAACAGCATTCTGTACAGATATTTAATTGGAAAATGTGAAATTATATTTATGTTTTTCTCTGTGTGAGTATATTTTTTAGTACATTGTAGGAGTTTCTAGCTAAACTCATTACTTAAAAGGTCAGATCATTCTGTGTCCTGTGGGATCTATGTAGAGAGAAGAGTTTCCTTTTTGAAAACACTTTTTTTTTTGTTAATTTGTTTAACTATTGTATTGGAATAGTAAATTTGTATTTTCAAAAGAGATTTTTTAAAATAAACAGTATTGTTGTTAAACTAGCCAATGTTTTCTTGTGATTAATATATATTTTCAAATATACAAGAGGACATGCACTAAAAACTATTATCTTGCCACCAATATTATATTTCTGGTACAGAGATTTTCTTTGAGATATATGCACATCTTCATACAATTAGCTATTTTTTTTTCTTACAGAAATGATCATATTTCTGATCAAAGTAAAAAAATCTTTTGAAAATATATATTTACTATTCTAATACAATAGTTAAACAAATTAACAAAAAAAAAGTGTTTTCAAAAAGGAAACTCTTCTCTCTACATAGATCCCACAGGACACAGAATGATCTGACTTTTTAAGTAATGAGTTTATATACAATATGGTTAACCTTGTTTTGTACTTAGTCACACGCCTGTCAATACAACAAGATCTATTTAATTCTGTTTTGTAGCTACATAACTTGCAGTTCAATGTGCTCTAATTTATGTAATCCATCTCTAAGTTGGATTTATGTGTAAGTCATATTCAGTTTTACAAAAAGTAGCATTTACAATTTTCACAGGTATTTTAAAGACAACTTCTAATTGACTTCATCTCACAATAAAACTATGAACATAGATAAAACAATTATCACTATTAGCTGAGGAAGAAAGTGATATTTATGTGAAGATTATAGTTTTTATGAATCAGAACAATAATGTAAATGTAGTGCTCAATTAAAACTGAGAAAACTCTAAAGTTCTATTTATGTAAAGTTCTGATTAAAATGTATTGAATACACTTAAGTGCAAAAGTTTTTTAATATGTAAATTTGTAATGATTAATGCTAAGTCTGTGTAACACATTAGAATTTAATATTATACCATCATGCATGACCTTTTCTAAGAAAATTGTTACAGAAGCAATGTCATTAAAAATGTGGACTTAAGAAGTCTGTGGTTAATAATTCTGTGATCCAGCAACTATACATAATCCCAGTCATCAGAAACAGTATTTCTACAATTGAAAACACAGTTAGTGATGAACTCGATGATCGTTCAAAGATGAGAAACAAAATTGTGAGGTAAGTTTTAATTATCATTTTTTGAATATTCTCATAGTAGATACTGTTGTTCTTCCTCAAATTAGTATAGTTTCATGAGGTTTTATCAGGACTGCATTTTGATGATATGGCTATAATATCTGAGATACTATGACTGGCATATTTATTGTGATCACTATCTAGTAAGTTGAAATTTTAGTTAATAATATTTATCAATGTTTTTTGTTGTTTTCAAAGCATGGTTGATATAATCACATTTGCACAACATGGTAAATGCAATTCATTCTTTGGATAATGAGAAATTTTTGTTTTTAATAATTATATTCTCATCTTGTTTTATAAAGTAGGCTTTTTTACTGTTCTATCTGTGTTATATAAGTTGTGCTTATTTTTAGGATTCTCTAAATATTTTTCTCAAATTAGGGTTTTTTCTGCTAAGGAAAAAAATTGATTTTCAGATAATGCTACATGGACCTGTTAGCAACATGACGTAACTATTACAATCAGGCTGCTAAGGGTATAAAACATCTGGTTGAAAATAAAAAGTATCTGGTTGAAAATAAAGCAGCAAAAATATTAGGTTTTAGTGGCAGATTACATATTTAAGATATAGCTATTAAATAAGTGAATACCAAAAACTTGAATTTTGGAAATGTTTGTACTCAAGTAGTTCCTTTACTTTTTGCATAGGTATTGATAGAAACTAAATAAAGAAATTAGAATATTTTAATTGTAATAAATCTTAAATTTCTACATTTCTCTTCCTCAGTAATCAGAAATAGTTTGGTTTTCAAATAGCATCTCAGCATTTATCATTTATGGAGATTAAAAACACACTTGCCTCTCCCTTTCTAGATCTGATAGATCACACCACGCAGGCATTAAAACCTTGGTAGCATTTCTTTTAGTAGAATGTCCATATGGGACGTTCGCTAACACTTGGTTAATAGTCACTAATAAACAACAACAACAACAAAAAGTAAAATTTAGTTCCTTGTACTGTAATCAGTTTTACCCCTAGGGTTTTGAATTTAAAACAGATAGAGATGGTTAATTACACTGGCAAGAAGTGAATGAGGCAGACAGAATATAAAATTCAAATTAAATCCCCACCTTTGTGCTTCATTGCTTGTGCTTTATGATGTCTTAGCGCTTTACTGTGGCTGCATGTCTGCCTAGCTGCTTTTTCTATACAATGAACTTCATCAGGGCACAAACTGGATATTGTTCATTATTGTATCAAAAACCTCAGATGTAGAGAAAAACATACAGAAACATGAGAGATATGTGTAAAACAACTGTATTTTGCTCTGTAGCTATAAGGAAATTATGACCTTTGGCGTTCCTGTGTGTGCTCTCATTCCTTCCACAACTACTCTTAATAGCTGTACTTATTGTGCAGTAATAATTCCAAATACATCACATAAATTATATCATGAAATCTGTAAAAATGCATTAAAATCACAAGAAGACACTGAATTCTAGGAGAACAAAGTATCTTATTCCTCATATGGCAGAGCACTGATTTGTTTTTAATCTGTCTACTCAACAACACTGTAGTATATTTTATTACCTGCAATATATGCTATTGTTTTATTATTGCTAAGGATAATTTTTCTGTGATCTCTTTCTGATGGTCCCCCTGTGAAATAATCACTAATCCTAAACATTAAAAACAATAAGTTCTTTGAAAATAATATTAAAACATGCATATCATCTTATTAACTAAGTTTTGGTATTTATTTCAACTTCTTTTATTATATTTTAACGTTAGATTAGTGCATCACCAATGTATTTTGGTTTCTATAGCAATGCTCATCTCCAAAATGATGTACGTAGTTAACGTCATAAATTTAAAGATGAGCCCACATTAAACAAGATAGAAGATAGGAAAGAGAACAATATTCGTGTCCAAAGACACCTTCAAGCCTCTTTTACATTTAGTTGCCTTCTGACTAAAATACTATGTACTGAAAATTTTTTGGAAACACTTCAGGTAAATTATGGGTGATTTATCAATTTAATTTTGATAAAATCGTCTGTACATTAAATTTTTTAAATAGATCTTTAAAATACATAGTTTATTTGGCATGTAATATTTAAAAAATAGTAATATCCTAGCTGCATTTCTTGATCATTTTTATTATTGTCATACTAATAGAAAAAGGTTAAAATTGTCACAGCAAAGACAGGCCACTGTATTCTTTCATCTCTTAAGGTATAATTGACTTCTTATAGGAAGATTTGTAATCTATATAATCAAAATATTAAAATGAAGTCATCTCCTTGATTTAACAGTTCTCAAATGAAGCAAATGTCAAGTACATTTTTTAAGTGTACAGATATTTTAATACATCCCTAAAGTTTTTTCAAAAATATATGACCAGGGTACTGTTATCACACATAATACAAATTATTTTACAACCTTGGGCAACGTAGAAAACCCTGCCTCTATGAAAACAAAACAAAAATTATTCAGGTGTGGATATATGAGCCTGTAGTATCAGCTACTTGGAAAGATAAAATACCATTTATTTGACTAACTTTGATATTTGATTACACTTTCCTCATTATACTGTTCAATTTAGACTAGCACATCAATGATGTCTTTTAGTTTCTAGAGTAATGTTTATGCCTGAGATTATGTATAATAATCACCTCAGAAATCCATATTACTCATCATCAAATAAGCATTTTTATTATCAAATAAACCTTTTAATCACTGACAAAAAAGTACTGCTTCCTAGTCCTGCAAGATAAAATATATATGATATACTTTTATATAAATATATAATCTATAACTTCATGTAATATACACATAATTTTTGCAAGCCTGAATGTAATCTCATAGATTTTGAGCCTCTTACAAAAGTGACCAATAACACTTGGTCCGTGTTTAGATTTGAAAAATCTCAACTAGGCCAGGCCCTGTCACTCACATGGATAGCCTTAGCACTTTGGGAAGCCAAGGGAGTCAGATTACTTGATTTCAGGAGTTCAAAACCAGCCTGTGCAACATGGTGATATCCCATCTCTACTAAGATGCAATAAATTAGCTGAGTGTAATTGTCTGCACTAGTCCCATCTATCCGGGACACTAAGGCGAAAACATCACCTGAGCTGTAACCGTGTTGCTGCATTGCAGACTGAGTAATGAAGAGAAGCTGTGCCACACAAACACACACAACCACACATGCACACAAAACCACACACACACACAGAGAAAGAGTTTAGTGTTCTTTCAAGAAGGTATTTCTTAGATAGCTCAGAGGTAGGAAGAAAAAGGGATCTTCTGATTTCTGGGCTGTCTTCTGTTTTACTCACAGTAGTTCCCTTTCTATGTATTAGCATATCACTTAGATTTCCTTTAAAAGTCTTTAGTGCACGTGTAATTAACTGACTGCCCATTATAGCTTTCAGTAAAAGTTTCCAAATTTCATAGCTAAACTGTAAACCTAGGTTATAAATATGATTTGCATATATAATTCTAATTTACATATTTCAATTCTTTATCTGCACACGTCCCTCACTCTCATTTTTTCTTGTGTCAACAATTTATTTTCATTAGCTTTCTCTACTCAAAACATTTCTTTTTCTGCAATCTAGTCAACATTTCTGTTCTTGTTCTCTCAAATTATTATAACTCTTTGAGCTTCTGTCTTCAAAACTTTCACTCAATAATTTATGTGTGCATGCATCTATATGTGATCATCTGCTATCACTTGGCACCAGGGCCTGTTTTTGTGAAAGACAAGATTTTCATCAACTGGGGTTGTGGAGACAGTTTTTGGAAGATTTGAGTACCCTCCATTGATTTTGCGCTTTATTTGTCTTATTATTACATTATAATATTTAACAAAATAATTATACATCTCACCATAATGTAGACTCGGTGGGAGCCCTAAACTTATTTTCCTGTAGCTAGATGGTTCTATCTGTGGGTGATGGGAGACTGTTGCAGGTGATCAGTTGTTTTGATTCTTATAAAGAGTGCAAAACGTAAATTTCTCTCAAGTGCAGTAAATAGTAGTTCCCTCGCTTCTATAAAAATCGGATGCTGCCACTGATCTTCAGAAAGCGGATCTCAGGCAGTACTGTGAACCATACTTAGTGTTTTAAATAGAGATAAGGTTTCCATGCTTGGCCACCACTCACCTGTTGATGTGTAGCCCCAGTTCATAACAAGACGCAGATGGATACTGATTAGGGAAACCCCAGCTCAAGCCAAAGAGTTTGAGACCACAGTGAACTGGAATTGTGCCACTGCATTTTAGCTTCAGTGACAAAGAACCTGTCTTCACAAATAAAAGTAAAAAATACATTTTATAATTTGTATTTTAAATAATATCTTTTGATACAAATGTGAGAAATCTTTTACAACTTTAAATGTGGACATGAACAGTCTTCAAAATCTTCTTCATTCTGTGGAACAGTGTATCAAATTGAATGTGCAAATGCACATCATTGTAAAATGTGATAAAAAGTTTGTTTTGTTCAGTTTTGAAAAAAATAATTATCTCATTGAAAACAACCAGAAGACAATTAGAAGTGTTTGTGCTCATCCACAAAATTAACTTCTGCTTTCTCTTTAGTATTTGCACGGTATCAGAGAGGTAGTCAAGATGATAACTGGCTTAAAGGAGAATGTTATTGACAAAATCGAATGACTGACTAGGAAAAAAAAAGTTATTCTCATTAGGTGAATAATTTGAGATGTAAAATAATCTCCCAGATTGTTTTCATCTCTACTCTAAAATAAATTGCATTTTAATGATTGAATCTTGAAGAGTTGGTAGAAGAAAGCATTATTCTTTTTCTACTATAAAAATCTCTTGAAGCAAAAATGTTCCTTCATTTTATGGGCTTCCAACAGATTTTAACGACCACTTGTAGTTTCACAAACAGGTCTCTTTCTTTAGGCCTAACCAGCTAATTTTATTTCTTTGCAATTTGACTAGGATATATAATGGTAAAATGTCTTTGAAGATATTATATATTAAATGACAGGTATGTCTTTCTTGACCTTCATAACATCTCACCTCCAAGCTGTCTGCATTATCTTGCACTTAGCTGCCATTTAAATTGTGGTTTATTTTTAACAGCATACTGCCTGCTATTTTCACCTCTGAGACTTGGAACAATTTCTTTTCACCCTGCCTGCCACTCTTAATTCACACCGTTTAAAGTATTATGTATAGGTTTTACCTTTTTATAAGACAGAGAGTCCAGCTTTGCCAACAGGGTGAAGCCCCATCTCTACTAAAAATATGAAAATTAGCCAGGCGTGGCGGCAGATGCCTGTAATACTAGCTACTGGGGAGGCTGGGACAGGTGAATCGCTTGAATCTGGGAGGTCTAGGTTGCAGTGAGCCTAGATCCTGCCATTGCACTGCATTCTAGGTGAAGAGAGTGAAACTGTCACACAAAAAGAAAGGACAGTGAGGATTAAATTTATTAATATGTGTGCAGCTCTTAGTGTATTACCTTGACTTTAAGCACTATAAGTATTAACTGCTATCATTATTGCTTACTTTGTATCTTCAGTTTACTCACACCAAATTCTGCTTAATTGCATAAAAGAAAATATTAGAGAAGTAACACAGATAGTAGTGGCTATATGGAACCACATAGCCATCACTCTCTGTGTCAGTAATGTTTTCTGATTTGCAACAAATAAGAGACCTTTTGCATATAAAGGTTCTGCAAACAGATTTCCCTAGACATATATTAAAGTGTTTGAAAACAAAAACAAAAAAATCAATACTATGGTAAAATGTAACAAATTTAAAGTCATTAGAGTAAAATATCTGTCTACATAGCATTTACATTTTATTAATTATTTATGTAGAGATAAAGTAAACTACACAGGAGGATGGGTGTGCATTATACTTATGTACTGCATCATTATAAAGCAGAAGCTTGAGCAGACATACATTTTGGTATTTGAGATGTTTCTGGAGCCAATCCCCTACAGATACCAAAGGATTGCTATATATAAATATGTTAAGCTTTGATAAGAAAGTATTGCTTAAGTTAGTTATGGCATAATTACCATGATGATGTTAATGATTATTTACTTACCTTTTTATAAATAAATTAAAAAGATTATAAGCTTTAAAATTATCATTACATTGTTTTTGATATTTGCTGGGGAAATGAGAACATTTGTACATGGGGACACATTCTCTGTTTATGGTATGGTAACACAATTAAGCACTTGCTATTTAAATAATTTCCTTTTTTTGTTTTGTTTTGCAATTACCTATGCTCCTGTCACCAATCTAGTAAGTGTGTGTGTCAGGGAGAAAATTACATTTATTTCTGGGATTGAGGACACTATTTTCTTGTTTATTTAAATCATGCTGAAGGGATGAGATTTTTGCAGCTGACACTGTGTAAGTTAGCAGTGTATATTTGATTTTCAATGGATACATTTCTCAGACTGGGAAGGAAGCACTTTTGGTCAGATTTTTTGTTGGTTGCTAGGAGACCAAAATCCTCTTGTGATGTCATTGCTACTCACCTTGGGAACATCGTGATGGTCTAGATTTCTTTACCTGCCTAGGCCTTCTGAAGCAGCATTTGAAGCCGCAGTCTTGAAAACCATGCAGGCTGGAAGAGTAGCTAAAGAAATGTTTATTTGAGATGGCACATGTTTCTTCAGAAATTCAAGATGTTTCTCCCAAAGATTAGTTAACTGGTTCAGAAGCCTCCAGTAGGTCTCCGTTGCGACAGAATTTTCATTTTTTTTTTTTTTTTGAGACGGAGTCTCGCTCTGTCGCCCAGGCTGGAGTGCAGTGGCGCGATCTCGGCTCACTGCAAGCTCCGCCTCCCGGGTTCACGCCATTCTCCTGCCTCAGCCTCCCAAGTAGCTGGGACTACAGGCGCCCGCCGCTACGCCCGGCTAATTTTTTGTATTTTTAGTAGAGACGGGGTTTCACCGTATTAGCCAGGATGGTCTCGATCTCCTGACCTCATGATCCACCCGCCTCGGCCTCCCAAAGTGCTGGGATTACAGGCGTGAGCCACCGCGCCCGGCCTTTTAAGAAATGTTTATTTGAGATGGCACATGTTTCTTCAGAAATTCAAGATGTTTCTCCCAAAGATTAGTTAACTGGTTCAGAAGCCTCCAGTAGGTCTCCGTTGCGACAGAATTTTCAAAGATCTGCCTTTCTAGCCACCTTTCTGGCAGAAGAGAAAGAATCCGATGCCTTAAGCAAAGCATTTAACATATTTCAGTTACCACTCTATGTAAAGTATGTATGTAATTTTACTTTGAACATCAGTAAATATGTTAATACATGCAACAAGACCAGATGTTGAAAATTATATAAAATATTAAGGTAGAAATTATTTATTTTTTTGAAATTATTGAGTTCAGCTTGAGCATCAACCTTTCAGAGTTTTCAGAAATGTTGCTAAAACTTTGAATCTTACCAGTGAACTCCAAATAAATGTATCAAAGCCACTTAATGTAATGTTGCTATTAATATATAACATGTTTTCACCTGAGGGCTTAACAATTTGAGTGCTTTTTTTTCCCAACAAGCACTTTCTTAAAAATAGCAAATAATGTTCATGAATTATTTGATGTCATTAAGTTTGTGTGACGAAAGAGAAATCTGATATTTTATGTGTTATGTTTGTTATTGTCACTTGTCTCCCGGTTTAAAATGGCACTGAATTACCTTTTTCTTTGGTTTTAGTTAAAGTTTTATTATAATCCAAATTTCAAACGTGGCTGTCCCCAGCATTTAGTAAGGGTGAAAAGAAGAATTGGTGTTAAAAATGCTTCACTTATACCTACTTTATTCAATGAAGATTTCAACAAGAAGCATTTTAGATCAGGAGCTAACATTAACAGTACACACTTTTGATCTTACATTAAAGGATTCCAACATGTTTGTGCCTTTCATTACCTCCTGTTAGAGTCCATGTTTCATGTTTTCTAATGCACATTTCCTTGCTTCTTCTTTTCTTTGAGATAGTCTTACTGTGTTACCCTGGCTGGAGAGCAGTGGCATTATTTCAGCTCACTGCAACCTCAGCCTCTGGGTTCAAGTAATTACTGTGCCTCAAACTTTTGAGTAGGTAAAATTATATATGCCCACCAAGCTGGGCTAATTTTTGTATTTTTCGTAGAAACGGAGTTTCACCAAATTGGCCAGGATGGTCTTGAATTCCTGGCCTCACGTGATCCACCCACCCTGGCCCCTAAAAGTGCTGGAATTACAAGGTTGAGCCACCAAACCCCTCCTCTAATACAGATGTTCATCACATTGGTTTCATCTATACAAAGTCAGATTTCATGGCTTTTGTCAGGATTTGATACCTTTTAGATTCTGAATCCATATCCTCAGCATGGCTGAACAAATCCCTTCCAGACCTAATATTTATTTTCCTGTCAGCTTCATGTCTTTCTGTTTCACCACAGTCCAGTTGGAGCAACATCTGGACAACTCCACTTTCAGCCATGCCCTTTCCTATCTTGTAACTTGGGCCCCATTTTTTCTTGGAGATAAATGCTCTCTCCCGATTTGCCTACTTAAGACTCCTACAACACAGACATCACTCCTTCCAGGAGGTGCTTCTTATCTGTCACATTAGTTTTCTTGTCTGTCTGTCTGTGTCTCCTGGACACCCAGCACTGATGTCACACAGTACCTAATACATATATGTACATTTTTGTATTTATATATACACACACACACACACACACACACACACACACATATGTATGTGAATTTGTGAATGTTGACTGTGGACATACAACCATAAAATCTATTTTCATTGTCAAAAATGAACATTATTGGTGTTGTGGTATTACTTGTTATTCTTCATTACTCACCACAACTTTTCATAAAAGGGTAGGTCAGAGTTTTGTTCACTAGAGGTGCAATAATTTTGACTTACTGAGATTAACATCCCTGGTTATCATTTCAACTATCACGCTTTCTTTTTCGGTATAGGTATGTTTTTTTATATATGTATATATTTGTATATTTTTTGTATATGTATTTTTTATATTTGTATATGTTTTATATTTGTATATTTTTGTTTGTATATTTTTGTATATTTATTTGTATATGTTTGTTATATTTTACATTTTTGTAAAAAATTTATTTATATATTTATATTTATATATATTGTAAAAAATATTTATATATTTATATATTATATTATTCATATATTATATATTTGTATAATGTGTATATATTATTTACATATTTGTATATTTTATTTTTTTATATTTGTATATTTTTATATTTGTATATTTTTTGTATATTTATTTGCATATTTTTCTAAATATATTGTATATATTTTTATATATATTTGTATATTTTATTATACTTTAAGTTCTAGGTTACATGTGCACAACGTTCAGGTCTGTTACATATGTATACACGTGCCATGTTGGTGTGTTGCACCTGTTAACTCGTCATTTACATTAGATATATCTCCTAATGCTATACCTCCCCCACCATTCCACAACAGGCCCCAGTGTGTGATGTTCCCTTTCCTGTGTCCAAGTGTTCTCAATGTTCAATTCCCACCTATGAGTGACAACATGAGGTGTTTGGTTTTTTTGTCCTTGCAATAGTTCCCTGAGAAGGATGATTTCCAGCTTCATCCATGTCCCTACAAAGGACATGAACTCATCACTTTTTATAGCTGCATAGTATTCCATGGTGTGTATGTGCCACATTTTCTCAATCCAGTCTGTCATTCATGGACATTTTGGGTTGGTTCGAAGTCTTTGCTATTGTGAACAGTGCCACAGTGAATACACACGTGTGTGTGTTTTTATAAAAGCATGATTTATAATCCTTTGGGTATATACCCAGTAATGGGATGGCTGGGTGAAATGATATTTCTAGTTCTAGATCCTTGAGGAATCACCACACTGTCTTCCACATGGTTGAAGTAGTTTACACTCCCATCAATTATGTAAAACTGTTCCTATTTCTCCACATTCTCTTGAGCACCAGTTGTTTCCTGACTTTTTCATGATTGCTATTATAGCTGGTGTGAGATGGTACCTCATTGTGGTTTTGATTTGCATTTCTATGATGGCTAGTGATGACAAGCATTTTTTCATGTGTCTGTTGGCTGCATAAATGTCTTGTTTTGAGAAAGTCTCTGTTCATATCCTTCACCCACTTTTGGATGGGGTTGTTTGTTTTTTCCTTGTAAATTTGTTTGAGTTCTTTGTAGATTTTGGGTATTAGCCCTTTGTCAGATGAGTAGATTGCAAAAATGTTCTGCCAGTCGTGTAGGTTGCCTATTCGCTTTGCTGGTACTTTTTTTTTTTTTTTTTTTTTTGGTCTGCAGAAGCTCTTTAGTTTAATTAGGTCTCATTTGTATTTTGGCTTTTGTTGCCATGCTTTTTTTGTTTTTGACATGAAGTCCTTGCCCATGCCTACATCCTAATGGTATTGCCTAGGATTTCTTCCAGGGTTTTTATGGTTTTAGGTCTAACATTTAAGTCTTTAATACATCTTGAATTAATTTTTGTGTAAGGTGTAAGGAAGGGATCCAGTTTCAGCTTTCTGCATATGGCTATCCAGTTTTCCCAGCACCATTTATTAAATAGGGAATCCTTTCCTCATTTCTTGTTTTTGTCAGGTTTGGCAAAGATCAGATGGTTGTAGATATGTCGTATCATTTCTGAGGGCTCTGTTCTGCTCCATTGGTCTATATCTCTGTTTTGGTACCAGTACCATGCTGTTTTGATTACTGTAACTTTGTAGTATAGTTTGAAGTCAGATAGCGCAATGCCTCCATCTTTGTTCTTTTAGCTTAGGATTGACTTGGCAATGAGAGCTCTTTTTTGGTTCCATATGAACTTTAAAGTAGTTTTTTCCAATGCTGTGAAGAAAGTCATTGGTAGCTTGATGGGGATGGCATTGAATCTATAAATTACCTTGAGCAGTATGGCCATTTTCACAATATTGATTCTTCCTATCCATGAGCATGGAATAAACTTCCATTTGTATGTTTCCTCTTTTATTTTATTGAGCAGTGGTTTGTAGTTCTCCTTGAAGAGGTCCTTCACATCCCTTGTAAGTTGGATTCCTAGGTATTTTATTCTCTTTGAAGCAATTTTACATGGGAGTTCACTCATGATGTGGCTCTCTGTTTGTCTGTTATTGGTGTATAAGAATGCTTGTGATTTTTGCACATTGACTTTGTATCCTGAGACTTTGCTGAAGTTGCTTATCAGCTTAAGGAGATTTTGGGCTGAGATGATGGGGTTTTCTAAATATGCAATCATGTCATTTGCGAACAGGGACAATTTGACTTCAGCTTTTCCTAATTGAATACCATTTCTTTCTTTCTCTTGCCTGATAGCCCTGGTCAGAACTTCCAACAGTATGTTGAATAGGAGTGGTGAGAGAGGGCATCCCTGTCTTGTGCCAGTTTTCAAAGGGAATGCTTCCAGTTTTTGCCCATTCAGTATGATATTGGCAGTGGGTTTGTCATACATAGCTCTTATTATTTTGAGATACATCCCATGAACACCTAATTTATTGAGAGTTTTTAGCATGAAGGCTGTTGAATTTTGTCAAAGGCCTTTTCTGCATCTATTGAGACAATCATGTGGTTTTTGTCTTTTTTTCTGTTTATATGCTGGATTGCATTTATTGATTTGTGTACATTGAACCAGCCTTGCATCCCAGGGATGAAACCAGCTTGGTCATGGTGGATAAGGTTTTTGATGTGTTTCTGGATTTAGTTTGTCAGTATTTTATTGAGGATTTTTGCATCAATGTTCATGTGGGATATTGGTCTAAAATTCTCTTTTTTTGTGTGTCTTTGCCAGGCTTTGGTATCAGGATGATGCTGGCTGCATACAATGAGCTAGAGAGGATTCCCTCTTTTTCTGTGGATTGGAACAGTTTCAGATGGAATGGTACCAGCTCCTCCTTGTACCTCTTGTAGAATTCGGTCGTGAATCCATCTGGTCCTGCACTTTTTTTGGTTGGTAAGCTACTAATTATTGCCTCAATTTCAGAGCCTGCTATTGGTCTATTCAGAGGTTCAACTTCTTCCTGGTTTAGTCTTGGGAGGATGTGTGTGTCAAGGAATTTATCCATTTCTTCTAGATTTTCTAGTTTATTTGCATAGAGGTGTTTATAGTATTCTATGATGGTAGTTTGTACTTCTGTGAGATCAGTGGTGATATCCCCTTTATCATTCTTTATTGCGTTTATTTGATTCTTCTCTCTTTTCTTCTTTGTTAGTCTTGCTAGCGGTCTATCAATTTTGTTGATCTTTTCCAAAAACCAGCTCCTGGATTCATTGATTTTTTGAAGGGTTTTTGGGTCTCAATTTCCTTCAGTTCTGCTCTGATATTAGTTATTTCTTGCCTTCTGCTAGCTTTTGAATATGTTTCCTCATGCTTCTCTAGTTCTTTTAATTGTGATGTTAGGGTGTGAATTTTGGATCTTTCCTGCTTTCTCTTGTGGGCATTTAGTGCTATAAATTTCCCTCTACACACTGTTTTAAATGTGTCGCAGAGATTCTGGTATGTTGTGTCTTTCTTCTCATTGGTTTCAAAGAACATCTTTATTTGTGCCTTCATTTTGTTATGTACCCAAGTAGTCATTCAGGAGCATGATGTTCAGTTTCCATGTAGTTGAGTGGTTTTGAGTGAGTTTCTTAATCCTAAGTTCTAGTTTGATTGCACCATGGTCTGACAGACAGTTTGCTATAATGTCTGTTCTTCTACATTTGCTGAGGAGTGCTTTACTTCCAACTATGTGGTCAATTTTGGAATAAGTGAGATGTGGTGCTGAGAGGAATGTATATTATGTTGATTTGTGGTGGAGAGTTCTGTAGATGTCTATTAGGTCTGCTTGGTGCAGAGCTGAGTTCAATTCCTGGATGTCATTGTTAACTTTCTGTCTCATTGATCTGTCTAATGTAGACAGTGGGGTGTTAAAGCCTCCCATTATTATTCTGTGGGAGTCCAAGTCTCTTTGTAGGTCTCTAAGAACTTGCTTTATGAATTTGGGTGCTCCTGTATTGGGCGCATATATATTTAGGATAGTTAGCTCTTCTTGTTGTATTTATCCCTTTACCATTATGTAATGGCCTTCTTTTTCTCTTTTGTTCTTGTTGGTTTAAAGCCTGTTTTATCAGAGACTAGGATTGCAACCGCTGCCTCTTTTTGTTTTCCATTTGCTTGGTAGATCTTCCTCCATCCCTTTATTTTAAGCCTATGTGTGTCTCTGCATGTGAGATGGGTTTCCTGAATACAGCACACTGATGGATCTTGATTCTTTATCCGATTTGCCAGTCTGCATCTTTTAATTGGAGCATTTGGCCCATTTATATTTAAGGTTAATGGTGTTATGTGTGAATTTGATCCTGTCATTATGATATTAGCTGGTTATTTTGCTCGTTAGTTGATGCAGTTTCTTCCTAGCATTGATGGTCTTTAAAATTTGGCACATTTTTACAGTGGCTGGTACCAGTTTTTCCTTTCCATGTTTAGTGCTTCCTTCAGGAGCTCTTGTAGGGCAGGCCTTGTTGTGACAAAATCTCTCAGCATTTGCTTGTCTGTAAAGGATTTTTTTTTCTTCTTCACTTATGAAGCTTAGTGTGGCTCGATATGAAATTCTGGGTTGAAAAATATTTTCTTTATGAATGTTAAATATTGGCCCCCACTCTCTTCTGGCTTTCAGAGTTTCTTTTGAGAGATCCACTGTTAGTCTAACGGGGTTCCCTTTGTGGGTAACCCGACCTTTCTCCCTGGCTGCCCTTAACATTTTTTCCTTCTTTTCAACTTTGGTGAATCTGAAAATTTTGTGTCTTGCAGTTGCTCTTCTCGAGGAATATCTTTGTTGCATTATCTGTATTTAATGAATTTGAAAGTTGGCCTGCCTTTCTAAGTTGGGGAAGTTCTCCTGGATAATATCCTGCAGAGTGTTTTCCAATTTGGTTCCATTCTCAACTTCACTTTCAGGTACACCAATCAGACGTAGATTTGGTCTTTTCACATAGTCCCATATTTCTTGGAGGCTTTGTTCATTTCTTTTTATTCATTTTTTCTCTAAACTTCTCTTCTCACTTCATTTCATTCATTTTATCTTCAATCTCTGATACCCTTTCTTCCAGTTGATTGGATTAGTTAATGAAGCTTGTGCATTCATCATGTAGTTCTCGTGCCATGGTTTTCACCTCCCTCAGGTTATTTAAGGACTTCTGCACATTGGTTATTCTAATTAGCCATTCAGCTAAACTTTTTTCAAGGTTTTTAGCTTCTTTGTGATGGGTTTGAACTTCCTCCTTTATCTTGGAGAAGTTTGATTGTCTGAAGCCTTCTTCTCTCAACTCATCAAAGTCATTGTCCGTCCAGCTTTGTTCCATTGCTGCTGAGGAGTTGTGTTCCTTTGGCGAGTGAGAGGTGCCCTGATTTTTAGAATTTTCAGGTTTTCTGCTCTGTTTTTTCCCCATCTTTGTGGTTTCATCTTCCTTTGGTCTTTCATGATGGTGATGTACAAATGGGGTTTTGGTATGGATGTCCTTTCTGTTTGTTAGTTTTCCTTCTAACAATCAGGACCCTCAGCTGCACATCTGCTGGAGTTTGCTGGAGGTCCACTCCAGACCCTGTTTGCCTGGTTATCAGCAGTGGAGGCTGCAAAACAGTGAATATTGCTGAACAGCAAATGTTGCTGCCTGATCATTCCTCTGAAAGTTTCATCTCAGATAGGTACCCAGCCATGTGAGGTGTCAGTCTGCCCCTACTGGGGCATGCCTCCCAGTTAGGTTACTTGGGGGTCAGGGACCCATGTGAGGAGGCACTCTGTCTGTTGTCAGATCTGAAACTTCGTGCTGGGAGAACCACTACTCTCTTGAAAGCTGTCTGACAGGGACATTTAAGTCTGCAGAGGTTTCTGCTGCCTTTTGTTTGGCTATGTCCTGCCTCCAGATGTGGAGTCTGTAGAAGCAGGCAGGCCTCCTTGAGCTGGGGTGGGCTCCACCCAGTTCGAGCTTCCTGTCCACTCTGTTTACCTACTCAGGCCTCAGCAATGGTGGGTGCCATTCCCCCAGCCTCACTGCCACCTTGCAGGTGGATCTCCAACTGCTGTGCTAGCAATGAGTGAGGCTCTGTGGGCATGGGATCCTCCGAGCCATGTGTGGGATCTAATCTCCTGGTGTCCTGTTTGCTAAGACCATTGGAAAAGTGCAGTATTAGGGTGAGAGTGACCTGATTTTCCAGGTGCCATCTGTCACAGCTTTCCTTGGCTAGGAAAGGGAATTCCCTGACCCCTTGTGCTTCCTGGGTGAGGTGATGCCTTGCCCTGCTTTGGCTCATGCTCAGTGCGCTGAACCCACTGTCCTGCACCCACTGTCTGACAAGTCCCAGTGATGTGAACCCCGTACCTCAGTGGGAAATGCAGAAATTACCCATCGTCTGCATCAGTCTTACTGGGAGATGTAGATTGGAGCTGTTCCTATTCCACCATTTTGGAAAAAAAGGTCTGGTTGTGATTTTTCCCAGCTTCTTCTAAAAATTATTTTTCATCTTCTGCTTTGACTGGCAGGTCCTTGCCTGAAAGAATAGCTTTATCTTTGCCACTCCTTCCTTTATTTGCTGTAGAGATTCCCAGTTGTTGTGCTGAAATGGCTTACACTGGGGATCCAGCTGCACAATTGTTCAGAAGGAGCATTCACTGTGGATTTGGTATATTATGCAACATTTGGTGTCACCAGCTAAGGCCTGACAAGATTCATCACTCAGTTTTCTGGGACAACTGAAATTGGAATGGAGTATGGATTTGGTCAGACAGATTCCTCAGTATGGAAACCTAGTGGTGCCATCTTACCCTATGCCTATATTTTCAGATTGTGCATAAGTAGAAGAAATTTAGAATCAATGCTATAAAAAGGGAATCCTGATTTCCTTTCCTGGCAGACCATGACACAAGACAAAGATCATTTCACCTATGTCCACATACTATTAACTTTTTAGTTCTCACGCTGGATTTTCAGAGGGTAGTGCGATGGACATGGTTAAATAGTTAATATGAAGAATGTTTAAAAAAATTAGGCCAGTGGTGATGGCTCAGGCCTGTAATCTCAGCATTTTGGGAGGCTAAGATGGGTAGAACACCTGAGGTCAGTGGTTCAAGGCCAACATGGTGCAACCATATCTTTTCTAAAAAATCAACAATTGTGAAGCCTGGTGATGTGTGCCTGTAATCCAAGCTAGTTAGGAGGCTGAGGCAGGAGAATCACTTGAGCCTGGGAGGTGGAGGTTGCAGTGAGCTGAGATCCTGCCTTTGCACTCCAGCCTGTGTGATAGAGTAAGACTTCATCTCAAAAGAATGGACAACAATAAAATGGATAATGCCAAATAAATAAAAAGTGAAAAGATTAACTTGGGTGAACCCCAAGACAACAAAGAAAAAAGAAAATGATATTTTAGAAAGTGAGGATAAAGTAATGAAAGATGGACTGAGACAGATTAAAATGTGGAATACATTATTGTAAATTTAAGGCCAGAATAATGCAAGTGTCAAAAAAACAACAAAAGCAACAATAAAACAAGCACAGGGAGGGGTAGAGAGAGGGTGAATGAGGAAAAAGAGAAAGCAAATGCAAAATGTAAAGTAATCAGCATGATTAGAATATCTGTTCATTCCCACTCTCTGCAAATTCTTTGTATTTTGAGGAACATCCTGACAAGATTTTAATGTAATCAATCACGGAGTAGTCTAACCCAGAAAATATCCTAGCTTCCTCTAGGATTCAAAGACCTTGTACCTTCTTAGGTATTCTCTCTCCATCTAGGTTAAACTAAACTGTTTCAACAACAAAAACTACTTTGAATTTTCTGCCCAAAAGGAACATCACGGACGTTCTTCATCTTGGGTCATCACTTGAGTAATGAAGTAGATGGAGCAAATGTACTTTCCCCCTTACATAAATACAATTAATAGCACCACATAATGTATATAAAGCAAACATAAGACTGAAGGATGGAGCAAGAAGATAAACGGGTGAGGAAATTTAAGATGCAACAAGTGATAAGATGGTTGAGTTTCCTGGATTCTTTTTGCCTGGTGTTATCACAGACTTGATCCTAATGGAGCTGGTACCCAAAAATGTAAATAAGTACAGGCAAAAAGTTCTCCCAAAACCCAACTTCTATAGCCACATGGCTAGGAAAGGGACACCTTACAAAGAGAAAAATATTTTTACAATAGCCTTCCTACTTTAGTCAAACATTACAACAGAAAACAAAGCAAACCAAAAAAGCTAGCCAGGACAACAATGTTTAAGTTGAAACATAGAGAGCACCAGGCAGTAATGAGGCACCCCAACCCTCTGCTGGAGTGGAATCACATAAGGGAAAGTAGAGAGTTAGAGTTTTCAATGCTGCCATATGGGGACACCCTTCTGCTTCTAGCCAGGGAGGTACAAGTAACACCCAGGTTGAAGCTGGAATCTGCATATTTTTTTATCAGTAGCTAGAAGGGCTGCCTTGGATGTCAAAGGAAGTGAAGAAGAGAATTTGGAATTGTGCCCTTCCTTTACAAGCATACACTTTCCTTTGTTATGGTGGTATCAGACAAAGCCAGCTACAAATGAACAAATAGGATGTCATAATATGGTTCAGAGTTTCCTAACATTTCCCCAAATGTTTAACTTTCAAATAAAAATCTCACACAGAAATGTTAGTGCTACTGTTAAAGGATCACTATGGTGTCAGTTTTTCTTGCCAGAAACTTCTGTGGCCATGATGCCTTTGCTTGACTTCTTGTCCTGTTTGCAGGAAGAATGAGGTACACAGACAGGTGAAGGGTAAAGAAGAAGCAGAGTTCTATTTGGCATTAAAACGGTTCAAAGTGTTGGGATTCCTTCAGTACGGTGGCAGAAATATGAAATGGAAATATTATGGAAAGGTATAGGGAATAGTCACAAACTTTTTGGAAGGCCGAAAGATTACATAGCTTGTAATAATTGAACAATTATTCAATTGGAGGGAGGTCGACCAAGGATATTGCCCCATACTGTAATTTACTTTAGACCACGGTACCTGAGCTTTAATCATTCATAGGTCTACTCTCTCAGCCAGGTTAATTATCCACAAGTGTGCTGACTCAAAGCTTCTGTTGTTAATTGTATACTAAATAAATGCCTGGAGTGCGAGCTGCTCAGGGCCGGCCTCAGTAACAAACTTTTCTTGTCATGCAGGTGCTCAGACATTCAGCTAGACTGGCAAAACAGAGTATCTATGTGCTAGTGTGTGGTTTATCCATCTGCAATTTGGGTCAGGGTCTGCGGGCAGACCCCTGAAGCTAGTGCCCTCTTGTGAGGAGCAATACCTCACAAAGGAGTGGGTAGCTCTCCTCTATAGGCAGGTCTTCCTATGGTGTGTTCACTCTAGAGAGAGAGGCTCCTCTCTGTCGGCAAGTCATTTAGATGTCTCTGCAGGTCTGTGAAGCTCTCTGTTGCAGCTGCTGCTCTCAGCGGAGAGGGTACTGCTCTCCTCCCGTTGTCTACAGCAATCAGCAAGAAGGGTACTCCTTTCTTTAGCAGACTGGCTTTTGAATGTCTTCATAAGATCCTTCACAGAGCAGCAGTTTTTAATTTTGATTTGATACAGTTAATCTTTTTTTTTACTTTTATGGCTTATGCATTTGGTATCAAATATAATAACATTTTGCTACAACTAAGAAGCTTGAATTTTTTTACGTTCTTTTTTTCTGAAAACGTTTTATAAAATGTGTTGTAATTTTATATTACATTGAAATTCATGAGACATTTTGAGTTAATTTCTGTAGTATAAGATTTATGTTATGGCTTTATTTCTTAAATTTATAAATATCCACGTGCCCTGGCACCATTTGTTTAAAGGCTGTTTTTCCTCCACTGATTTCTGCTTGCCAGATTTGTGTCATATCACTTGGTCATATCCACACCAGTGTGGCTCTATTCCTGGGCCTTCTCTTCTGCTCCATTTTTATATGAATCTATTTCTATGCCAATACCAAACTGTTATGTTCATTTTAGCTGTGTAATAAGTCTTAGAAATGTTGATGAATTTCTCCCACTATATACTTGTATACTCATAATTGTCTTAGCTATCATGGTGAGTAAGTTTGCTTTGTCTGCAAAAATTCTTGCTGAGATACTGATAGGAATTTCACCAAATATATAGATCAAGCTGGGGAAAATTAACAGGATATATTGTCTTCATATCCATGAACACAGTGTATCTCTCATTATCTCTATTTGATTTCTTTCACCAGTGTTTTACATGTTTCAGCACATAGATCTCATACATGTTTTCTTTTGTTTAAATGCATATCAAAACATTTGATGTTCTTTGGAGCAGTTGTAGATCATACAGTTGCTAATTTGGGGTCCTGTTGACCTGCAGTGTGGGAAAATAGCAGAGTGCTAATTAGTTTGGATTTACTTCAGTTGTTCAGTTCCTAGGAGGGTGGGTGGTGGTAGATGGTTAACTCTCCACTAAAGCCCACTGACAGGATAGAATAGAGGAGGGTGGTGCGGAGGCAGTCAAACCACACAGTGCAATCAGTCCTAATCAGCTCTAGCCCTTTAAAAATTGTTGTTGTTGAGTCAACCTAGATGATCAGCTTGCTACCAGAGACTCCTGACATAAGGGAATTGGAATGCTCTCCTCTGCTTTCTCCGGGAGGGTGATAGAAGATTCCCTCTGGCCAGATGTGGTGGCTCACGCCTGTAATCTCAGCATTCTGGGAGGACGAGGCAGGTGGATCACCTGAGGTCAGGAGTTCAAAACCAGGCTAACATGGAGAAACCCCGACTCTACAAAAAATGGAAAATTAGCTCAGTGTGGAGGCACATTCCTGTTATCTCAGCTAGTCAGGGAGCTGAGGCAGGAGAATTGCTTCAACCCAGGAGGTGAAGCTTGCAGTGAACTGAGATTGCATACCATCGCACTCCAGCCTGGTCAACAAAAAAGAAACTCCAGCTCAAAAAAAAAAAAAAATTGCTGCCTACTTTGACTTTATGGAGAATCAAGCATTACTGCCCCGTGAGAAGATTGTCTTTGTATATGGCTCCACACAAATGGCAATACTAGCTTTTTTTTTTTTTTTTCTCGTAGCGTTTGTCTGGAATAGCTTGGTTATTACCCCTAGAAATGTTTTGTGTGATTGTGTATGGTTAGGCCATCCTCTCCTGGTCCTTTGGCTGAGAGAGAACAGGATTTGCTTGAAGTCCTTTTTATCTGTGCCTATTGGAGATTCTGTGTTGGAAGCTTCTACAGTCCATCATCTGTGATATATGGAAGAAAATAGGAAAACCCAGAAAAGTGACAATGTTATCAATCTTTAAGTCCTAAAGTCCCTAGACAAACTGCCTTCCTCTTTCTGCCTTTCAGAGCCTGTCCTTGTTTTTTTCTCGTTATATCCATGGTGTTTTAGTTGTTTAGAGGAAACACTGGGCTGTTGCATCGTAACTGGAAATCCTAGGAAGTGAATGGTTGAGAACGGCTTTGAAAGTTCCATGCAAACCAAATCTCATAACGCAAAACATGGGAAGATATGATTATAGAGAATGACATGATATGATTTACCTACAATAAAGTGGTTTTATAAAATAAAGTCTTCACCAAAATTAAATATTCTTAGAGAAGTCTGCTGAGATCAGCTAGGTCGTGAAGACCTTAACCCAGTGGCACTAGAGGAATTAAAGACACACACACAGAAATCTAAAGTGCAGAGTGGGATCAGTGGGCTGACAGCCTTCAGAGCTGACAGCCATGAACAGAGTTTTACCCACATATTTCTTGACAGCAAGCCAGAGATCAGCGTTGTTTCTATAGATTATAGATTCAGTAAAATGGAAGACAAAGGGAGGGGTTCTCGTTAGTTATCTGCAGCAGGAACATGTCGTTGAGGCACAGATCACCCATGATATTATTTGTGGTTCAAGAACACCTTAAGTGGTTTTCTGCCCTGGGTGGGCCAGGTGTTCCTTGCCCACATTCTGGTAAACCCACAACCTTCAGTGTAGACGTCATATCTATTTTGAGCATGTCATAGTGCTTCAGAGATTTTGCTTATGGCCAGTTTTGGGGCCTGTCGATGGCCAAATTTGGGGGCCTTTTCCCAACATGTCTTCTTTTTTTGTTTTTCTAAGACAATAAAAGCAAATGCAGCTTTACTACTCTGAGCTACTTCTCGCAGGAGTCGGGATCTGCATCTGCAGACTATACAAAGACAAACAACAGAGGCTAAAAGCACAATCATCATTAAAATCACAGAACCTCCAAGAGTTCTTATCCATTTTATTGGATTAGTAGCTGCTAATCCATCTGCAGCTCCTTCAAGTACCCCTGTTCCTGGCATTAAGGTTAAGTGTGCCTGGGATACTTCAAATAATTGTTATTTTAATTTACAATATCCAAAGACATGTTCATAGAGTGTCCTTCTAGATGCTTTTTTATTCTTTCTCAAATGTTTATACTACGAAGAGCCATTAATAGGTTCCACAAATCCTTATTTTTAGCTCCTAGAGCGAGCCATATCATTTGAGGTTGAGGTGCCATTATACCGCCATGTTTCCAGAGGAACTCTTGCGGTACTTCTTACCATTTTTACCATCTGATGGCTTTGTTCAGACCAGCTGAACATAATGTGGCTGTGGCACATAGACTGAGAGTTGCAATTTAAGGTAAACATCCCCTTAGGGGGCCAAACAATAAGGATTCCCTAGGAATTGTTACACAGCACCTCAGTCTGTTCTGCAATGCAATTTTCCCAAACAAGTACATTCATTTTCTCTGGCCACGTCCAGCTCTGTTTACAAACAGGTTTTTAAGGGTGGTATGCCTCAATTATAGGAGCAGATTTATTATGAAATATACTGAGACCAGAAAGCATGTGTGTCAGCATGGACAGGACTGTGTCAGTTCTGTTAAAGAAATACTCATGGCAATGGTGATCACCGCTTTGATAGCTATCATTAAATTACTCACTGGGACTGGTTGTCCCACCTCAGATTTTCTCTCACCATCTGTGACAGCTTCTTGATCTGTCCTCAGGTGGGTGGCTGCTTTTGATGGGTGTTGCTCATGATATTTGGGGTCCTCCTCAGGGTCAACTTAGACAAGACTGCCACCGATGTGTCTTTGGAATCCTCTCAAAACCACTTTCTTGGTATCTGGCTCATAGCAGGGCTTTAGATGTCTCAATGGCATGCACATTGGCAGTTGATTTGGTACTGGAGAAACACAAGCATAACCTCCACTCGATGTTATTATTTTACCTATTTCCCAACTTTCCATTATTGGATCTCTCAACCAAACCAGTTTTTCTGCTTCTATCTTTGCAGCTGGCTTCTGTAGATGCTGTTTGGCTGCAGATAGCATCTGGTCCTAGACAAGCTCAAAAAATTTAGAGTAAATCATGCTAGATTCAATTTCATATGTGGCATCCCACAGTCCCTGTTTCCACCTTTTGCTTTTGCAACTGTTGTTTAAGGAAGAGATTCATTCTTTCCACTATGGCTTGTCCTTGAAAATTATATGAGATACCAGTAATGTGTTTAATATTCCATATAGAGAAAAATGTAGCTAGAACTTGGCTACTATAGCCTGGGTCACTGTCCTTTTTAAAGAAGCTGGAATGCCCATCACCACAAAACACTGCAAAAGGTGACATTTAACACAGGCAGAAGACTCTCTTGATTGGCAAGTAGCTCAGACAAAGTGAGAAAATGTGTCCACACATACATGTATATAAGCTAGTCTCCCAAACAAGGGAAAATGTGTGACATTCATTTGCCAAAGAGAATTAGGTCCCAATCCTCGAGGATTAACTCCTCCTGTAAAAGATGAGGAATGCACCATTTGGCAAGTTGGGTATCGCTGGATAATAGCTTTCACTTCTTTCCAGATAATGCTGTACTGTGTTTGAGACCAAAAACATTAACATGGGTTGAATTGTGAAAGTGTCTGGCATTAGATATTGTAGTAGCAACTGGCGGATCAGCCATTTGATTCCCTGCAGTCAAATGTCCTGGAGGAGGTTTATGAGCTCTAATATGAGTAATGCAAAAAGGGTTCATTCTACTTCTAGCTGCTGTGTGTAATTGGGTAAATAAAGTCATCAGTTGCTCATCTGTGTGGAATCATAGCTGAGCATTTTCAAGTAACTGTGTAGAATGAACCACATATGAAGAATCAGAAATCACATTTATAGGCATACTAAAACAAGTCCATACCTCAATTACAGCTGCAAACTCCACCTTTTGAGATGAAATATAGGGCATTTCCTGAGCTGGAAATGCCCTGGTTTAGAAAGCGGACTGGGACGGCCCCTCCTGGCATTTCCCAAAATCAGGTTTCCATCTTTATCAAACTTAGAGTGACACTGATTATCCGAGTAATTTTCTTTTTGCATTTTGGACATATTCCAGGCTCAGCAGTTTTCCTTTTATCCCTCAACTTGTGGCCTGACTCACTGATTTTTTTCACATTCTTTTCCAGTGTGACCATGCTTCCCACAGTTAAAACAAGCTCCAGGAAATGGAGTATTTCCTTTACCCACTTTCAGTCCTGTCATGGCTTGCACCACCAAAGTAGCTTTATGCAGATTACCTCTGATACCATCACAGGCCTTGATATAGTCAATTAAATGTGCTTTCCCTCTAATAGGTCACAGAGCCACCTGGAAATATGGATTTTCATTGTCGAAAGCTCATAACTGCAACACTATATCCTCAGCAGCTAAATCTGCAGTCATTTTTTAAGAGACTCTTATAACCAAGCTATAAAATCTGCATATGGTTCTTTTGGTCCCTGTTTTATAGCACTAAAGGAAAGATATTGTTCTCCTCCTGAAGTTATTTTTCCAAACTCTAATGCATACTCCTCTAAGCTGTTCTATGGCATCACCCAGCATGACCACTTGTGCATCCAAACCAACGCAGCTGCCTACCCCCAAAAGATGGTCTGTAGTTATATTAATTTGAGGTTGGGCCTGCGCATTGTGAGAAGGCTGAAAAAAGCTTCTTCTCCTCACCAAGTTTTAAACTGTAAAAAGTGAGCGAGAGTCAGGCAAGCTCACGTAAGAGCATCCCATTCAGTAGGAATCATCTGACTGGGGACAGCAACATTCTTTAACAGTACCATTACCAAAGAAGAACCTGGTCCATATTGATTAATAGCTGGTTTAAATTCTTTGAGTAATTTAAAAGGAAAAGGCTCAAAAGTAGTGATAATATTTCCCTGTTGACCTGGGGCATGTATCCTAACAGGGAGCTGCCAAGCCTCTATATCACCCTCTCGTCTAGGTTGCTGAATTCCTGCCTGAATAGAACGAAGAGCAATTGCTCATGGCACTGCTTGAACAATCATGGGGCAACTAGTTTTTGGTCAGTGGGTTCCAGAAAAGAAAGATCTACAGGGTCAGACCACTCTTTTTCTTCAAAATAGTGAGGGAGTGAAGAAGGGCAGAGACAAACCTCTCTCTCCTTTGCCACTTTAGCTTTAGCTGGCAAACAAACCTGTTCTGTCACCTCTTCTGTTACTTTGCTATACTCTCCTTCCTCCTAATCATCAATGTGAAAATGTTCCAAGGTGGAACAAACCAGAACCTGGACTTGTCCCATTGTTAACCTGATGCTTCCAAACTCCCCTTCTAACTCACTATGGCGATTGCTTAAGAGTAGCCAGATGTCCTCCAGTGTAGTCCTACATTCTCCAACCATTGCTCCTGTGACCTTTGACCTGGATTTGAGACCCCGTATAGTCACCACTTGCCGAGGCCAGCTCGGTCATGGAAACCATAACCCAATGGCACTAGCGGCATTAAAGACACACACACACACACACACACACAAATATAGTGTGCACAGTGAGAATCAGGGGGCTAACAGCCTTCAGAGCTGAGAGCCATAAACAGAGTTTAACACACATATTTATTGACAGCAAGCCAGTGATAAGCATTGTTTCTATAGATTACAGGTTAACTAAAACAGGAGACAAAGGATGGGCTCTGGCTAGTTATCTGCAGTGGGAAAGTGTCTTTGAGGCACAGATCGTTCATGGTATTATTTGTGGTTCAGGAATACCTTCAGTGATTTTCTGCCCTGGGTGTGCCAGGTGTCCTTGGCCTTCATTCTGATAAACAACCTTCATTGTAGTCATCATAGCAATCAGAAGCATGTCACAGTGCTATAGAGATATTGCTTATGGCCAGTTTTGGGGCCAATCTATGACCAGATTTTGGGGCCTGTTCCCAACAAAGCCTTTATAATATATGTAAAATAGCCAATGATTTAGAGCATATTAATAATATAGATCAATGAAAAAATTATAAAATACATATCCTACCCTTCAAAATAAAACAAAATTGGGAAGACTTCCAGAAAATATAAGCAAAAATGTGTTCTTCCTCAAATGCTGAAGGGTTATAGTAGAAAGACCTTTGTCAGAGATTTTATTTGTTAAGTGACAAATGATTTAATAGAAATCAAGCGTTTATTTTTCAGTTCACTGGAGCAAAGTTAAAAGCTGCAAAAACAACTCCTATGAAAGCCAGAGCTTCTAAGTGTAAGATAAAATTTTAAAAAAGAATAACACACTGACTATCAAGAAAAGAAACATCCCTGAGGTTTGGACTCCAGCAATATTAGTGTGAGAATAAACCTGACAGTTCATTGATACAGTAAACTGAGGAGTAAATTTAGATATATTTTCAGGAAAGAGACCATTTCTGTGTCCAGTGGGGTTGGGCACCCTGCCTAAATAATTGGTGGAAGAAAGCATGATTCAGACATTTTGGTAAAATACTTAAGTCAGTACAGAGAGTCATGTCTCACAGATACTAGGATCTAACACAGAATGAGGTTTGTATTCAAATACATGAGAGAAAGATTTATATCTCAACCTCTATCCTGTGGTATATTCAAGACTGAGGTTAGATTGTTTCATGTTGCCTACAAAATATAAGGTCCCCAAAGGCAGAAATGGGTATACAATACTAGATTGAACAATTAAGTTCCTAAAAACCTAAAAAGGTTAACACAAAACTGCCCCACTAAGAATCACTTTACACTCAAGAACTAAAGATTGCTTTATCACTTCACAGACGACATTAACAATTCACAGATGGATGTTCCATGTCCTAAGGGGTAGCAAAGGAAGACACACTTAATGGTCATACTCAAGGATAAAAAGTTGAATCAAAAAAGTCTTCATAATGAGTAGGTTTAGGAGTTCTCTGAGATGAAGAAATGGAATCTAAAGGAAAAAAGATGTGGGTAGGAGGAAAAAAATAATCTTTTTTAAATAGACAATTATACATTATTGAAAAATCAACCATATATTAAAGGAACTCAAATAATATTTTGTTTGTTTGTTTCTTCTGCAGTAGACCCCGAACAAGTACAGTAGGAAAAGTACTTTCCTATGTTGATCTGTAGTAAGTTTGCCAGGTGCAGGGACATAACATTTCAATTTAAAATTTGATTACTTTTTGACAAACAATAAAGAATTTGTTTTCAGTATGAGCCTGTCCCATGAGATAACGAGAATTTTAGTAAGTTACTAGAATATTGAGAATTATACTAAAATGCTATTTGCTTATTTAAAATGAAAATATAACTGGTAATCCTGTATTATACCTGGTGACCGTAAATGAAACAGAAGTCAGGAAAGTGGAACTCAGTGGTGGAAGGTTTTATATACATTTACAAGAAACAAAAGAAGACAAAAATATACAGAAAGGGAAACACACAGATTTTGAAAATAATCTCTACAGAAAATATTTATCCACATAAAATATCATTTACTAGAAACATATTTTTAACTCTCAAAGATTATGCCAATATTAAAGACTTATCAAAAGACCAAGAGAAAGAAACATAAAGCTTATTTTATTTTAGCAAAGAGAAAAATAAATCTCAAAATAAAAGAGGTAGGCAGGAAGTTTTTGTTTGTTTGTTTGTTTTGTTTTCTGAACGGGGCTAGACATAGGTTTTACTTTGTTTAAAAAATGCTATTGAATTTTTTTAATTTGATTCTTTAATTTTTTTAATTTGATTTTCTGATTTTTTTAATTTGATTTTTGAATTTGATTAACTACAGAAACTGTAGAAATTTGGTGATTAATGTCAAAAGCACAAAAAGAAAAAAATACGAGTAAGAAAAGTAAATGAATACAATTAGAAAAACAGGTGACGGGTGGGGAAAGGGAGAGAAGAACAAAGGCAGATAGGAGGCAAAGGCAGAGCCAAAGAAAATCTAGGGTAAATGAAAAACTGACTGAGCAGGTGTTAGTTATTTAGATAAGAGAGTAACCATATTAGATGTAAGCTGTTTAAACTCATGTGTTAAAATATAAAATACTCTACCGTTAGATTGATAAAAATTTGCTTTCACCTAGGAATAATCACACTGAAATATTGAAAATAAGGATTTAGAAAAAATTAACAAGTATTTATCCAAAAAAATTAGGCCACTGTTATTATATAAGGAAAATGAGAATTTTAGAAAAAATGCAAGGAATAAAGATGGAGAACTATAGATGCAAGGCAACAGACAAAATATGAAACATCAAAATATTAAAAAATTTTAAAGATAATATAACAGTCACAAACATAAATTCCTCAGTAGCATTATCACAATATACATCTGAGGCAAATTTTATGAATATCTATTTATATAGACAAGCCCCAATTGTAGTGAGATGTGTTATATATGTGACTCATCTAGACTAATGAGTATACAGACATTTAGTCATCAATAGAAACACTTTGCAATGTTTGTGTACTTACTTTTCTTCAGTTTCAAAATGTGAAGCCAAGTAGTAGAGCATGTTTTCAGAATTTCACAGCTCTGCAATAGAGCAAATATTAATACAGAATAACACTTTTCCCCTTCAACGTCAACTCCATCTAACCTAACTAGCATGATGCTTTGCCTTCTCACATGCTCTCTAGACATCCTACTCACCCTTCTTTTCTAGATCCACATTCTCATGATACTGTCTTCTAACAGAGCTTACTTGGATGCCAACACAATGCAGGCTTGTGAAGATATCCAAGCAAAGAAGGAACAGGAACTGCAAGATATCAAGTCGTAGTAAAATGAATAACTCAATTCTTACACATAAATATTTGGCAGAGTGTTTCAGCTGAAGCATTTACAGCTCTGACAAATCATCACATGGCTGCTCTGCAGTAAACATATGTATTCCACCAAACTAATGTAAATGTTCAAATACCTCACTTTCTATCTCAAGCTACTGGGATGTATCTCCAAGGAAAACTTCCCAGTGGTTAAATCTTTTTATTCAGAAAAAATATGAGAGGTTTTAAGTTAGCAATTTTAAAAGGCAACCCTTTGTTAAAATGATTGTTCATACTCCGGAAATTTGTGGCATGTTCACATTTGTTGCTAGAGCAGTTCTATTAAGACACTCATTGGAATATGTGATGCTTCTTGATAGGGACCTGTAACATGCCAGCTTTCAAGGGATGAGACCACGAATTCACATATACGCCATCTATCCTCAAATAACTGCTATCTACATAGGAAATAAAATGGAATAGGGGTGAAGTTTCAATTCTTAGAGCTGGCATTTATTAAACTTTGCCTCAAAGATAATGTGATTTTTATGACTGACTTTTCAAATTAGCTTTTCTTCCCAAGTCCAGGCTCCCTTAATTTCCTCAGCCAATAAGAAAATATTTTTCAAAAATGCAAAAATTAGCAACAATTATGCTGACTCCACTACAGAAGAATTTGGATTCTGACTCATTGATTAGCTTTCCAAATGCAATTTTATAATCTACTCCTAACAGATCTGGATTAAGACTCATTCACAAGATTTCCAAAAGCAATTTTTTAATAGGTTATATTCCAACAACATACTCATCCATTTTTCATTATCCTTGGGATAAAAATGTCAGCTCCATCTTAAGGAGGATATGTTTAAATTTCTAAGAATTTGTATCACAACCACAGACCCAAATATGTTTCATGTAATTTTGCTCCATAAATATTTTTCTTAAATAGAAAATGTTACTTTATTAAAATGACCCCCCAATTTTAACCATTTCAGTGGTCTAGTTAAACAGTTTCATACCAACTCTCTAAAACCTAAATTTAAACTGACCATAGGCCACTAATCTCTTACTTTTATAGACTCGAAGACAGAATTTAAATTAGGTTTAGTATTTATTTGTTTAATCTAAATCTTAGTTTCCTGGAATAATAAAGTTTGATGTTTAGCAAGAAAAGTACTTGAGTTTAAGCCAGTTTCAATACAAGCTTGCCTTCTGCATTATTATTGAGTAGCAGACATTAAGTGACTATAGTTACTGGGTATTAGTGATGGTAAACTTTGTGTTTTTCATTATGAAATAATCTGTGTAACTGTTGGGTATATCAGTGCTTTCAAATGTGCTGCTTAGAATAGGATTAACTGTAAATTCATGTCAAGAATTAACTTGTGATTTGGCTGTTTCCTGAATTTTATAATATACATGTGCAGAAATGTATTCAAAATTGAGTAAGGAAGCACACCTCTATCAGCATGCTATTAAACTTGAACATCAAGTATCATATATCGGTAGAGTTTTGGGGGTTTTTTTATTATTTGGGATTTTTTTTTTAATTGAGAGAAGCTCTCTTCTGTGCAGAATGGCTATTTCAAAGTATCTCACTGTTTGTTTTCCTGTTCCATGACTATTTTTTCCAGCAGTGGTGATGCATTGAAGTCCAGTTTTCTAGAAGGGGAGTGTCTCAACCCTAATTTTACTTTTCTAATTCTGGTAGCTGCAGGAATTTTTGAAAGTTTTGTTTAAGTAGTCTAATATTTTTTATGTAAAGAGCATTAAATTTTGCTGTGTATAAATTGTCATAATCTAAAAGTGAATCAACATTTTCAGTCCTTGAATCCTAGAACTTTTGGGAGGCCGAGGCATGTGGATCATGAGATCAGGAGATTGGGCCCATCCTGACTAACACGGTAAAACGCAGTCTCTACTAAAAACACAAAAAATTAGCCGGGCGTTGTGGCAGGTGCCTGCAGTCCCAGCTACTCCAGACGCTGAGGCCAGAGGATGGCGTGAACCCGGGAGGCAAAGCTTGCAGTGAGCCAAGATTGCACCAATGCTCTCCAACCTGGGCAACAGGGCAGACTCCATCTCAAAAAAAACAAAAAAAAAAAAAAAAGAAAAAACTTCCGTCAGTGCCCAAGTGCCAAGCGCTTCCTATAGTTCTAATCAAGCGTTACAATAAATACTTGTAGAAAATAGTCAATATTTATGCATGCTTATTTTGCTGACATCCATAAGTGGAAATAGTTGTAGATGTACTAAGAGTAATGAAGTAATATTATAGCTTCATTTACTTGCCTTTTTACTATATATAAATCTATCTTTGTCCCCAGTATGGTGTCACATTTGAATAATGTGCATAGTAAAGATTTCATGTTGTTATAAAAATCAAGTCTGTGAGTGCTACTTGTTTTATTTTTGGCAAAAATCTCTTCAGCAATTTAAGAAAATATTATAATCCACTGGGCTGTATTGGGCATAAAAGTGCCACTAACACTTCTGTAGTTCTCTGTATAAAGTTATACGTTTTATGACCAGTTTTGCAACAAATAAAATCTATCTACCAGTAAGATTAACAAGGCTTAAACTTGGGCAAAGTACAACAATAAGTTTCCCTGTGTAGTTGGTTATTTTTTCAAATCAATAGTACAAAATTCTATGGAAAGGTTTACTCAGGAATATATAAAAAAAAAAAACCTGGTTCTAACAGTTACTCTCTAGAATAGCAGAGCTAAATATGTTACTCAGGATTTTATTTAATAATCTGTTTGAACTCCTTATCTGTCAACATGATTCTAAATTTGGGTTCTCTGCATCTGACATTTCTTAGTGCCTCATAGTCTTTATCACTATTGACACATGGCCATCTCTAATTCAGGTTCTGACTCTGGATCATCTCCTTTCATTCATGCATGGCAGGAGAAGAGTACACAGTTCAATTGGTGTACTATTTGTCACACTACATACTACCTTCTGTTTAAGTAACAATTTGTGCAATTATTTAATTCACACAAATCAACAGAGGAAAGTGTAAGTAATAGATAGGATCACCAGAAGTCTCTAAATTGTCAAAAGTGATCTTGCCACCTGGGAAGGAACCCTATATTTATAAACTAATGAAATACTTGAAGCCAATTCATGAAGTATTATGACCAAAGTTTCCACAATAAAGATGCTATCTCAGTATCTTCCTGTTCCTATAACACAATACCTTAGACTGGGTAAGTTATGAAACCAGAAATATGTTTCTTACAGTTTTAGAGGTTGGGAAGCCCAAGGTAAAGGCACTGGCAGGTTCAATGCCTGGCGTAGGCCTAGTTTCTGCTTCCAAGATGGTATCTTGTTGCTGTGTTCTCCAGAGAGGACAAATAAAGTATCCTTAAATGGTGGAAGGGCAAAAGGGCCCAGTTATTTCCATTAAGCCCTTTTATAGGGTTGCTAATTGCACTCTTAATTGCCTCCAGAAGCCCCCACCTTTTAATTCTATCACACTGGAGGGTTTAACTTCCAACATATGAACTCTGGAGGGACACACACATTCAAACCACAGGTATTAAATGTAAAGATCAGAGGCAATATTGTACTATTCATAAAGCCTAGGAATTTCTGTGTGTTTTTATGTTCCGGGAGAAAACTGAAATGTGCCGGCAAAAGATGACCTCATTTTACAGATGGCAGTCCTTCACTGGAGAGGAAAGAAAATAGCTTAATCTTTAAAGAGTAGGCCTGGAGTTAATCAATATGATAGGTTATACTCATTTAAAATTTAGGAAATATAAGCTTAGAAAAACAGCTCTTTTTAGTGTAATGAATGAGAAATTCTGTGACTGGAGAAGCTGTCGAACATCTTCATTGATTCCAGAATCATCTTCTCTAAAACAGATGGGCATGAAAGCACAAAATACACAAACACATTTATAAAACATTTTAAGTGTTTAAAAATGCAGTACTATAATTCCATCGTGTATGCCAGTGAACTAATTTTTAAAATTGGAATCATTGCTATCATCAATGGAAAACAAATAGGTCATCTCAATGAAGGAAGTGATTAATTTCCCTCAAGTGTCCTGTGCTTCAGATTTGAATTAACCAGGAATCTAAGGAACATTCATATGTTGCTGTAATTCAAGCAAGACTTAGCAGGTCTATTAATTGGACAGATAAATTTATCTGCTAGGCCAGAATCAGAATATAGAAGGGAAGCAGAGAACCAGAGGAAGGAGGGAGGCAATGTATGCCCCTGGAAGCAACCTTGGACTGGCAGCCACCTTCACTGTTTGGTTCTTCTACAGCCAACTAGCTGACATTGACAGCCTCTTATTTCAGCTCTTTTTTAAATTTATTATTATTCTTAATTTTTTGTTTGTGTTGAAACTGAGTCTTGCAAATGGACGGCAGCCCTTCTTAGAGTTTCAGCGATTACTCTGATGTGGATCCTTTCCATATCTTTTACTCCACTCCTGATCTCTATACCTAGCCTCCCATCCACATTTCTGATAGTTTCTTTCCATACACATGTAGAAACTCCACAGCACCAGCTTCATCCCAGGAGTGATCATCCCAGTCCTTCGCTCATGAGCCATCTTCCATCCACCCAGTAACTAGCCCTGGCACATTCACACTCTCTGTCCTGTGGCTGCAAGAGGGGTCTTCCTCATCATCTGCCTGGAATACTGAAACAGCCCTGTCAAGGCTCTCTGTGAATTCAGTCTCTGCCTGCGAGAAACCTGTGGTCATCTGCACCAGGCATTCCCTGAGGGGAAGATTGTATCTCATGTACAGTGTCTCTGCTCTGGTAGAGTCCAATGCCATGGTATTCTGGGCTCTGATAATCTGCCTTTTTCTTTCCAGATTGATTTCACATAACACCACCAACATTGTACTACAAATGTTTCATCTGTACCAACCCATTTTCTGGGGTCTGACTATGGCTGTAGCTTCCTTGCTTGGCATTTGCCTTCACTATCTCCTCAGCTGGTGACATTTCCATTCTGTCATAAAGGGTGATATGCTGTTGGAGACCAAACTGAAATTCCAACTCTTCCTTATTTCTGAAGTGAAAAGTAATCACTCCAGCACATTAATTGTGCAATATCTTGTACCTGCTTCTTGAAAATATACACATACTTGTTTCTTCTGTTTCTATCTCTTCCAGGGAAGGCCCATATTTCAACAAATTGTCTGTTCCCTCTGCATCATGGCACGGGTCCCTACATCTCAAATGTTTAAATAGACCTCATTCTCAGAAACAATTATGCTGACCTTTCTCTTCCAGTTCTACCCATAACCTATTTTTTTATGAGTAAGCAATGCAAATATACAGAAGAATTTATAGGTTCACCAGAGGGTCATGAACCTTTTTGCTCTGCCTTGTTCTAAAGTCATCAGCAGGGACTGAGTTAGTTTCAAAAACAGGAGAAAAGCAACACAGTTTTTTCTCTGTCTCCACCCACCATCTCTTCTCAATCCTTCTCATGAAATTAAAATACCTTAAGAGACAGTTAATCATTTCTGCAAGTAGAAAGGCAACTTTCTGTGTGCTAGAAGAACAAGAAGAAAAAAGTTACTTATAAATGAGATTGCTTTCTTATATGAAATAGTAATTTCAAGATAGTAATATTATTTAAGCACCTCTTTATTAAGGAAGAAAGGAAGCAAAACTACTTCACTGCTCTGGTTTATATTTTGTACCTACGTGGTGGAATACTGAAACCTCTTTGGACACAACGGAAAGAAATGAAGTATGTCCATTGTGCCCCTTGCATCAGAGAGAGCATATTTCAGCCTTTTCAATTTCCATTGAGGCTAGAAGAAGTGAAATGATGAATATAAAAAATTCTCAGTAACACCAATGTTACTCACTATGCTGCTTAATAATGTTTTTTTATATTATTATTATTATTATTATTATTATTATTATTATTATTATTGAATCTCACTCTTTCACCTAGGCTGGAGTGCAGTTGAGCAGTCAGCTTAATGCAACCTCCACCCCCTGGGTTCAATTGATTCTCCTTCCTCAGCCTCACAAGTAGGTGGGATTACAAGCCCATGACACCATGCCTGGCTAATTTTTGTATTTTTAGTAGAGATGGTGTTTCACCACGTTAGCCAGGATGGTCTCAATCTCCTGACCTCATGATGCACTCATCTCAGCCTCCAAAAGAGCCACTGCACCCAGTAAATAATTTCTAAATCCAGTATTATAATCTACATTCCACCTCAGAGGCAGAACACCAAGTTATTCAGTTGAATTCCTTTATCTTATTACCTTGTTTCAGTCCCTTTCCCAGGTCTGTGACAAATGGCTGCCGGTCAAAACTCCCTCTTGTAGCCATGGCCCCTACTCATCTGCTTCAGCCCAACTCTACTACAGTCTTGGGTAATGGTTTGCTGACCATCTGCCTCAGTGTCTAGAAATTCAGGATGACACGAGCTTGGTTTGATTCACTGTTGTATGATCAGCCCCAAGGAAACTGCCCAGCAGAGACAGGCTCTAGATCAGGTCTTACAGAGTGGTTTCCAAAACGCATTTATTCTGGAATAAGCAAAATCAAACTTCTCAAAATCCCTTGCCTCTTTAAGTAATTCTATATGTTACTGAATGCCATGACTATACCCAAGAAACTGCTAACCAGACATTTTGGAAATATTTTTAAGATGTATTTCCAATGTTTGGGAGGGAGTAAGAGGTGGCTTTCCTTGAGAAAATTACTTTCATATTTGAGGATGAAATACTTTGGTCCCAAAAGAAAAGAGCCTGGCTGTTTGCTCATCCCTGAAACAAAGGACAAAGCTCCCACTCTTGTGGGAATTAAGGGACAGGAGAGACCAATGGGTGGAACAGGAGGATTTTATTGGGCGTACG